>NC_000002.12:239887891-240215839 GCF_000001405.40 Homo sapiens | reverse complement strand
CTGCCCCAGCAAAGGGCTCCGGACCAGAACCAAGACCTCTCCTCGAGGGCCAGGGAGGCCCCAGCCAGGCTCCATTCCCTGACCATGTTCCCATCGAAGCTGGCAGGGATGGCTCAAGGCCGTGACATGCTACTTTGCTGATAGCCATGAGTGGCATCACTGTCACCTGGTTTTTCAGGCAGGGGAACTGGGGGTTCTGACAATGATGCACCCACATCACACTCTGGAACCTGCACTCGACCACCAGGGCTCCGTCTGGACACTCAGGGGTTACATAATGGTGGGGGACTGGGGTGGTCCTGGAAGGGAAGGAGCAGCTGCTTAGGGTCTGGGGCAGGATTCTGGGCCCTGGTCCTTAGGAGGAGGGAAGGGGACTAGGCCGAAGGATGGGCTGGTGCAGTGACCAGGGGCAGGGCCAGAGCCTGCGGGATGGGAGCCCAGAGGGAGACCTGGCCTGCCTGATTGCCAGGCCTTGCCGGGGGAGGGTTGGTCTTTTCTCCAAGAGTCATGGGTCCTGACCCGCAGGAAGGCGGCACACTGAGTTGGAAAGAGTCTGCGGGGAACCAGGGTACCAGACACTGACGCTCCCACCAGGCCTTCCACCTGCTGCACAGCTGTGCATGAACTGGGCGCCCGGCCCACACCCAGGGCCCGAAGCGGCTGCAAACCAGACCAGACAGAGGCCATGGTTTCCTGGGCCACAGCTGTGAAACACGTGTTCAGGTTAACTGTCCGAGCTCACAGTCCAGCAGCAACCCGGCTTCCCCAGCTTGGTGCTTGGAGACCCGGCCAGAGGCGGCAAGCAAGCTGGGAGCCATCTTGTCAGGCAGTGAAGGTGCCCGAGTCAGCTGGTGGACTGTGAGGCCAGATCTGGGCTGCATGGCCTCCGAGGACCCTGCAGTGCCCTCTCTCATATCCGGGGGCACCCTGGAGTTCCTCCCCAAGGACGTGCTTGAAGCTCCAGGCCCGTCCCGGCTCAGATCCACCATGGGCTCCGCATCTGTATCTAGTCAGGAGGCCACAGCCAGGGGTCAGCCAGCCTCTCTCTGCCTAGTGAGAAAAGGAAAAAAGCTTTTATCCAAGGAATGTAGTCTTTTGACACTGTCAGTCCCAGAAAGACGTTAAGATGAGACAGCAGTCACATCCTCTCCCGCTTTGAGCTGTGTGTCCACCTCTTGAAGCTGCTTGTGACCGCTGCAGCAGCTGTAAAGTAACCTAGTAATGCCACACTGGACGCTGTAACTCATGCCCTGTAGCTGAACAGTGGATAGCCAATCACTCACCAATGTGGTTTCCGTAAGCCAATGGGAATTCCCAACAAACAACTCTCTGTCCCCCTTTTTCGTCTTTAAAAACCTGCCTGTAATAAAGGCCGAATAGGGCTCCTATCCAAGCTGCTTCAGTCCGAGTCTTCCAGGCAGCTGCCCTCACCTCAGCTCAAGTCAATCTTTCAGCTACATTTTATGCCTCAGCCTCTTCCTTTTAGGTGGTCACCAGCATCCCTGCAGATGGGAGCCAGCTGCGGCTGTGTCCCGAGGCAAGGGCAGGCAGTGCCTTCAGGCTGGGTGAGAGGGGACATCTCCAGGCAGGCTCCTGCTCTCAGGCCGAGCTGGCCAGCATGGCTGGAATGCTGATGAGGAGAGCAGGAGCTGGACTCACTGAATGCTAATGAGAGGCAGACAGCACCTCCGTGCATGGCAGGCCCGCGCCAGGCCGCTCTGAGGGATACCCTGGTCAGTACCCCAGAGGTCATGTCTGGGTTCTTATCTGTTGAAAGACTGGGAAGTGGCTGTTCGTTCAAGGAGCTGGTCGTGTGGCCTGGCCCGGGATCCTGTGCTTGCCTGCTCTCTCACAGCACTGGTGAACGCCCACGTGAGCGGTGTATTCCTGTCTACACAGCAAGCAGCCTGTGAGGGGTGCATTCATTTTTACACAGTGAGCGCCCTGTGCTACGTCTTGATCACTATCCAAGCGGAATTCTGTGCCCTCCCGACTGCTCAGTCAGACTCAGCATGGTGAACAACCAGCTGATCGAAACAAATCACATCAAGGTCAGAAGCAGGCAGCCCAGGTGCCCCTGCTGCAGGCAGGTCTGTGTAGCGGGTTTACCATGCCCCGGGCTCCATGGGGCCAGGTGCTGGGAAATCCAGTGGCCTGGAGAGGAGCCCCCAGGATCCCCCCGGAGAGGCTCAGAGGGGCTGGGGGGGCTTGGAGGGGCTGGGCCTGGCTGAAGAACCACCCCCAGTGGCCCCTTTACCACTCCCAGTGACCCCTTTGCTGCTCTCTGTGTCCCCCCTTCCTGGTCTTGACAGTCCCTGCATGTGTTGGGGAAACATCTGGATGCACGAACCCCAATTCCTTTTGTCCTGTAAAACCTCAGACTTCTGTCATTAAGCCACGCCAGTGACACCAGCCATTACCTCCTGTGAGGCATGCTGGCCACGTACAGCCGCCTCCCGGGACGCAAGCCAGTGCTCTCTGCTGCAGCTCCTTCACATGTTTCAAAATGAGGTCTGGTATTTCAAGGACTAAGGCTCCTTCACCCTAGGCCAGTCCCCATAGGCCTTGGCTTATGGGAGCAGAGGGCTCGGACACAGCACTAGACCCAGATCTGGAGACAGAGCTGGGAGCAGCCTCCTACTCCCTGGTGGGCAGGATCCCAGGTGCAGCTGCCTAGCAGCTGGGGACCCCAGGGGGACAGAGGCCCAACTCTCCCTCCCTTGGACACACTGGGTCCAGGAATAGCAAGACCCTCCCCTCACACAGGGACAATATTCTCACAGGCAGTTTTTTTAAATCTGTGAGCTGAAATCATGCCAGGTGATTCCAGTTGACTGGGAGTAAGGTTGGAGCGTTCTCCCTACCCCCCTCCTGTGCGGCTAAGAGGGTGCTGACCGTCTCCCCTGGGCCTGGTGACCAAGCCAGCCTTGTCCACCCTGAGCTCCGGTGCACCTGTCCGGGGGAGACAGCAGGCTACCCTACGGCCCACTGAGGGCTTGCTTTGTTCTGGGGCGAGATCCCTGAACAACTTCTTTTAATAATGGAATTGTTAAGGAAAACACACATCCATTACTCTGAGTGAAGGGAAAGACTAGAACTTCGGAGAGCAGGGGGTGTCCTGGGGGTTTCCCTGAGAAACGCTGCTTATCCGAGGTCATTCTCTCGAGGGCATGGGGCTGGGTGGGGAGGCTGCCGTGCTGGACACATTGGCCTGGAGATCCGGAATCGTCCAGGAGCCAAGGGCAGAGACCCCACGGCTTCCCTGTGGCTGCCCCTCTGGAGCTTCCAAGTGCAGGTTGTGGTGGATGGGAGCCCCCGCCTCAGGGGCGGCCCACCCCAGGAAAGGCCCAGCCTCCCTGCAGGACCAAGGGAGGTCCTGACACTGGGGCCTGAGGCTGCTGGCTGAGGCTCCAGGCCCTGGCCAGGCAGGTGTGGCTTGGAGAGTGGCTCAGTACCGAGCACAGGTGCAGTTTAACCGCCTATGATGAAGCTTCTCCTGGGCCCAGGGATGAGCAGGGAAGGGGAGGGTCATTCAAGCAGATACTCAAGAAACGGGGGCCCAGGTTTGGCTCTCGGGATGCAGCAGCTTGTTGACCCCTGACCCAAGGCACTCCAGGAGGCAGGCCAGGCTGCCTGGGGTGGCCACTTTGGGAGGGACTTACTTTTTCCCACTGTGACCCGGGGGCTATTCCTGTGGGGCCTCAGGAGGACATCCCCATCCACACCAGCCACCTCTTGTTTTCCAGAACCCCATGAGACCCTCTTGTTTTCCAGAACCTAAGGTCCCTGGAGAGCCAACTGGGCCCTGCAGAGAAGCCCCCCCGGCAGGGCACAGCCACATCCTGGGCTGGGTGCAGCCGCGCGTGACTTTCTGGAAGACTCTCCTCCCCAGCCCTGGCCTTACTGCCCTGGGGAGGGAGGTGGGCGGCTGCCTGCTGAACATACTCCACCTGTCCATTTCAGCAGGGTCAGCAGAAACGCTTCCAGGAAAATCAACCCAGCCATCTCTGCCACACTCTGGAACCTAGGGCATAGGGCCGTCAGCCTATCCGGAGGTGCAAGTACAGCTGTCAGCCTGTCTGGAGGTGCACGTCACCCCTGGGCAGCTTGCGGGGGGACAACTTGCTCAGAGCTGGGGCCAGGTGCCCTGCTTGCTGCCCCTTCTCGTGTCCTGACAGCCGGGCACAGGCACCAGCTCCTCCCCTTTCTCCTCTCCCCAGGGCTTTGCCTGGTCCTGAGTCAGGAAAGAAGGTGAAAAACAGGCAGTGGGGAAGACCACTGCAGAGGCGAGACCCACACCACACCCCCTGCTGGAGTTTTAAGGACAGAGTCCCCTGCATTCTTGGGCCCACAGGACCATGGTCTCACCCCTCTCTGCATCTCTTTGGAACCCTTCGTCTCTCATCTTCAGAACAGTCACTGCTTTGTAGTGGGGCCTGAACTCTTTGGTGGAGAACCAGGACGAGGGCACCTCTGTGGCCTGGGTACCACGCCTGACTGTGCCCTCCTCCCCTGTGGCCAGTGACCCTCACTGCGTAGTAGTGGAGCCGTCCTTGAACCTGGGAGGAAAGGCCAACTCAGTGTTCCAGGAGTCGCTGGCCCCTTGCTCCAGCCAACCACCCCACACCCCCACTCATTGCAAACGTATGGGAGGGGCTGCTGCTATTGGCCCCACCTGTGCCAAGGAGAAAAAGCAGAATGACACTTCACACAAAGTTTCGAGAAGTCATGCCAAGGTCAATGCAAGGATATGGAGAAGAAAATACTGGCTAAGACTGGAAATTCAAGGGGGGACCCCTCTGTCCATGAAATGCAGATTCCTGCAAGGGGTGGGGCCACACACTGCATTCAGCAAGGGTTTCCAATCTCCACCCAGGGACGCTGTGTAGACTGAACATCAGGCACGTGCATAAACCTTCCTTTTCAGCCAGAAGTTTCCTTCTACTTTGCTTGGGGCCAAGGCCTCGAGAGTCACGGCTTCCTCACCTGTCTGTTCTTCCTCAGAAGGTCGCTGCAGACTGCCCCCACCCCTGTGCTCTGTGCCATTGCCACGAGGGCTGAGGGTCCCCTCAGCAGGCAATAGGGTTCCACGGGGCCCCATCTGGGGGCGTGGCTGGCTCCCCAGGTGAGCCGGTGCATGCTGGACACAGCTGTCTTCTGCTGCGGCCAACAAAGGTCCCTGGGAGATCAGGCCTGTCAGTGGGCACAGACCGAGAGGTACAGTCATCCCCTGCCCCACTTAGTACCTGCCTAGTATCCCACACCCCTGTGCCTTCTGCCCTCAGCCCTGGGATCCAGAGACTCAGGCTGGCCCATAGTGCAGGGAAAGGGGAACCTCAGTGCACCAGCCCTGCCCTCCATAGAGAACGGGGCTGGGGCGGGGCTGCAGTGAGGGCTGTGACGGGATCCTGGGCAGCAGCACCAGAAGAGGTTTGGGTGCCATGAAGGGGTGGTTGGATGGGGGCACAAGGCCCCTCGCGGGGTCAGCTCGGGTTTTGCCGAGCACAGACACACACGGGCAGGGTTTGCCCAGTCAGTCGGTGAGCTAAAACAGGCTGCACTAGGCACTGAGTAGGGGCGGGGTGGCGGGGCTGTGGCCACTTGGAGGTCTGCTCAAGGCCTGGGGGCCTGGAAGGTAGAATCTGCATAGACATGGGGACAAGTGGGAGCAGCAGAACCCCCCAGAAGGTCAGGGGAGAGCTGCCCCAGAGGGTCCTGGTGGAAGCTTAGACTGTGGGCACAGCACCTCAGGAGCAGGTTTTCGGATGTGTTTTCTCCAGATACAGCAGGTGTATATTTATCAAAACTCTTCGTATATTTATTTGAAAAGGTATTTGTTGATCACTGTCTCTCTTGCTGCAGCTGTGAGAAGTGCTATGGAGGGGAAGACACACCTGTGAGGACAGGTAGGTAGCGCTCACCTTCATGGCCCGCAAAGGGAGACATGCACTCTGGCAGGTGAGGCTCGGGAAGAGAAGGGAAGCACCTTCCGATCAACCTCCGGGGGTGCCTGGCATAGAACAGAAGACAACTAAGCAAGAATGCTGTGGCTTCTGCTCAGCACTTAGGTCAGACTCCTGGCCGGGACAGAGCTGAGGGACAGAGCTGTGACCTGACCCTGGAAACCTGCAGAGTGCCCCTGCTGAGCCAGCCTCCCACTGCACCCGGGCACACAGTGGGAGTCTGGCCCGGGTTTAGGCCTCGAGGGACGCTGGCTGGGGCCCAAGCCAGTGCAGACACCCTGAGGCAGGGCACACCTGGAGGAGAACTCCAACACTTCCTTGAAGGCCACTTAAGCAGGTTCCCTGCCCGGGAGAGGAGGGACAGCCACCTCAACTACTGCCTCAGATAGCAAGAATTGGAACCAGGTGAAACAGAAACAGGAAATAGAAACCATGGCCACTGGAGTGACGTGGGACAGAAATCACCATTCACAACACGTCCCAACAGCTCCTGACATCCTCAGTCCATGGAGGTGATCAAGAGAGCCAGCCTGCAGCCAGGAGCACCCAGAGGACGGGGGTTTGCTCCACCTGTGCAGTGAGGACCAATGTCCTGGGTTGAATGGTCTCTCTTGTTCCAGGAAGCCATTTGTAATCCTTGTTGGGGCATAATTCAGATGAAAGGCAGTCATATTCTAAGCATGGTCATTCTGCCTTCAGGGAGGACTGGCCGGCAGAATGATGGATGTCAGGCTTTCGAGGCTGCATAGTGATGATTCAGATCTTAAGTGGCATTTACGGGGTGTTTGCAGTGCCTGCCCAGAGCAAGAGCTGCTTCCCCAGCGACTCCTCCTGCCGCTGGCCAAGGCGCCCTCTGGCCTTTTGGGCCCTGCTGAGGCCTTGGGCCTCCCTCTCTCCTCGGGCTGCTCAGAGCCTCAGCTCTGCCAGGCAGGCAGGTGCCCCACTGCCTCTTTAGCCTTCTGATTGAGGTGAATTGGGGTGGAGGCAGCCAGGATGCTGAGTCCATCGGAGGCCCTGGTGTCTCTGGGCTGAGGATGCCATGGAGCCTCCCTCACTTCCTGCCACGCAAGGGCCCAGGTGGCAGCAGCCTACCAGCAGCGGTGCTGGGTGTGTCCAGCCAGGGCAGGCATGTGCGGAGCCCAGGAGGCACATGGGGGCTGGAGTCGGGCTCACAGCCACGACCCCTGTGGAGGCAAAGGAGACACTGTGAGCGCAGAAGTAGCTCCTCCAAAAAAGGCCTGCAGAAACCTCTGGGCCAGGAAGTTAGCACCAAGACAGCCACAGGGGCTCAAGACAGCACACTTGGAAGGCGAATGCCCGGGGCCAAGGTGAGGGTGAGGACTGTGGGCCTGATCAAAGATTCATTTCTAGGTCACTTTCCCCAAATTGTCCCTGCCCTTACAGGGGTAAAATGTTCTGGGGCCCCTGTTGGTGGCCCTATCCAGTACTTCTTCCTTTCTCTAAATACCAGACCCTGGACTATGAAAACCATGGGCCTGCTGGGACCTCTCCTCTCTCCCTGCCAGGAGCCCTGTTCTGGACTTCTTTATTAGGTAGAAGGTTGCCAGCAGCCTCCATCCTCCGCAGAGCAAGGTCCTGACTCCCAGCAGTGACCCCCAGAAGAGAGCCCACATGGGGTGGGGCTCAGGAGGACTCCCCTTAGAAAGGGGTTGAGAGCACCCATGGCTGGCTGTCCAGTGTGACGATCAATTTTAGCAACAGAAAAGAAGAGGCCTTTTGGATGGAGGGAGGAGGGAGGTCTTTGTGTGCAAGTTGGTGCTCAGAGTGTAACGACACTCTGTGGGTCTAGCATGGAACTCCTGTGGGTCTAGCATGGGACCAGAAAGGCAGGGTGTCACTGCTTACACGCACAAGGGCCCAGGGTGCACCTGAGCACCCACACACCTGAGGGGCCCACAAGCACCCTTCAAACAATAGACAAGCCTCCTGCCTCCAGGAGGGTTCCCGTCCCAGTGGAACCAGGGAGGGGTGTGGGTTGCCTGTCCAGGTGAGATGGGCCCTGAACTGTGCTCTGCAGTGAGGCCGCCCTTGGGCCAGGTGCAGAGACCACAGGACTGACTGCTGAGCAAGAGGAGAACAGAGACCCTCCCTGGGAGAATGTTGCCCTGCCCAGCGGCCAGCACACCAGGCTGCCAGGGTGGGGCAGAGCCTCCAAGCAGCCTGAGGTCTCTGGAGAGGCAGCTTTCTGGGATGGGGGCTGGGTGAGGGCTTGGGGCATCATTTGGGTAGAACAGTAAGAGTGGCTTTCTGCTGTGTGCCCAGGCTGCTGAGGCCTGTACTACATGGGGGAAAAACACACATATGCATATAAATTATGGATGTAAATTATATCTTATATTACGTATCAATTGTTTGTGAATTATGCATATACAATTTATATATAAATTATACATCATATTTAGATATAAATACAGTGTTTTATCCTATGGCTCATGTATTTATATATTAATATGCTGCTTTTCTGCTTTTTGTTTTCAGTTAATAATTAATGCTGAAATTCTTTCGATGCAGGACATCTAGCTCTCTTTAATTCTTTTTTTTTTTTTTTTTTTTTTTTTTGAGACGGAGTCTCGCTCTGTCGCCCAGGCTGGAGTGCAGTGGCGCGATCTCGGCTCACTGCAAGCTCCGCCTCCCGGGTTCACGCCATTCTCCTGCCTCAGCCTCCCGAGTAGCTGGGACTACAGGCGCCCGCTACCACGCCTGGCTAATTTTTTTGTATTTTTAGTAGAGACGGGGTTTCACCGTGTTAGCCAGGATGGTCTCGATCTCCTGACCTCGTGATCCGCCCGCCTCGGCCTCCCAAAGTGCTGGGATTACAGGCGTGAGCCACCGCGCCCGGCCTAATTCTTTTAAATAGCTGCACAGCAGGTCATCATGAGGATGGCCTATCATTTATTCATCTTCTGTAACTTTGATGGGTACTTGGTCCATATCCAATTTTCCACTATTGTCAAAAGTGCTGCATGAACACATGCTTTTCTCCTTTTACCTATTAATATGTGAAATTAATAGATTTCTGAACATTGAACCATCCTTGCATTCTTAGAGTGAATGACTCAGGGATTTTGTTTTTCAATTACTAATAAATTTTACTTGATAATATTTTGCTTAAGATGTTTATATCGAAAATCTGCAGGTTTTTCTTTTTTGTAATGTGCTTGACAGATTTTAGTAGAGTATTATTCTGGCTGCAAAAAAATAGTGTTTTATGTATTTTAAGTAAGGTGTGCCTTCCAGCAGGTGCACACATCAATCTACCAGAGGGAGAAAAGATAAAGCTTCTGTGTATGCACGCTGTTATCACAGCTTTTCAAATGTCAAGCATTGCATATGTTTTATAATGGACATGAGATATTATATATCCATATCATATATTGTGAATGATAATTTATAAGTAAAATTAATAGGTATCCATATTGAGGGCCCATGATAAAAAATGTTTAGACCTCACAGGTCCAGTACGTGGTGTATGTTTGTAAATATTTCCTGGGTATTTAAATGAGTGTATTTTCTGTATGCAGGATACATACTTAGATGTTTAAACTTCTCATTAATTTAATTTTGCTCATATTCTAAATTCTTAATCATTTTGTAATCTACTTGATCTGTTAAGGATTGAGAGATGTCTTCCACTCTTATTGGATTTTTGTGGATTTTTCTTTGTAGAGTTTCCAGCTGTTTACGTAGCTTAATGTCATTTATTTGCCATATTTTGTTTGTGAGTAATAGCTTTGAAGTGGATTGTGACCCTGATCATTAGAAAGTGATCTCTTTAGGTCGAATGCTTCTTTTTTTCTTTCAATGCAAATCAGCCTGAAATTCATATCATGGCCCTGCCTTTTCTCCTCAGTAGTGGAGGGCCATTTGCATTTGCCTGCTGTGAATGTGAACATCAGTCTACCAGGGCCCCTCTGAATGGCTTTGTTCTAAACAACCATATTGTTGTATTCACGTGTTTAGATGCAAGCTGGAGAGTCTTCATTCTTGATGGTAAACTCATCCCCCTATAAGGGCAAACATTTTTATTTTAAGAACTGCCAGGAAAGCTCCTCTTGGTTAGAAAGTGGTTTTTTTTGTTGTTGTTGTTTTGTTTTTTTTTCCCCAGAACAATTCCTGAAAGAATCCCCAGCAGGTGGGAAGGAAGTCTGCAGCTGAGTAGCTCTGACACTTGAGCTGTCTTCCCCAGCCACTGCCCATCCCTCTGTGCCCAGGGCGCACCACAGACTCACACAGAAGCTGGCCTGGGCTCTGACCCTGTGCAGCTCTGCCAGCAGCTGGTCCTCCTGGGAGGGGCGGGGCAGGTGTGGGCATGGCCTGTGGTGATGACAGCAGTTTTAGTCACTGCTCGGGATTTTCCCTTTGGGTTTGCAGAACCAGAGATGCTGTGAAAGTGTTGCTCACAGGGAAGAGAAGGTTGGCCTTTGGCTGAAACAGCTTCTAGTCACAGGCTTCCTGGGGGCTGTCAGTCTCTTTTTCCCTCTCCCTCCTTCCCTCTCTCCCTTTCCCTCTCTCCCTTTCTTTCCCTCTCCTCACTCTCAGCCCACACCTCACACAAACACAGCTGAGTATGTAGTTGCTGCAAACAATGAAGCTCCTTCCTTCTGAAGAAGGAGGTCATGATGCCGACTTCATTTGGGACATTTTCTCAGGGACAGCGTCCACCCGAAGTCTGGAGGCAGGAGCTCCCTCATCCTCTGCTAGAGCCAGGGCTGACATCCCTGGTAGCTGCTTAGCCCTGCTCCCACCCCTTGGCATGGATGCTGCGGCTCCTGCCAGGGAGGTCAGGAGATGCCCTTGGAGCCAGGCTGATAGGCACAGGCTCTGGGCAGCCTGTGCTTTGCAAAAAGGGCCAGGATCACAGATCATGCTCAGGAGTGTGTGTTTTGCTCCAGGAAATGGCACAGCCTGGGGGAACACTGAGAAGGACAGAGGAATGTCTGTGCTTCTGTTGAGGAACACGGCTGGTATATGCAAGAAAGTCAGACGGGAGAGGAAGAAGCCAGAGGGGAGGATGGCGGCAAGTGTGGATGAGGACAGGGAGGCTTTGGGTTGGGGGTGGTGACAAGGGGTGGGAAACAGATGGATTTGGGAGCTGAGACTGGCAGCCTTGGCCCTGAGGGTGGGGGAGAGGGAGCACCCCTTGAGAAGTGCCGAGGACTCAGGAGGCAGAGCCGGGACAGATGGAGCCAGGACCCTGCCATCACACAGCCGACCCTTGAGGCCCAGTACAGCAGGACACGCTCAGGGGAGCATGGGGTGAGGATGGGGCCAAGCCCAGAGGCACAGAGCACAGGGCCTCTATTCAACCCGGCCCCAGACCAGAGTCCGAGAGTGTCCTGAGCTTCGGGCATGACAGAGCCCTGACCACGCGTGAACTCGGTTTCCCCTTTGCACTAAATATAGGAGTGAAGGCAGTCACAACTTCCACGGCCCCTGTTCCAGCTCTGTTCAATTATTCAAGGCTGGTTCCATTAGGGACAATCACATTACATAGGCAGTTGGAAGAGGAGCCAACCAGGTAAAATTGGAGGTTCAGCTTTTAGAGCATCAAAGGGAAATGCTGAGAGGGAAGGAGAATTACCAGCATTACCAGGGGGAGTCGGGGTTTTGGATAATCCCCTGCTATTTCCTCCCCAAGAAAGGCACTGGAAGGGGCAGAAGCAGGCCCGTGAGCTGGCTGTGCTGGGAAAATGGCGGGCCGGGTGACCACTGGCCCTGCTGACCGGAGCTCAGGGCCCCTCCCATTCCAGAAGCCCTGGCTGGGCACCATGTGGAGGGTGTGGCACCTACACACTTCAGCTGCACTGGAAGTCGCCTGTGACGTGGCCCCTGATCTCAGGACCCAGGCGGGTCCACAGAGCAGAGCAGCTCCGGCTCCTAGGAGTCCCTCAGCCCTCTGCTTCCCTGCCCTCTCAGTCACGGCCCCCAACAAGAGGTAGGTTCACTTCCCACCTTCTCCCCAGCTTGGATTCCATTCCTCCAAGTTCGGAGGTTTCCAAGCTTGGACTCTAAAGATGCAAGTCACTGACTTCATTTTGATGGATGAGTGAGCCTGGGGGAAGAAAGTCGAGACACAGGCCAGGCCCAAGCAAGGAGCTGGGTACCAGAGATGACAAAGGACCGGGAATCCTTGTGCTAATTAGAGCAAGTCGGCGCTTCAGCGAGGAATGTGGAGTGACGTCACATGAAAGCTTTCTGCTTGAATTATTGCCAATTTAATTTCTATGTAATTAACAGCAGGGCATGCTGGAATTAATGAGATTCCCCAACACATTTCTCTGGCTCTCCCCTCCCCTCTACGCTCCTTCCCTCCAATACTTCCTTTCTCCTTCTGGTCCACACAGGCTCAAAGCAGAAACCGACAGCTGTCCTGGATGGCTGACCACCTTCGCAGAGGCCATGCCAACACCCGCACGCATCTGCTGTGTGCCTCAGGCCTTCTTGTGCCCTGATGGACATTCCCCACATGCTGCAGACCACATGGGACACCCAAGGGGCTGGGCATCCAGCCCTTCTCTCTTGTTAACACAGAGTCCTGTGCAGGCAGAGGGAGTCTCTTCCTGGCCCCTTGTAATGCCCAGCATTTTGCACTAGCCCTGTGCAGAGCGGGGGCTCAGTGAATATTCACATATGACAGCTTACCTGGCGGTTCTCAGCATGGTCTCTGCTCAACACCACCTGCCTCTCCACCTGCCCGCACTCCTGCCCTTCCTCCAAGTCTCAGCTGCCACCTCCTCCAGGAAGCCTTCCAGATTCCAGCTCAGGCCAATGACCACCCTGCACCCCCACTGCACCCTGGGAACTTTACTGCACCCTGGGGATGGTGCCATCCTGTGACCCTTCCCTTCCCAGAGTCCAGGCTCAGGTCTTGGTCATCTCCGGAGCTGGGCTCCTCCCAGAGGCCCTAGTGAGGGAAAAGGGCATGGCCAATGGTGTGGACAGACATTGTCCAGTGTGGAGCAGGTGTGAAGTGAATGCCAAGGGGATACTGGGGCTTCACCCCCAGCCTCTGTTCTCAGACGCCCAAAACCACAGCAGCAGCCCGAGAGATGGAGGGACCAGAGCCAGCTCCCTCTGCAAGGGTGAGGTGGAGGGAGTGTGGCCCCCGCAGAGCCAGTCCCAGCTGGCGTTTTCCCAGCTGCCAGGGGAAACCTTCTTATTTGGTGTCTATGGGTCTCTTGTTATTCTGGTTTACAATTTAATAGCTCCTTTGAAAAATTGCTTTATTGTTTTTATGTTTTAAATGATCTTTGTTCACTGTAACTTTTAGAAAGTCACAAATTCAGAAAGAGCAAGAAAAAATGGAAAAAAGAATCAACTGAAATTTCACCTTCCAGAGAGGAGTTTGGTGTATTTCCTTGCAAACTCTACATTTTTTTTTGAGAATGGAATTATATGACTTACACTATTCTGTCACTTACTGTTTGCATTGGTGCACAGAAATTATCTTGGAGAATAGTCTCTGTTGATCAATATAGATACAACTTCCTTTCTCTCTCACTCCACACACACACACACACACACACACACACACCACAGTTTTCCATTTATTGTGAAGGCTGTAATAAATAATGGATGTGCACTGGTTTACTTAACCAACTTCATTTTGATGGACACTACTTTGGTTCTAGTTATTTAGGATTTAAAAATAATGCTGCAGTGAGCATGTTTGTATTCTTGTATGAGTGCTTCTGGAGAATAAGTTCTCACAGTGGCACTGCTGGGCCAGAAGCCTGCATGAATTAGCGTCCGATGGGCGTCCTCATGCCTCTCCCTGTCAGCGGTGCCCTGTGTGTTTCCATCCATGACACACAGGCAGGCATAGCCCCTCGCCCAGCCGTCATCAGGCGATGCCAACCTCTGTCACACAGGGCGCTCTGGGAAGCAGAAAATGCCTGCTCACTATTTCCATTTGAATTTTTAATTCTTCAGTGAGATGATAATATTCTCATGTGTTTGTTGACTATATTTCACGGCCAAAGAAGCAAACTAGATGTTTTGCAGCCTCACAAAAACTACTTTTAAATAGGTAAAAGGGTCATACATTTAAAAAACTCATGGAGTACTGCTGTGTAATATTATGTTGAGGAGGGAAAGTCCCTTCTTAGCCTAACAAGGCCAGAAAGTATTTTTAAAAAACACCAAGTTGATTGCATTTTTTAAGTCAGTAAGGTAAAAAAAAAAAAAACCTCATAAAGAAGCTGAAAGGGAAACAATAAGGGGTTTCCAATGTACATTCAAACTAATATAAAATTACAAATTTAAAAGCCTGCATGCATTAGCGTCTGATGGGCGTCCTCACGCCCACCAGATAAAATGGTAAAAATCCAGCGGAATGAAGGGAGAAGGGGCATGAACATGCAATTGATAAAGTAGGCAATTTGCCTCCTTTGCCCCTTTCTCAGGAGGCTCAAGGAGGATAAGCCAAGAGACCAGGGGCTGTGGAGGACCAGGGCTCCGTTCTCCCCAGACAAAGGCAGAAGGAATTCCTGGGAGGACGGGAGGTCCTGGGGCAGCAGCTCTAGAACAGGGGCATGGACAGCTCCAGGAGCAACAAGCAGAGAGCCAAAGCTCTGAGTCTATGCACTCACGACAGGTACATAGAAATTAAGCAGACAGAGCAAGGCAGTGATTAACCATGGAAGAAGATCTGTGTCAGAAAAGCAGCCATGGGGAATATTTGCAAAGAGTAATGCAAACATTGAGTGCAGAGTTAACCCAGCTGTGGTCTAACTCAGTGCGGGTCTGGTGGGAAGGCAAAGTGTGGTGTGGGAAGGGGAAGATGGCGCAAGGTGGCTGAACCTTTAGCTTTTGGAGTAAAAATGGGGGCAACATCTGATATTGAAAATTCAAGTCAGTACCGCCATGTAGCCAGTGACAGGAATGGCTAGAGGCTGGGAGAAGCTGCAGCTGGGATTAGCCGGGGGGTGGAGGGATTGAGTCGGCACAGCTGGTTTGCAGCAGAAGCCTCGCTACCCTCAGCCCTCACTGGCCTGTCCTCCCCTGCATCCGGAGCAGCTGGGCGTCGCCGTGCAATGGGCTCCTCCCGTGGTATGTGAGTGCATCCCAGGCAGGCCGGTGGTCAGAGGTGGCCTGTCCCTTCCCACAGTGCAGCTGGTGAAGCCCCGCACTGACCCGGCGGACGATGAGCAGGGTGGAGAGCACGGGCTGGAAGCAAGGCCTTGAGGAAGTAACGCCTATCCAGCGACATGGAGGTTTTAGTGTGGGAACTGTGAAGAAATAGTTCATGACACTAACAGCATAAAGAAAAACAAGTGGTATTTTTAAACAGATGCAAGCACAAAATGCATGTTTGACAGCTGTGTTAGTTATCAGTGCTCATAACGAATCATCCCAAAACTTAGCAGCTTTACACAATAGACATTTGCTATCTCACAGCATCTGTGGTCAGGAAGCTGGCCTGGAGAGAGAGTGAGAGAGCTTGCCCGAGATAGACGCTGCAGCGTTTTCATAAGCTGTGCCAGTCGGGTTTTCACCTCCACCATCGCTTCTGCTCTGTGCTATTGTTAGAAGCTCATCATGAACAGCCACGCTCAAGGGAAGAGAACTCAATTCCACCTTCCACCCTTCAGGAGGGCATTTCAGATAATCTGTGGGCCTACTTTTAAAACCATCACGCCGACTTTTGGTGTTAAAGCTTCTTGTGAGAAGTAGAAAATGAAGAAATCTTTCTCAATATAATGTGAATTATATATTCCATTATTAAAAACCAGCAGCAAGTGCCCCACTAAATGTAGCACACGGTGAATGATGATGGGAGTGAAGGCAAGGTCTTGGGAAATGACTGGACCTGGATTGAAGCCATTGCTTGAATTCTATTAGTGTGGCTTATGTGGTCACAGGTAGACCTGAGAATAAAAGGAGGTGGGGACCAGACCTCCTCTCTTCAGGGGAAAAGACTGTCTTTGTTCTGGGGGAGACATTCTTGTCCCCTTGTGGGGTCCCTACTCAGTTAGGTAAGGACCCCTTAGTGACATCATGTCAAGGCAGTGTCTGAAAATCCCTGGGAAGCCCCAGGGGTCCCTGAGAAGTGGACTGCTGGACCCCGAAGTGTGCTGCTGAGGTGCTCTTGTTCTCCTGCCCGGGTCTGCTGGGGGGCGGGAAGGCAGCCGGGCAAGGTGAGGAGTGGATTTCCTGCCATCGATCACCCTGCAGGAGATGAGGACTGGCCACGGCGGGCAGAAGGCCATGGAGGCCTGGGCCTTGGTTCACACGAGCTGGCCCCTGGAGCCAGGTGAGGGGCTGCCCGGGGATGCCTCATGTGAGGGGTGCAGAGGGTGGGTGGGCCTGGGTGCCCCGTGTAGCCACAGCTCTCAGAGCTGCCAGCCAGGCTGGATCCACTCCCTTCCCTTGTTCCGGAACCTGAAGCATTCAAATGTTCCTTGAAACAAAGTGACCCAACTCTCCCACAGGGGTTCCAGCCAAGGCTTGGGGGTGTGGTGGAAGCCCTCAGATCCAAGCCATAGCCTCAGCCCTGCTGTGCCAGCCACAGCTCCTTCCCAGTTAGTTCAAAGCCTAGGGTGAGGAATGGGAAGCCGCTGGAAATGCCACGAGTTTGTAGCAGTTTGCAGAGCCCTGTGACCGTGATGAATGGGTGATGGCAGGGGCAAAAGATGGGCATTGGCCAGGCAGGACGGTGGGGGAGGGGGGAAGCAGGGCTTCCCCGACTGCACCAGCAATGTCCTGGCTTGGACCATTCTTTGTTGTGGGGGCTGCCCTGCACACCCTGCCCTCTACTTGCCAGATTCCAGAACACCCTCCTCCAAGGTGTGGCAACCAAAAACATCTCCAGGCAGCACAAAATGTTAAGAACCACTGCATTCATGTTAGCTCCAGTCTGGCTGACTTAGAAGTAACCAGGGACTTCTCCGGGGCCAGTCATGTCTCATGGTCCCATTCCCTGGATGGCCAAAGGCTATGATCAGGAACGGGTGCATACCCTGGGGAAGGAATTCAGTGACAATGATGAGCAGTGATGGGCAGTGACGGCAGTGATGGACAGTGGTGGGAAGTGATGGACAGTGGTGGGAAGTGATGGACAGTGATGGATGGTGATGGGGGTGATGGACAGTGATGGGCAGTGATGGACAGTGGTGGGCAGTGATGGACAGTGATGGGCAGTGATGGACAGTGGTGGGCAGTGATGGACGGTGATGGGCAGTGATGGACGGTCATGGGCAGTGATGGACAGTGATGGGCAGTGATGGACAGTGGTGGGCAGTGATGGATGGTGATGGGCAGTGATGGGCGGTGATGGACGGTGATGGACAGTGATGGACGGGATGGGCAGTGATGGGGGTTGATGGACAGTGGTGGGCAGTGATGGACAGTGATGGGCAGTGATGAGTAGTGATGGGTGTTGATGGACTGTGATGGACAGTGATGGACGTTGATGGGCGGTGATGGATGGTGATGGATGGTGATGGGCAGTGATGGACGGTCATGGGCAGTGATGCATAGTGATGGGCAGTGATGGACAGTGATGGGCAGTGATGGACAGTGGTGGGCAGTGATGGATGGTGATGGGTGGTGATGGGCAGTGATGGGCAGTGATGGATGGTGATGGACAGTGATGGACAGTGATGGGCAGTGATGGGCAGTGATGGGGGGTGATGGACAGTGGTGGGCAGTGATGGACGGTGATGGGCAGTGATGGGCAGTGATGGACAGTGGTGGGCAGTGATGGATGGTGATGGGTAGTGATGGACAGTGATGGGCAGTGCTGGACAGTGATGAGTAGTGATGGGCGGTGATGGACTGTGATGGACAGTGATGGACGTTGATGGGCGGTGATGGATGTTGATGGGCGGTGTTGGGCGGTGATGGACGGTGATGGACGGTGATGGACGGTGATGGACAGTGATGGACAGTGATGAGTAGTGATGGGAAGTGATGGACAGTGATGAATGGTGATGGACAGCGATGGACGGTGATGGACAGTGATGGACTGTGATGGACGGTGATGGACAGTAATGGTCGGTGATGGACAGTGATGAGTAGTGATGGGCGGTGATGGACAGTGATGGACAGTGATGAGTAGTGATGGGCAGTGATGGATGGTGATGGACAGTAATGGTCGGTGATGGACAGTGATGAGTAGTGATGGGTGGTGATGGACAGTGATGGACAGTGATGAGTAGTGATGGGCGGTGATGGACAGTGATGGATGGTGATGAGCACAGACAGGGCATGACTCGCTCAGCCCCTTTCCTTGTCGCAGCACCATGAAGCCTGTGAAGACTGTGAGCCTGGCCAGGAGCTGCTGTGTATCCACCTCCACTATCAGGCATTGCCACTACTCTGGTGGACCTAGCTTGACCTGGGGCTGCAGGGCATGGAACAGAGAGAGGCCTGGAGTAAGGGTCCAGGCAAACTCAGAAGACAGGCCAGTTCCCAAGCAGCTGGCAGGGAGGGACAGAGGAGAAGCAAGACCCAAGGACACACCCAGCACAAGGACAGGATGGGGTGTGGGCCTGTGGGCAGCAGGAGTCTGGTCTCGGGCACTCTTGGCGTCTGGCAAGTCACTGCCCCAGCTGGGAACAGAGGCAGGCCGGGGCAGGGGAGGTCCTAGAGCTGCCAGCTGGTTCATATTTCATCCTCCCTGAAGCCCCATCCTCAGTCCCAGCTGGTCCAGCAGAGGACCAGACAGCTGAAGACGTCAGCAAACTCAAAGCCAGCATGAGT
Source organism: Homo sapiens (assembly GCF_000001405.40). Taxonomy (NCBI): domain Eukaryota; kingdom Metazoa; phylum Chordata; class Mammalia; order Primates; family Hominidae; genus Homo; species Homo sapiens. Next base: position 240,197,150 of record NC_000002.12, on the reverse strand, counting down.
GGAGGGGGCTTCCGCACAGGCTCCTCCAACCTTGTGGGCTCTCCCTTGTGGGATCCTTGTGGGATCTCCCTTGTGGGATTCTCACCCCTAGCAGTGGCTGATCACTGTTGCAAGGTATTCTGTGCACCTGAACTGCCCAGTGTGAGCCAGATGCCCCGCCCTGGAGCAGAGCCACAGCCAGCCCCTGACCCCTGCACTTCAGCCTGGAGACAGAGACAGGCAGGTGGGCTGCAGGGGTTCACAGTAGGGTGTGGAAAGCTCCAGAACAGATTCAGGCATTATCCTCGCACCGTTCTGGAGGCCACAAGGCCGAAATCAAGGTGCCAGCAGGGCTGTGCTCCCTCCAGAGGCTCTAAAGGAGGAGCTTTCCTGCCTCTTCCAGGTTCTGGTGGCCCCTGGCTTCCTTGGCTTGTGGCCGTGTTGCTCTAAACTCTGCTTCCGTCTTCACATGGCCTCTCCTCTGTGTGTCTGTGTCTCTCCCCATCTTATAAGGACACTCGCCATTGGATCTAGGGACCACCCTAAATCTAAGATGATTTCGTCTCAAGATTCTTCACTAATTACATCTACAAAGACCCTATTCCAAATACAGTTGCACCGTGGGGTTCTGGGTAAATGCTGCTATTCAACCCACTTCTGGTCATGCAGAAGAGCGCAGGCAGGAGGAATGGCCTGGCTAGGGGCAGGGCTCAGGCCCTGTGCTCTCTGCTTATGCCTGAAGAAGCAGCACGGGAAGAGGGAGCTTTTCTCTTCCATCAGAGACAATTTTAACAAAGAAAATCAGAGGGGATGTGAATAACTTCCGAAATTTATCAAATTAATAGGCACATGGAAGCCCAGCTTGCAAAAAAATTCATTTCAAATCCTCTAAATCTTAACTGTCACATTCACCGAGTTTCCAGGGGCTAAATGCTGAATGCTAATACCATTTCCAGTATTCGCAATCCAATCTTAATTAAATCTGCACCACACTGAATTACTTTAACTATGATTTTCCAGTGGAAGGTATTGTGAGAAGTGTATTCTCTCTTATTTTAATCAGATTTCATAATTTTCAAGTGGACATGCTGGTGGAAAGACTGTTTGTTTAGAGATTGAGTTGGGAGAAGTCTCTCCAAATCTCATCAGTGGCTTTCACAAAGAAAGAGGAGGGTGTCTTTAATAAGACCGACTCCTTCTACGGGTTAAAAAGTCAACAGTACGCCAAAGTATGGGAGAAGATATTTGCAATGCACATAATGACAAAAGATATTCAAAGACAAATAATAAACGTAAAGCCAGACAACCCAATGGAAAAATGGGGAAACGCTTGAACAGACACTTCACGGAGAACAAGTCCAGTTGCAGACGGATCATGGGGCATGTGCCTCCTCGATGGCAATCACAGAATTGCACCCTGCAGTAGCTACTGCCATGCTCAGCTCAGATTCACTTAACTGGCTGCCATTTCCACCCCTGGCAGCAGCTTGTACTGGCCAACAACTCACAGCTGACACTCCTGGAAATAATTGCCCTTGGCCCAGCAGAAGCCACTTCATCAAGGGGCTGTGTCCCGCACCCAGGGCAGACCAAGGACAAGGACTAGCTGGCATGAGGATACTACAGGGCAGCCCCTGCCTCACAGCAGGGCCGAGTCCCGGGTGCATTCACACTCCAGAGCTCCCATGGAGTCGGGCTTGAGGTGAACTCCAGCTGAGGTCAGCTTCTGCCCCTTATTGCTTGATTCACCTGCTGTCTCCTGAGAGTCAGTTGAATAAGAACCCTCGTCTCAGGCTCTGCTTACGGGGACACCAGTCCCAGGACACCAGTTAGGATGATTACTGTTAAAAACAACAACAGCAAACCCTCAAAAGCAAACAAGCCCAGAAGGTAATAAGCATTGGCAAGAATGTGGAGACATTGGAACCCAGTGCACTGCGGGTGAGAATGTAAAATGGTGCAGCAACTGTAAAAAAAGGTCCTCAAACAATTAATCAGAGAACTACCATACCACCATCAATCCCGCTTCTGGACATATACTCAAAAATATGAAACAGGAGCTCAAACAGATATTGGTACACCCATGTTCACAGCAGCGCTACTCACAGCACCTAAAAGACGTAAGTAACCCGCTTGCCCACTGAGGAATGAGTGGATAGGTGTGGAGCACACATACCATGCTGTCTCAGTCCGTTTTGTGTTGCCATCACAGAATACCCGAGGCTGGGTAATTTACAAAGAACAGAGGTTTATTTGGCTCACGATTCTGGTGGCTCCAAAGCCTAAAATTAGGCAGATGTATCTGGTAGGGGGCTCATGCTGCTTCCTCTCATGATGGAAAGTGGAAGGGGGGATGAGCAAAGAGATCACCTGGTGAGAGAGGAAGCAAGAGAGAGCTGAGGAAGCCAGACTCGCTTTGACCACAGCCCGCTCTCTGGTAACTAATCCAGTTTTGGAAGGGCAAGCACTCACACACTCCGGAGAGAGAGCGTTAATCTGTTTATGCGAGATCTGACCCCATGACCCAAACACCCCCCACTACGCTCCACCTTCCAACACTGCCCCACAATGGATGCAATTTCAACACTACGCTCCACCTCCCAACACTGCCCCACAATGGATGCAATTTCAACACTACGCTCCACCTCCCAACACTGCCCCACAATGGATGCAATTTCAACACTACGCTCCAACTCCCAACACTGCCCCACAGCGGATTAAATTTCAACATGACTTTTGGTGGAAACAAGCCACATCCAAGCCATAGCAAATGGGCTATTCCTCAGCCTACAAAAGGATGGAAATTCTGATACATCATACAACATGGATGAACCTTGAAGAATTATGCTAAATGAAATAAGCCATTTATAAAAGGACATTTACCGCTTCATGATTTTGTTGATGATATTCCTGGAGTAGTTACATTCATGGAGAAAGAAAGTGGAATGGTGAGTGCCAGGGGCTGTGTTTAGTGGCTGCAGAGTTTCAGCTTTTTAAGATGAAGAGTTCTGGAGATGGAGGGTGATGGCTGCACAGCACTGTGAATGTACTTAGTGCCACCAAAGTGTACACTTAAAAAGGTTAAAATGAGGCTGGGCGCGGTGGCTCATGCCTGTAATCCCAGCACTTTGGGAGGCTGAGGCAGGCGGATCACGAGGTCAGGAGATCAAGACCTTCCTGGCTAACAGGGTGAAACCCCATCTCTACTAAAAATAAAAAATTAGCCAGGTGTGGTGGCGCGCAACTCTAATCCCAGCTACTCGGGAGAGAATCACTTGAACCAGGGAGTCAGGTTGCAGAGAGCCAAGATCGCCCCACTGCACTCCAGCCTGGTGACAGAGCGAGACTCCTCAAAAAAAAAGGTTAAAATGGTAAATTTTATTTTAGGTGCATTTTACCTCAATGGAAAATGTTTCAAATGAAAACAAAATAAAAATTCACCTCCAACCAATCTACTGAATGGCTAGAATTTGAAAGGCCAACACATGAGCTGCTGCAAGGCTGGAGAAAGGAAGTTTCAGACACCACAGGTGAGGGCACATCGCTTTGGCTTTATCTAGAAAAATTGAGGTTACACGGGCTCTATGGCCCCGCAATGGCACTTCTGACCATCCACCTACAGAGACACATGCCCTGAGCCCGGGGTACATTTACAGGAATGCTCGCGGCTGTACTGTGTGCAATTATCAAAAATGGGAATCTCAAACAGAGTGAATATCTAGTTCTGGTAAAGTGGGCGCATATTCAATTGAATATTATACTGCAGTAAAAACAAACAGCTATAATCACATGCTTCCACATAGATACGTCTCCCAAACGTATCTATGAGAGTAAGAAGAAAGACACAAAAGATTAAATAAGGAATGAAGCTTTTTTTTTTTTTTCTTGAGACAGAGTCTTGCTCTGTCACCCAGGCTGGAGTGCTGTGGCGAAATCTTGGCTTATTGCAACCTCCGCCTCCCGGGTTCAAACAATTCTCATGCCTCAGCCTCCCGAGTAGCTGGGATTACAAGCGTGCACCACTACGCCCAGCTAATTTTTGTATATTTAGTAGAGACGGGGTTTCACCATGTTGGTCAGGCTGTTCTCAAACTCCTGACCTAGTGATCCACCCACCTTGGCCTCCCAAAGTGCTGGGATTATAGGCATGAGGAAATGAAGCTTTTCATATAAAATTTCTGCCACATTGTTTCAGGATGCAAATGGAAGTGGAAAAACTTTAGAAAAACAATGATGTGGTTGTTCCAAAAGTTAAAGGACAGCTGCCACCAGGCACAGGGTGCCGCTGTGAATTGAGAGAGGCAGGCAGTGGAGAGCGAGGGCATCTGGGGAGATGGACTGGCGGGTTCTGAGATTCTAGCCATGTTCGAGGACTTGACCTGGGAGGTAGGCTCGTGGGTGTTTATTTATAATGGTTGTATACAATTATGTAATATAAACTTCTCAGTGTCAACAACAATAAACAAAGATCAATTTTATTCCAAACCATTTCCTTTGTTTACAGCTTATCTTTTACAAATAGTTTCCATTAAAGAAATCCATGCAGATCCTTCTGTAGTCGGCTGTGTCATATGAGAACAAATATTCAGACGACTGCGCCAATCTGATGCTAGGTCGCCACACGGTGCAAAGCGCACACACCCGTGTGGTCCATAAAGGATGCACAGGCGGTGCCTGAAGGTCATTCGCAGTCTTGAGTGTTGGCCACTCCAATGTCTTGGCTTTGAGGAACAGGATCATGACTGTATTCGTCAGTTCTTGCACTGCTATAAATAAATACCTCCGACTGGGTAACTTATAAAGAAAAGAGGTTTAACTGGATCAGAGTTCTGCAGGCTGTAAGGAAGCATGACAGCTTCTGGGGAGGCCTCAGGAAACTTTCAGTCGTGGTAGAGGGCAAAGAGAAAGCAGGCACGCCTTACATGGCCAGAGCGGGAGGTGGTGGGGGGGTGGATGCCACACACATTGAAATGACCAGATCTCATGAGAACTCATTCACTGTCATGAGAACAGCACCCAAGTGTATGGTGTTCAACCATTAGAAACCACCCCTCTAATCCAATCACTTCCCACCACGCCGCATCTCCAACACTGAGGATTACAACTGAACACAAGATGTGGGTGCACGCAGAGCCAAACTGTATCAGCTACTGGATCCTCACCATTGTCCATTTAAAAAATAGTCTATTTCCAGTAAAACAGGTGTAAAACAAAACTAGAATTTGCAAGGAAATAAAATAACATCCTTCTCCAAACTTGTTTCTAGGAGAAAGCAGAAGACATTGGCAGCTGGTGGAGAGACACGTGTAGACATGTAGGGGCTTCGGGGTCTCTCCTCAAAGGACAACAGGTGCAGAGTGGCCGGCACTTGGGAACTTTGCCTTCACATTGACCTGGGCAAAGGGCTGCCCACAGCCCTATTCTGATGCCTGCTGTGCATGACAGAGACGGAGAAAGAAGGAAGAAGGGGAAGGGGAGAAAGGGGAGAAAGTGTTTTCTGTTCACAGGTGGGAAAAGAGGAGACAGGAGCTTCGATGAGGCTGCTGTCATGAGTGATACATACAGGGATGACCAGAGCTGGAATAAACTGAGGTGAGAATGACAAATATCAGAGGTGGCTGTGCGCAGGTACCTCTGGAAAGGAGAAAGGGCTTGGTGTGGAGCAGGCCTATCAGCTATGGCTTCAGACTTCGGGGAGGGGAGGTCCTTGCAGGTCTATTTCCTCCTCTGGGCCTCTCTCCCGCATCCTCTTCTCTCTCCTCTCTTTGCCGAATTCCACTCCAGCTCTCAGCTTGGACACCACCCCTCAGGGAGCCTTTCCTGCCTTCCCCACGGCACCCACGCTTGACACGCTGATGTCTGTCTTCCCTGAAGCTGCTGTCTTGTCCCTGCTGCTCTGCAGGCCGCTAGCAACCAGCATGGACCGGAACCACTGCTCCAGCGCCAAGGCGGTGCTCAGCAAGTGTCGGCTGAATGAGGGGATGAGGAATGGTGTGCTTGAATGACCGTGGGTCCTGGGTGAGCCGCCAGGGATGCGACAAACCTAGAACCCCTGGGTGACCCCTCCTATGTTGGGTGGGCTGGTCCCAGAGCCACCCAGATGCCCCAAGACCCCCGCCGCCGACTTTGGGGGATGGGAGGGAATGGGAAGGGTGGGGAATGGGGGCCGTGGACTCCACATCATATCCACGGGTAAAATGTTCTCAAGGAACAGTTTGTTTTCATTTCAAAGGCTCATCCAATATATCGGGTCAAGGTTTATCAGAAAATTTTCTGAGATCTTACTGTTTTCCCTATATCGGAAAGAATTTCCAAAAAATAGTGTTTTAAAGATGTGTAATTGTCACTGGAGTGAGGTGGAGCCACGTCCAGGAGGGCGGGTGGCAGTTTCCGGGCAGAAGTCAGGGCCTCAGCCTGGATGCATTCTTGCCTCCCCCAAGATGCTGAAATGCTTGCCCATTCCAGCCTCCGAGGAAAGCAGGAGACCCACAGGAAGGGTGGCTCCCTGCCTGCCTTCCACCACCTCCCTGCTATAAACAAAAAGGTCTCAATCAATTTAGGAAGTCTATTTTGCCAAGGTTAGGGACGCGCCTGTGACACAGCCTCAGGAGGTCCTGACGACATGCACCCAAGGTGATGGGGCACAGCTTGGTTTGATACATTTTAGGGAGATGTGAGACCTCAATCAATGTATGTAAGATGAACATTGGTTTGGTCTGGAAAGGCGGGGACAACTCGAAACAGGGAGGAGGCTTCCAGGTCATAGGAAGATAAAGAGACAAACGGTTGCATTCTTTTGAATTTCTGATCAGCCTTTCTAAAGGGAGCAATCAGATACGCATTCGTCTCAGTGAGCAGAAGGGTGACTTTTGAGTTCTGTCTGTCCTTTGTCTGCAAGGAACTTCCTTGTGGACAAATTGTGAGGGAGGTGTGTAGCTTTTTTATCTTAGTAGGTATCTCTTTTAGGAATAGAATGGGAGGCAGGTTTGCCCTAACCAGTTCCCATCTTGACCTTTCCCTTTGGCTTAGTGACTTGGGGAGTCCCAAGATTTATTTTCCTTTCACACTGGGCTGCCCTGTCTTACTCAGAACCAGCCTGCCTCCACCCCCAACCCAGCACACCTGTGTCCTCTCCTCTTCTGGCCAGAGGGTATGGTGGGAATGTGAACCCTGGCCCAGGTCAGGCCCAACCAGGCCCTGGTGGCCTCTGCAGGGACAGGCTCCCTGTACAGGGAACTGGGGAATGCTGGCCCGGCAGACAAGCCCATCTGTACTGTGCACTTTTATGGGGCGTTGAGGGAGCTAGCTCTGAGTGAAGCTCTCCCAGGCCCCAGCCATCCCTACCACCTGTCCCACCACACCCGAGCTGCCCACATTCCCAAGCCCTGAGCCTCCACCCTGGACTTGGCCTTGACTGGTGAATAAATCGCAGGCTGTGCAGTCTGCCTGACCACCATACCCTGAGATGGAGGAGTTGGACTGCTCTCACAGGTTTTGCATGACAAAGATTCTACTCCTCTTTGATTTTATTGAGAAGATTGTGAGCTGAGATTTAAGTGAGAAATGGGTTGAAAAAACTATCCCATCAGTAGTTAAAAAAAGAAAAACAACATAAGAGTGATAGGTGCCAAAAGACATTTGCAAAAAAATCAACATTTATTTTGAATAAACAAATATATAAAGAAAAAAAACTTACTAAACCAGGAAGAGAAAGAACATTGTGTTGGGGTGTGAGGCACGAGAGGCCCCTCCCAGAGCCATTTTGGAAGAGAAGTTTTTCAAATCTGCTGGAAAACATTAGCTCTCCAAAGAGCTGGGAAAAAATGGGGCAAATGGGAAAAACAGTATCAAGACCAGTGAACGTGGAAAAAAAAGGTTTTAAGACAACAATGGCATAGGTTTCTGTCTCTCATGTACAGCCAGAGTATAAGGTGTGCTCAGAAATGGGCGTCACCTGCTGCTCATAGGAGGAAAAGTTGGCACATGCTTTCTGGAAGACCACCTGACAGTACAAGAGAAAAAAATAAAAATGGCTTTTCTCAGCCATTTCTCTTTTAAGAAATCATAAAAGAGAATCACTCAGACAATGGTCAAAGATAGACATAGCGTTGCTCACTACAACCAAAGCTTGAAAGCAACCTAAATGAGGAATGAAATGAACCATGGACTAATCAATGAATAAATCCGAGGATGCCCAAAAACCCAAGGACTCTGGATGGGAAGGGGGACTCATTGACTTAGGAAGTTGTTCACAGTCTATCCTAAGAGGAAAGAAAGGCTATTTCAAAACAAAATGTGGAGTAAGTAATTGAAGCGTATGGAGTATCTATGAACAATTTGTAAAAAAAGAATATAAATAAAAGCCCGGGTAATACACATGAAAAATCATTGGGGATTATCTCTGGCAGATGGGATTACAGGTGTTGTATTATCATTTTATTCGTTTTTCCTTATGTATTATTCTAATTTTCCCACCATGATCATGTTATGTTGTAATTAAAATATACATATTACAATTATACTGGAAGTTCTTGGCATTGGCACATTTCGTGAACAAACAGATCTTCTAAAACTGATTCAGCAGGAAATTTCAGCTCTGACCAGACAGGAATGGAGGAAGAAGAACAAGCCCCTACTTGGAGGTTGCAGTGGCGATTTTCAGAATCAATTTGTGTGGCAAACAGACAGAGCATCCTTTACCCACACCACGTGCTCCTGGCACTTCCACTGCGAGACAGACGTGAGTGGACAGAGCTGCCCGTTCTCACAGTGCAGGTCTGTCTCCAGCACACACAAAGTGGAGGATTGCCCGGCCCAAGCCAAGGAAGGAGTTAGATGAAGACTGTGTTAGTCTGTTTTCACACTGCTGATAAAGACATACCCGAGACCGGGTAATTTATAAAGAAAAAGAGGTTTAAAGGGCTCACAGTTCCACATGGCTAGGGATGCCTCACAGTCATGGCAGAAGGCGAAAGGCATGTCTTACATGGTGGCAGGCAAGAGAGAACTTGTGCAGGGAAACTCCCCTTTATAAAACCAGCAGATCTTGTGAGACCCATTCACTATCACGAGACCAGCATGGAAAAGACCCACCCCTGTGATTCAACCACCTCCCACTGGGTCCCTCACATGACACACAGGAGCTGTGGGAGCTACAATTCAAGATGAGATTTGGGTGAGGACACAGCCAAACCATATCAAGGACTGAGACCAATCTCATGCGTGAACTTAGGTGAAGAGTTTAAATTACGAACTAGGGATCCAAAAATCAGGCGCTTAACCTCTCTAATATCCAGAACAAAACAAAATGAAACTCAGCGGTGACCACCCATCCACTGATATGGCCCCAGAACCACCACCCACCCATCGATGTGGCCCCGTGAAATGTCCAGCAGCAAACCCCAGCTGGCAAGATGAATGTGGAACAGCGGGGACTGGCAGTGTGGCATCACTGGCATGGCCACTGGGAAAACCTTTCAGCCACATCTATAAGCCGAATAAATGTAAATCCCCAACCCAGGAGCCCCATGCCTAGGAACTCGAACAATGACAATGTGTTCATGCATGAACCAAGGACATTCAGAATCCAACAGTACAGTGGGGAGTGACTTCCCCCCATTGAAGCAGGGATTATTCCTTACAAAAGAGTCACAGGGCACTTGCCTCACGTGCAAAAGATATCAGGAATGTTGCTTTTTCTCCAAGTTTTGTTTTTTGCGCACATTGATTTGAGTCCTTGATACGTTTTTTAAAAGTTCCTCTTCTCGGTGTCATGTTTTCTGTAAGTATTTGTCTCCAGGCCTCATTTGGGACTAATAAATGAGAAATACATTTTATTTCCAGCAGCCAGTCTGCTACCCTGCAGTCATTGCAGGCACGTGTCTCCTTTTGAAGGTCTGCCGGCCTTCCCTCCTTCCTCCCTCCCACCCCACTTCCCCCACCTTGGGCATACCCTGGAACCCTTCCTTTGGTAGCTAGGTTGACTGTATTTTTTCTTCTGCTTTTTTTTTCCCTGCAAAACTCTGTGAGGGGAAGGAAATCTAATTTCAAATTTTGTTCCAAACAATTAACCAGTCGTCTCAGTAACATTTATTGACTAAATCTCTGCCCCATTGATTTGTGGTGCCTTCCATACCAGACGTTCAGTGTCGGCTTCCGGTCGGCTCCTGGACTGTCTACCATATCCTGCTGGTCTCGCAGTTAATCACATACAAATGCTACACACGTCTAATTACTGCATTATGAAAATGCTCCAACATCTACTGGGGCTGGTGCTTCCTCACGACCCTTTTCAAAGAAGGAATTGTGGCTTCATAACACACCTGCTTACGCTTCACAACATTGCTTTGAAGTCCATCTGAAGGTTCACTGGAATTACAGTCGAATTTTATTAAAATGCCATAAATTAATTCAGAAAAGAGTTTATATTTTTATTCATTTTGCTATTTCAACTTGGAACATCCCATGCCTCTATGTTTATCTAAGATGTCTTCCATGTCTCCAGGCTGTTTTGTACCTTTTCACATATGATCTTGTTTCTCCTGACGGTTCCTGGGGGCATCAGGACCTGGGGTGCTGGGAGCTCCCGGCCTCTGCACCCTCAAGGCTGTTCCTCCCACAGTAGGCAGCGGGCTGCCCTGGGAGGCTGTTGCGGGCTGGGGACCTGATCTAACTTGCATCCCAGGTCACTCCAGGATGAGGCTGAGTGAGAACAGACTGCAAAGCCAACTGAGACTAAGACCTCTTTCCACTGCCTCACCTGCCTGAGCAGAAGCCCTGCCTACTGCCAACACTGCATGGTGTATCTGCTTCTAAGATAGGAGGCTGGAGTGTAAAGGACTCTCCACCAGCCCCTCCATGCTGTGAATGGAGAGAAGAAATGCCCAGGCCACCAGGCCCCACTTCCTTCCAGTCTGCAGCCGGTGAGCAGTGGGCCCCAGGACCCCGTGGGCCAGGTCATCACTGTGCGGCCATATCTCCATCCCGCTTCTCCTCCACCAACTCCCATGAAGCCCTGCTTACTTCTCACAGCTCCAACCCACTGCACCCCTCAACCTTTTCACTTTCCTTCTGCAGCCTCACATGAACAGCCAAAACCCACAGTCTCTTCAGGGGTGCCACCCTGAGTAGTAGGAGGAAGAAGCCAAGTGCCAGTCATTTCTGGAAAGGCAATTTGGGCTTCATCTAAGAATGGACTGGGTAACCGTGCAACTCACCCTTCATCTAGGAAAGGACTGGGTAACCTTGCAACTCACCCTTCACCTAGGAAAGGACTGGGTAACCTTGCAACTCACCCTTCATCTAGGAAAGGACTGCGTAAATGTGCAACCCACCTTCCATTTAGGAAAGGACTGGGTAAATGTGCACCTTCACCCACCCTTCACCTAGGAGTGGACTGGGTAACCTTGCAACTCACTCTTCCTCTAGGAAAGAACTGGGTAACTGTGCAATTCACCCTTTATCTAGGAAAGGACTGGGTAACCGTGCAACTCACCCTTCATCTAAGAATGGACTGGGTAACCATGCAACTCACCCTTCCTCTAGGAAAGAACTAGGTAACCTTGCAACTCACCTTTCATCTAGGAAAGGACTGGGTAACCTTGCAACTCACCCTTCACCTAGGAAAGGACTGGGTAACCTTGCAACTCACCCTTCATCTAGGAAAGGACTGGGTAAATGTGCAACCCACCTTCCATTTAGGAAAGGACTGGGTAAATGTGCACCTTCACCCACCCTTCACCTAGGAGTGGACTGGGTAACCTTGCAACTCACTCTTCCTCTAGGAAAGAACTGGGTAACTGTGCAATTCACCCTTCATCTAGGAACGGACTGGGTAACCTTGCAACTCACCCTTCACCTAAGAAAGGACTGGGTAACCTTGCAACTCACCCTTTATCTAGTGAAGGACTGGGTAACAGTGTAACCCCCCTTCCATTTAGGAATGGACGGGGTAAATGTGCAACTCGCCCTTCCTCTAGGAAAGGACTGGATAACAATGAAACTCACCCTCCATGGAGCAGTTGCTCCCCGGGCACTGGGGCCAAGGTGCCCCTAAGGGAGTCTATGTTAAGAGACCTGGAAATACAGGGCTTGAAGCCTCTCACATCCATCCACACCATGTCTCCCTCACTCAAGGGGGTTCCCTGACACCCTTCCCCATTTTCAGGTCTCAGAATCTATGTATTTATTTCTACATAATAAAGTGTTCCAAAACGTGGCAGCATAAAATGATAAGCACCTCTTACCTTGCTGCCTCTGCGGGTGGGGATCTGGACACAGCTGTGTGGGTGCCTCTGGCTCCAGGGCCCTCCTCAGGCCGCAGTGGAGCTGTTGGCCAGGGCTATGCTCTCATCAGAAAGCTCAACTGGGAGGTAATGGCTTCCAAGTTCACACATGGTTCTCAGCAGGAATTTGTTCTTTGTGGGCTGTTGGCTGGAGTCCTCTTCCATTTCCCCACCTGTGGGTCTCTCCATGGGGCAGCTCACAGCATGGCAGCAGCCCCATTAGAATGAGCAAGGAACAGCACTAACAAGGGCAAATGAGAGAAAAGCCAGGGTCGTTAAATGTATCTTGGAAGTGACATCCCATTGCCATGGCCAAACTGTCTTGCTAGAGGCAAGTCCCAGGTCCAGACACGCTAGGGAAGAAGGTAGGGGATGGATACCAGGAGGGCATCATCAGGGGCCTTTGTCACTTGGTCACACTCTCAAACAAGTGGCTCCTCCAAACAGTAAACCCCGGCATGGGCATCGTTCCAGAGGTGCCGCCACAGGGGTCCTTCATCTGGGGAAGCGGACAGAATGGGCAAAGGCTTTCCCCTCGGTCCTCAGCTTGACTCAGTCAAGGCAGGCCCCCCATGCCCTCCCATCTTCAGGTCGGCACTGTTTCAGGGCCTGCTGTCTACGGGGCTGTCTGAGATGTGACTTTGGGGAATTGGGGCGGAAGGATTTCCAGGGCTCCCATTCCTCACAAAGGCAAGGCAGGTGTGGAGATTTTCAATTTTCTTTTTAATCAGGGTGGCACCCACTGGAGAATACCTGCCAGGTTATTCTGCAGAGCACTTGCCAAAGCTGAGTCCTGGGGGGACTTTGTTAAACCTGTGAAAGCCGCCAGGGCCCACAGAGTAGCAGCTCCCTGACCAGGACCACTCAGTGCAGTGTCTCAGCCACCGCAGCCCTGTCTCCCCTCCCGGCTCCCCTTTCCTCCCTCTTCATTCTCCCTTCCCTCACACACCCTACTCTCCTACCCACCCAAGGTTCCTCCATTCTAGCCCTGCTCCCCCCCTGCCCCGCCCTTCCTGGCTGCGTGGTTGGCCCTCTTCTTCCCGGCAGCTTCTTCCGGGTTTGGGAATTGTCTTTGCTCTGTCACCTCTGAAGGCCAAGGACACGTGCTTGGGGCTCTTGTTGGCTGCACCCGGGCAGAGCTTGACTTAGAGTGGCCCAGGATGCAGCGAGAGAGAGGATGTGCCTGGTTTGCCCAGGGCAGAGAGGTGGGCAAGGGCTGCATGGTATAGCCCAGGTGCTGGGCTGGTAGGAGAAGCTGGAGGAGGGTGTGTGGGGAAGGTGGGCTGCGCAGGATTAGACAGCAGAGGTGGGACGGGCAGCCCCGGGAGAGGCTGCGGGCAGAAGTACTCACTGGAGGCACCATATGGTGGCTCATCTGGCCCATCTGGCCCGTATGCAGCAGAGCACTGACTCTATAGTCACCAACAAAGACCTCGGTGTGGCCCTCGGGAACATTGTTTCTCGAAGGAGTCGGGAGGAGAAGAAAGTCACGTTTTCCAGTGTTTGCTGAGAACCTCCCAGGCTCCCATCCTGCAGAAGCTGGAGGAGCTGCTGTGTCTGTGATTAAAGAGCTCAGGGCTCCCCTGGGAGGTGGCAGTAGGGACACGTGGCCAGGCTTGATTCCTTTCCAGGATGGCGTGGAGGTCCAGGCCTTGTCCTCGGCCAGAGAGGGAGAAGTGCACCAGTACCCACAGCCACCGAGCCGCTGCTGCCCTCTGATTCCCTCCTGGGTCCTCAGGTTGCTTAGCATTGCTGCCCAGTAGAAGCCCAGAGTCCTGCAGGGAGGCCAGCCACAGATTATTTCCACCCAACTGCTAACCACAGCCCATGTGGGAAGCCACTGGAAATCATGCATGGTGAGAAGCATACGGTGTTCCCAGGGCAGCCCCAGATTGGAGAAGAAAACTAGAAATCTCAGCTCCACAGTGCACAGCACCTGCTCCCTCAGGGCCTCCCAGGTGAGGCTGTGACTTGAATCCCACTGGGCTTCAGACCCTGCCTAGACCTGGCCCTTCCTTCTCCTGGGAGATTCCCCATCCGGCCCCAGCCAGGCCCTTCCCTCCGTGAAGCCTGTTTTCTGGAAGGAGTTGCAACCCCCTCCCATCTCAGTGAGATCTGGGCCTGCAGTTTAGATGGGAGATAGGCTCATGGCAGAGTTTGGGGCACTGGCTGAGCCCCTGAAGCCCCCAGACACTCAGCAGTGCTGTGGCAGAGAAGCTCCAGCTGTCGATGTGTGGGGTCTTCCCAGGTGACCTGGCACTTCACAGACTGAGTCCCCTAAGCCTGTGGAGAGACCCCAGCCCAGGTCAGATGGCCAGGCAGGAATCTGATTATTCCCACATGACTGGCATGGAAACTGAGGGTCAGGGAGAAGAGTTGGCCTTCCCACAGTCACAGCGATGACAGGGAGAGGAGAAGGGATGTGAGCGCCAGCGTTCTCAGACCCAGACCAGGCTGCTCTCCACCGTGGCATTCCTCTGCATGTCTTTCCCTTCCAGCAGGAATTCCGCCTGTACCTCCAGGGTAGGCATCGGGGTCTACTCACAAGTCACATTATCACACCACACTTCTGCCCACTCTCAGTGAGCACAGCAGGGGAGACAGCAAAGAAGAAAAACCATAACAGAGACAGATGCTCTCAGGATGCAGGGTTGGGGGCCCTTGAGGGAGAACACATGGGCCCTCCAGAGGCGTAGGAGATGCTAGGAGAGGCTGGCATTGGGGCTGGATGTGGAAGAAGAGTGCACTTTCGAACAGCAAGAATGTACAATGTGCTGGGGCCAAGCAGGCCATCTCCCCAGGGGTCAGGTCATGGGGGCACACCTGAAGGCAGGGTAATGACAGAAGATAAAGGCAGGCTGAACAGGGCCCCGTGATTGGTCCCTGAATGCTACACTGGGTTGAATGTCCCTCAAATTTATGTCTACCTGGATCCTGTGACAGTAACCTCATTTGGAGACAAGGTCTGATATGGTTTGGCTTTGTGTCCCCACCCAAATCTCAGTGTTGGAGGAGGGGCCCGGTGGGTGGTGATTGGAGCAGGGGGGTGGATTTCTCCCTTGCTGTTCTCTTGATAGTGAGTGAGTTCTCATGAGATCTGGTTGTTTAAGTATGTGGCACCTTCCCCTTTGGTGTCTTCCTCCTGCTCCAGCCATGTAAGACATGCCTGCTTCCCCTTCACTTTCTGCCATGATTGTAAGTTTCCTGAGGCCTCCCTCAGCCATGCTTCGTGTACAGTCTGCAGAATTGTGAGTCAGTTGAACCTCTTTCCTTTACAAGTTACCGAGTTTCAGGTATTTCTTCATAGAAGTGTGAACCTCTTTCCTTTACAAGTTACCGAGTTTCAGGTATTTCTTCATAGAAGTGTGAATCTCTTTCCTTTACAAGTTACCGAGTTTCAGGTATTTCTTCATAGCAGTGTGAGAACAGACTAACACAGGGTCATTGCAGATATAATTAGTTAACATGAGGTCATCCTGAATTAGGGTGGCCCATTAGAGTAGTGTCCTTGTAAAGAGAGGGAAATTTGGACACAGACATACAGAGGGAAGAGAGCCATGTGAAGACGGAGGCAGAGATTGGAGTGATGCCGCCACAAACCAAGGAACACTGAAAACTGCTGCTGGAAATCACCAGAAGCTGGAAGAATCAAGGAAAGATTCTCCCCTAGAGCCGCTGGAGGGAGCATGTTAATGTTCCATTAGTATCAGAAAGAAGAGGAGCAGGTGTGCCGTGGCTGCATGGTCCTTGGGGACCTTCCAGAGGAGAGTTTCAGGAGGGAAGCAGGAGGACATGGCCAGGTTGAAGGTGATCAAGGAGGGTGGATGGAGGGAAATCAAGGCAGCAAAACAGACTTCTCTGAAGTGTGAAGGAATGATTTAAAACACAGGAGAGTTAGGGAAGTTTCATTTTGTGTATTAGTTATCTATGGCTGTGTAGCAAATTACCCCAAAATGCAGCAGCTTCAAACTTTGTTTTTTGAGATAGGGTCTTGCACTGTTGCCAAGGCTGCAGTGCAGTTGCCTGATCACAGCTCACTACAACCTCAGCCTCCAGGGCTCAAGCCATCCTCCCACCTCAGCCTCCTGAGTAGCTGGGACCACAAGCAAGCACCACCACGCCTGGCTATTTTTTGTATTTTTTGTAGAGGTGGGGTTTTGCCATGTTATCTAGGCTGGTCTCAAACTCCTGGGCTCAAGCAGTCTATCTGCCTTGGCCACCCAAAGTGCTGGGATTACAGGCATGAGCCAGTGTGCCAGACCCAACACATACCTGTAAGTTTACAGTTCCTGTGGGTCTGGAATCTGAGCACAGCTTAGCTTGGTGCCTCTTGGTGTCTGTCAAGGCTGTAATCCAGGCATCGGCTGCTGCTGCAGTCATCACAGGACTGGTATGGGGGCATCTGCTTCTGAGTTCACATCCGTGGCTGCTGCCAGGATCTGGATTCTTGTGGGCTGTGGCCAGAGGCACCTGTTCCTTTCCATGTGGACCTCTCCATAAGGCTGCTCACAATGTGGCTACTGGCTACCCTCAGAGGGAGTGAGGGAGAAAGAGGGAGAGTAGAGGATAAGAAAACACTTGGAGGGCCAGCAAGACAGAACCTGTCTTCTTGTAACCTAATCCAGGAAGTGACATATTCTGCTCTTTAGAAGTAAGTTACTAGGTCCAGCTCACACCCCAGGGGTGGGGATTACACAAGGGCCTGGGATACCACAGGGCAGGGGCTTAAGACCCCATCTCAGTGGTGGGCTCAGGAGGCTCTGGGGAGTTGGAGAGGTGGGGAAGGGAGGAGAAGCACAGGCCTGGACGGGAGGGGGTGCCTTTAGGGAGGAGGAGACGTTCGGCTTCTTGGACAGGAATTAAAAAATGAGAACATGCGCGTGGAAAAGAGAATCGATGTAAATCTGTCTGCAATCTTATTTTTTCACTCAATATTTTATGGATCCTGTTTTTATGTGGTCCTCACTGGTGGAAACAGCTTTTTCATAAATCTCTGTCTGGGCTTCCCAACAGTGTCAGCAGTTCCATCCTAGGGCTGGCACAGGTGGGGCCAAGACAAATCTTCCCCTGGGCTGGAGTGCAGCAGGAGCCCACCCAGGGCTTGGGGCTGGGAGAGACCTCTCTCATCCTGCACTGGCTCCTCCTGGGCTGCACGGGGTGCCAGAGAAAGTCAGGTGGCGTGGGGGCTCCTGTGTCCACCTGTGTTTCTGTTTCCGGTGTATGCGGCTGTTTCCAGTGCGCTCCTGCCCTTGTGCTGGCCCAGGGCCCCTGGCCAGAAGGACCCCTCCTTGCCATGGAGCGCTGATGCAGGGTCTAGGCCTGCATCACCCAGCCAAGGGCCCTGGGGCCAGTAGCCTTGGGAAGATGCCTGGGCCTCGAGACCCACCTGGACGTGGGAGTTGTTTCATGGCCTGGTCCAAGCCTAAACCTGATCTAAACCTTTGCCAAGAGCTTGTGAGATGGAACATCCCAGTATTTACCCAGCCTTCTCCTAGAGCTCCATCCTGTGGCCCCATCACCATGACAGCCTCTTAACAAAGGAGGAAACACTTCCAGGGGGTCCCACCTCCTCTCAACGGCTGCCCTGCCGAGTTGGCCTCGTGATTTGAAGAATGCAGTGCATTTTATTCTAAGGTTGGGTCTTATTACCCAGGGAAGCTGTTGGACATACAGAGCTATTTTAAAGGAGCAGAAATAGAACAGAAGAAACAGTCTTCCTGCACATTTCTTGCTATTCATAATATTCCCCTCTGCGAAGCTTTGATGGTGGAAAGGTTGAAGATGCTGGCTGGTTTGAAATAGTGGACCTCCCTGGAGGGACCCTCTGACCCCATATGTTGATTAATCTTATTCTGGAACATCCATGGCCCTGACTCCACTCCCCTTGGTGGATGTGGCCACACAGGCTCTCATACCCAGTTTTCCCTCAGAACATAGTTTCTTTGCCCAGAGTTGCTTCTCTCTCTCCTTGAGGCTTCTCCAGTGAAAATGAACATCTCCCTGGCCACTCACTCAAGCCCTACTGCAGTGGCTGAAAGCACTTTCAAGGAACCAGCCTACAGCCCCAAGAGAAGAGCCACTTGCGGCCATCAGCAGGGATTAGGAAGCTCACACCTGGACAAGTCAAGCGCTCCCCAGTGGTTGCAGAGAGACAAGATCTCTTGGGCCATTTCACAGCTCACTACTCACACAGAGAGATGTGAAATCATGACCTTCCAGAAGACTCTGCCTAGTCATTTATGGAGGCTTGGGCACTGTGAACACATCTGTTATATATCTCCGTCCTACAGCTGGTGAGAAAAGGAGAGACTTGTTTTATTCCAACATATAGAATCTTCCCCGGGAAGATTAGGGATCTTCTAATCCCTGCTGATGGCTGCAAGTGGCTCCTCTCTTGGGGCTGTTAGCCGGTGCCTTCATCTGTGCCCTCATCTGCCCCTCCAGGCTTCTTAATTGCAAGGCCAGGTTGTCACATCCTCAGCATCTAGACCATGAGCTCCTGGGGCTCCTCTTCATGATGCCTGCAGAGAGGGTCCCAGACACTGACAGACACCAGGGAAGCATTGTGAGTACAGGATGCATTGAAAGCTGAAGGAGCTGCTCTCTAAAGAGGAGAGTAGAGCTGGAGACCTTCCACATGTCTGATTTGCTCTTCCCCCCATAAGGGGATGTGAGATAAGAAAGCAGGGCAGAGTAAGGATGAGAATCAATGAGCCAGGATGGGATCGAGGTCATGGAAGGGCATCCATAAGGCCCGGCAGAAGCTTTGTAATGGGAATGCCTCATCTCCCCTGAAGGTGCCCAGACCAGGTTACTCAGCCCAGCATTTCGGCAACTCTAAAGCAGAGGGATTCCTATTCAGAGACCTCACAATCTGGAGATACTGGAAAGGTGGAGAATAAAGAGGGGCCCAGAATAGAGACTGTTCCAGGAAGCACATAATACGGACAGAAAACATAACCTTTCCTGGTGGGATGTTAAAGTGGGGAGAGGTCAGGGAGATAGCATGCTCACACACTGTTGGCAGAAACATGAAGTGAAACAAGCTTTCTGGAAGATAAGCTCTGTAACAACGTGGAAGGGCTTATAGAAATGCACCTGAGTGAAATAGATGCCAGGCAAATGTATGAGGATGGTCCCTGCAGCATTTTTCAGAACACTGATATAAGTGAAAATGTCTAATAGGCATTTCAGTGTTCCCTTCCCTAAAAAAAAAATAAAAAATAAACATAAGTAAAAAACCACAAGTAAACAGAAAACCAGTAAGGACATAGAAGACTTGAATCCCCTTATCAAAAAACCTGACAGCTAACATTTGGAGACCCCTCCACCCAACAACAGCAGAATACATATTCTTTTCAAGTGCACATTTTAATCAATATAGGCCATATTCTGAACTGTAAGAAAATGGCATGAATTTGAAAGCATTCAAAGAATACAGAGCACGTTCCTTAGCAAAAATGGAATTAAAATATAATTCAATAACAGAAGGATATCTGGAAATTCGCAAGTATTTGCAAACTAAATAACACAGCTTTTAATACCCCATGCTTCAAAGATGAAATCAAAGGAAAACAACAAAAAAGTTTGAACTAAGTGAAAGTGAAAACACAGCATGTCAAATTGTGTAGGTGCTGCTAATGTAGTATTGATATAGCACTAAATGCCTGTATTAGAAAAGAAGAAAGGTTTCAGATCAATGACCTAATCTTCCACTTTAAAAAACTAGAAAAGAAGAGTGAACTAACCCAGTGTAAATAGAAGAAAAAGACTCATGATTATAGTGGAAATCAATGAAATAGAAAACAGAAAAATGTAGAGAAAAATCGATGAACCCAAAAGCTAGTTCTTAGAGTAGATCAATAAAAATGATAAGTCTCTGGCCAGACTTATCAGGAAAAAAGAGAGAAGACACAAATTACCAATATCAGGAATGAGGAGATGACATCATGACAGATTCTACAGATACCAAAAGGATAATAAGGGAATTTGATGAAAAGCTTTATGCTAATAAATCTGACACCTTAGATAAAATGAACAAATTCCCGAAATTACAAAAGCTCACTCAAACAGAAATACATACCTTTATAACCATATATCTGTTAAAGAAATTGAATTTATAGTTAAAAGCCTCCCCACCAACATAACTCCAGGTCCAGAAGTCTTCACTGAAGAATTCAAACAAATATGAAAAGAGGAACTCAAGCCTTTCTACACCAACTCCCCAGAATATTGAAAAGGAGAGAGCATTTCCCCACTCATCCTATGAAACCAACATTACCCTGTGACTAAAATCTGACAAAGACAGATACAGTGGCTCACATCTGTAATCCCAGCACCTTGGGAGGCCAAGGCAAGCTGATCACTTGGGCCCAGGAATCCAAGACCAGCCTGGACAACGTGGCAAAACCTTGTCTCTACAAAAAACACAAAAAATTATCCTGGCATGGTGGTGCATACCTGTAGTCCCAGCTACTTGGAAGGCAGAGGTGGAATGGTCACCTGGGCCTGGGAAGTTGAGGCTGCAGTGAACCAGAGGTGGCACCGCTGCACTCCAGCCTGGGCCACAGAGTAAGACCCTGTCTCAGAAAACAAAAACAAAAGCAAAAACAAAACAAGAAAACTACAAACTGCTATCTACAAACTGCTAGGTCATTACAGACATCACAGTTCTTAGCCAAATTTTAGTCAGCTGGACTCAATAATATATAAAAAGGATAACTCATTATTACCGAGTATGGTTTACCCCAGGCATACTAGTTTGGTTTAACATTTGAAAATTAATATTAAACTAAAAAGGGAAAAAAAACCATATGACTACCTTAATAGATGCTGAAAATGCATTTGACAAAACCCAATATTCATCTCTGATTAAAAAAAAAAACTCTGAGCAAGTTAGCAATGAAATACAATGCTCACAACCTATAAAGCACATCTATGAACAACCCATAACTAACATCACACTTAGATGGGGAATAACAATGTTTTCTCTCTAAAATCAGAAATAAGGCAAGGACATCTGCTCTCATCCTGTCTATTCAACATTACACTGGATGTTCTTGTCTAATAAATGAGGAAAGAGAAATTAAAGGGATCTAGATTGGAAAAGAAATTAAACTGTCTTTCTTTCTAGACAACCTGATCATCTCTGTAGCAAATCCAATGGAGACTACAAAAAAGTCACTATAACAAGTAATTAAGTCATCAAAGTTGCAGGATAGAAAATCGACATATCAAAATTAACTGGATTTCTATATCCTGGAAACAAATAATTGGAACTTGAAATTTTAAAATTTCTTTTTCAATAGCATCAAAATATGAAATGTTTAAAGACAAAACTGACAATGTATAAAACCTGTACTCTGAAACCACAAAACATTGCTGAGAGACATTTAAAAACTAAAAAATGGAGTGAGACCCCCATGTTCATGAGCCAGAAGACTCAGTGTTGTCAAGATGCTGATCCTCCTCATTTAGATCTGTATTGTCAGTGCAGTCTTAATCAGAGGTCCCATCGGGATCATTTGAAGAAGCTGACAAGCTGATTCATTTGGAAGCGTAAAGGGACCAGGATGGCCAAAACAACATAGAAAAAGAAGAATGAAATCGGAGGACCAACACTACCTGGCTTCAAGACTTATTATAAAGCTACAGTAGTCAAGACTGTGATATTACTATAAAGATAGACAAACAGATGGATGAAACAGAATAGTGTAAAAAATAAACCCACATATATATGATCCACTGACTTACGACAAAGATGCAGAGATCATTCAGTTTATCAGGTTTATCAGTTTATCAGAATTTAGTTATTCAATTTTGAAAGAAAAGCTTAAAATGATGCTGGAATTAATTGATATTTATTTGAATTTTAAAAATCTCTTTCAGGCAGGAAGGGTGGGAGGAAAGGGTTACTAAACACAAGGAAACTTATGGTGGTGACGGACACATCTGTCATCTTGTTTGTGGTGCTGACTTTATGGGTCGTGCGTGGGTCAAACATCATCACGGTATTTTTAAATACGAGCAGTTCATTCTATGTCAAAAATTGACTTTAAGACCCTAATGGATCGCTCCTCCATTTACCCCCTGACCTTAATGCCTACGACTCTGTCGCTTGCTCAGTCCACTGGATCAGAGAGGACTCTTTGCTGTGTGTTAACCATGCCCTCCCCTCAGGGCCTTTGTGCATGCTGTTCCCTATGCCTGGAATGCTTTTTTCCCAACATCTGCTTCAGGGATTCTCTCCCCAACACCTTCTTAGGTCTTGCCTCACACATGACCACTCAGGCTTTTCCTGACCACCGTCCTATTTAAAATCCCTATTCACCTTCCCAAAACACACACACACGCACACAGTCACTCCTGATTCACTTTTCTGCTTTATTTTCATCCACGGCACCCACTAATGTTCTACGTGTTATATTCATTCTTTAGCTGTCATCCCCTACACACACACACACACATGCACACACACACACGCGCACACACACACACACTCATAAAAGCTCCACAAGGTGAAACGCCTTCATCCTGTTTGTTCCCTCTGCATTCCTAACGCCTGAAACAGAGCTTATCACCTTTTAGACATCTGGTATACTGTGTTGAATGAGTGAACAGAATAACCGACTAAACGCTTCTTGGCCATCCCTAAAGATGTACCTTGACGCAGGGGGATAGTATATAACTGTTAAGAAAGGATGAAATGGGTTTATTTATATTGACCTTCCTGTCAGCATGAATGAGGCTCAAGGTTGTCTTTATTTCAACGTCTGCTGGACTCCATGCATGGGTTCCCATGGCCCCATCCTAGGGAGGCCTCGTGAAGCACAGGGCATCCTGCTGACAGCTCAAGATGTCTGCATCTGCAGCAGCCCCAGTCTGTCCCGGGGCCTTGAGCAGACAGGAAGCAGAACACCAGCAGTGCCTCCCCGTGTGTGAGCCTGAAGCAGAGCCCACCCTTTATCCCATTGCCCCTTCCTTTCTTCCAACGCTGTTAGGTCAGAAATGGAGGTGGCAAGTGAAGTGTGGGAAGGGGCCCATTTATCATTATATTACTTTCCACTAGTTTTTAAAATTTAATCAGAAAAGTTTAATATATCAGAAATTTTTCTGGCTCACTTGTGATGCATTTTTAGTAAAACTGTACTCTCTCTCCAAACCTGAACATTAATAAGAGGAAAAAAAATCAAAAGGAAAGAATTTACTCAATCAGGTTAAAAATCCACTTTCCTAAATTTATTTCAACTCCGAGTTTAGTTGAGGCCAAAACAAACCCTAAAATGCTGTCTCTACACATATGAAGATATCCAAGGTGTACTAAGTAAATTATACAGGTTAGAGAGCGAATACAGAAAGCAGGTTTCAGGTACATAAAATAAATTGTACAAGCACAGAAGAACATGTTGATAATTGTAATAGTGATTAACTAGATGAGAGTGGAAATTGTGGAGGACTTTCTTTTTTATGATATACACCTCTGTAAAGTTTGAACATTTAACTTCAAACATGTATTACGTTTATAATCGCTGAATAGTAACAGTATTTCCATCTTGGGGGAAAACCCCACACACCAAATTGGGGAAGGAAACATTTGCAGTTATTCTGGGCCTTCTGAATATTCCAAGTAGGCAACTGATAAGGTTTGGCTGTGTCCCTACCCAAATCTCATCTTGAATTATAGCTCCCATAATTCCCATGTGTGATGGGCGGGAGCTGGTGGGAGATACTTGAATCATGGAGGCAGTTTCCTCCACACTGTCCTTGTGGTAGTGAATAAGTCTCAAGAGACCTGATGTTTTTATAAGGGGTTTCCTCTTTCACTTGTCTCCCATTCTCTTTTGCCTGCCGCCATGTAAGACATGCCTTTCACCTCCTGCCATGATTGTGAGGCCTCCCCAGCCACGTGGAACTGTGAGTTCATTAAACTTCTTTTTCCTTATAAATTACCCAGTCTTGGGTATGTCTTTATCAGAAGCATGAAAACGGACTAATACAGCAGCTTATTTGAATACACTAAGAACTAGAAGATTACTTTGTTGTTGTTTCTCAGACCTCTGTTATTTTAAGAATGCATGAAAACTAAGTGTTCAAATCATCTCAGTCTCCCCTGAACTTCCCATTTGGCAGGTATTCTCTCCCGCTTGGCAAACACTAGTTTGCACCATGCTAGCCAGGACAGGACAAACACGTGTGCCAAAGACAAGCTCAGAATCAGAAAGAACGCCTGTTCTTCCACAGGGCACCCAGGAGAGAAGTGTGAAAATTCCAGAGCCCTCCTCACAGCGTGGCCTCGTACCACAGGATGCTTTGTTTAACAGACAAACAGACGTTGTCCTTGCAGGTGAGGCCAGCCCAGGGGGAGCCAGGAGTCCAAGGCAGCTGACTGCGGTGTGATGGGAATTTCTGGAAGCCCCATTCACCTAAACACTTCCACAATAAGGATGCTTGAAATTCTATGACAGAAGCCTCACTTGGGCAAATGAGAAGGCTCTATGCCAGAAGGGCTAGGACGCGCAGCTGCCACAGCCTGCTCAGCTCATTCTCCCTAAGGTTTGGACCACCCGGAGAATTTGAAGCCATAGGCACTGCCACAACGTGACTACCCAAGGAAGTGGCCAGGCCAGGATGCTGGTGAGAACTGTTCAGTGGATGTCAGGCCGCTGCACGGGCCTGACTGGAGATGGGGCAGGGGTGGGGACCACCCTTTAGAGGTTCTATAAGCTGAGGAAAGTCAAGAGGTCAGCCCAATCCCATTATCCACCTACCTACATGTCAATATTCAAATAAAAAAAGCAACTTCAGAAACAATGATTGTCTCCCACTGTTTATACCATCAAGTCAAAATTCCTTTACCTTGAGCTTTTAGCTCTGCTCACCACTGCCCTCCAGACCCCTCTCCCTCCACCTCCCAGCCACCTTTTTCATGGCTGGCGTTAAATTCTGCCTGTCCTTCCTGGCTAAAAATGCCCCTTTATTTTAATCACTGCATGTCACACAGCCTAAAGTGACCCCCAGTGAGTGGTAACTTGTATAATCTGCTCCTCTTGAGAGTGGTGGAGACTGTGGCTTGCTTCTAGGTCACACAATGTGACATGGGTGCTGGGCGTCACTCTGCAATTGTGTAAGACTCCAGCGTCTTTGCAGAGTCGAGTGAGAGATTCTCCTGTGGCTTTAAAAGAGCAGCTGCCATGCAGTCCACAGGCACAGGAATTGAATCCTGCTGACAACCTGCAGGAGTTGGAAGCATGTCCTTCCTGAGTTGAGCCTGCAGATGAGAACACAGCCCAGGTGACCCCAGATTGCATCCTGTGAGACCCTCTGCAGAGGACCTTGCTAAGCCATGCCTGGAATGTCTACTTACAGAAACGAAGAGAATAAGTGGTGGTGTTATAAGTACCACATTTGTGGTCATTTGTTTACAGCATGGAAAGCTGACCCCTCTTGCCTCCCATGGGGGCTGTCAAGGGCACAACCCAACTCAAATAAGCCCAGGGTGCAGTGGAGCCAGGGACTCAGTCCCCAGCAGTCTCCCATAGCACTGGAACCTCAGCCAAGGCTTGGTTCGCTGATGTGTTCTACAGAACAGACTCTCCTACAAGAGGACATCACAGGAAGAGATGGAAGAAATATATTTAAGATGCAAGGAGATTGGTAGGTAAAGACTGAAATGGTCAATGCCTGTGTTAGGGGAGCAGCCCTTATCATCCTATCATGAAAGTTTGTTCTCGGAAATAGACATCTATTCCATGGCAGCCTGGCCCGTGGAAAACACACAGAGGTCTCCACAAACTCAACCTTGGATCAAGCAGCCAGTCTGTTCTCTGCACAGGACAGAGGCCCCCGGCAGCCACCCTTTGCTAAGTCAAAGAGGACTTATTATTCCCTGCACAATCCAATTAACAGCATAGTTTTCTTTTAATAATCTAATTGAGGCACCAGTATTTGAAATAATGTGGCATGATTAAAGGAACTACCACCAAAACCCAAGCCAGCAATGAGAAAGTAATTTGATCATAGTGGCGTCTTTAATCTTTTAAACAAAACTAAGTTAAAATATATTAACCATGGATTCATTTTTTTCATGATTATCTTAGTTGTATAAATAAGCTTCTGCATCCGCCCTGAAAATCAAATTCTCAATGGACTCAATCATGTTGACTTAATAAAGTGGTAAAATAAATCTCAACTTAATAAACAACCTTGTAACCACATCTTTAACCGCTGGCCGCTTGAGGCTAAAGGAAACAAAACACTGCCTCCCCAGAAGATCTCTCTAATCTCCCTGCATTTCTGTGAGAGCAGGAGAGAGAAAACACACACTCGGTCCCTGGCTGACACGCCCACCGGCAGAGCTTGTCCAAGAGGCAGAAAGTCCCCATGCCTACCCACTAGGGGCCTGACGGATCCTTTCAGAAACTGGAGCTTGCTTCCCAGGAGGATGGAGTCTGGAACTCTGCACTGAGGAAGGAGAGTGAAGGGACAGCTGGCTGTGTCAAGCTTCCTGGCCTCTCCCCTAGCTGATAGGCCTAAATTCCACATCCCACCCACTAGGGACGCCTTTAACTGATCACCTGCCCCCCACACTTGAGAAAGTGAAAGGGACTGTTAGTAAACGTGCCGGGGCCACAGGCCTGCACGTGCTGCCTCACACAGCGGGGATGCACAGCCACCCGTCCCTGCCAGCCAAGGGATCCCTGTTTCCATGGCGCCCCCCCCCCCACCTTTGCTCCTGTGTCCCCTGACCCCTGTTCCCTGACCCCTGGGCTCCTGACCCTGGACCACCTTTGTTCCTATGTCTCAAGCCAGCAGCTGGCGGGGACTGGTCTCATGGCTGGGGCAGAGGTGGGAGAAGGGAGCGGGCCCTCCTTCACTCAGGACCCCAGGAAGCCTCTGAGTTCAGCCACAGCAGGGGTTTCAGGGCCCAACCTGGATGTGTTCTTGATGGCAGCTGGAGCTCCCTGTTTCCAGGTCACCGTGCCCAGATCCTCTGGCTACAGGTGGTGAATCCTAGAACAGACAGGAGTGAGTGTGCCCAGGCCCCAGGAGGGCACAGGCCACACACTTCACAGGCCAGGGTGGTGGGCCCAGACCCGTGACCCCATTATGTGGCCACAGTGCACTGCGGCCAGGTGGACGCACATCCTGGGGAAGCACTGGGGTCTCTCCAGGAACTTGGACTAAGCTAGGTGAGGTCAGCCATCTTTCAGCCACAGAGCGGGGAGGCCTCATAAAGTCACCACCCCAGGGCTGGTCATTGCTGTGCCCTACTCAGTGGCAGAGACAAAGCTTGGGGCAGGGCAGCGGGTTTCAGGGAGGAGGGGAGAGGAGGCACAGAGAAGCAGAGGCCAGAGTTGGAGCCCAGAGGTGTCTTAGAAACAGCTGATGTTTCACAGATAGAGCCCAGGGGTGTCTTAGAAACAGCTGATGTTCCAGAGATAGAGCCCAGGGGTGTCTTGGAAACAGCTGATGTTTCTAAGGTGCTCACCGAAGGCTCCGGGAGCACCACCATCGCATCCTCCCACGGCACTTCAGGGGCCACGTCCTTACCTGGGGTCGGAGGGGACAGGCTCGGAGAAGGCTGCCAGAGGTCACAACACTGATCGATAGAGGAGGCTGGACTCCAGCTCCGGTTGCCCTTCCAGAGGGAGTGCACACCACGGCCAGGAGCCCTCTGGGCCTGACCCTCCTGCCCAGGCAGGTCACCAGCGGGCCTCTCAGCCAATCCCCACAGGGTCAGCTTCTGCTGCACCCCAACTGTGTCAGGGACTCATTCCCCAAAATCGCTGCATCCACAGGACCCCATCAGAGGTCTAGACCACGCCCAAGAGGCCATGCTGGGAGCTGCTTACGTGAGAGACCAGGCCTGACGGGGGGTGCCAGGACCACGTGTGGAGTCACAGCCCGTCCCGGGGTGCCTACATCACAGTGCCCCTGTGGGTCTTAAGGGCCACCTTGGCCCCAAGCTGCTCCTGACCCCAAGGCCCCCACAGCTGGAGAAGTAACTAGGAGAGCCCTGCTTGGGCCCCTGGGACTGTGCTCTGGGCTCCAAGGACCAGATGAGGTGGGGCTGGCTGAGTACTTGATCCTGGAAACCAGGGGTCCCCAACCCCTGGGCTGAGGGCAAGTGTGGGTCCATGGCCTGTTAGGAACCCGGCTGCACAGCAGGAGGTGAGCGGCGGGCAGGCGAGCATGACCGTCCGAGCTCCGCCTCCTGTCAGAGCAGCAGCGGCATTAGATTCTCAGAGGAGCGCGAACCCTGTTGAGAACTGCGCAGGTGAGGATCTCAGTCGCCCCCTCCTTATGGGAATCTAACTAATGCCTGATGATCTGAGGTGGAACACTTTTATCCTAAGACCTTCCCCACTCCACCATCCGTGGAAAAATTGTCTTCCATGAAACCGGTCCCTGGTGCCAAAAAGGTTGGGGACCCGTGCTGTAAATCGTTTGGCAGCTTCTCGCCTGGGGGCTGCAGGATTCACACTAGGAGAGATCGTCTTCATGGAGGCCACTATGTGTTGGGTGTTGTCACCAAGGGGACAGGCGAAAGTCGAGAAGCCACCCTGACTGGCCGTGAGATGCTGGACGTGCCCCTCTGGCCGTTCTGTGACCAGTTCTGGGGCTGCAGCCTCGGACCCTGGGCAAGGTCGTGCCGGCCGCCCCGTGCAGGCCCCTTCCTTGCCGGTCATGGCCGGGCCTTGCCCTATTTGCCACCCCTGTGCAATGGGTCAGCAGGGACTGACCCTGTGGGAACAGCCTCCGTCCCAGGAGGTCACTGAGCAGGGGGCCCTGCTGACCACGGTGGCCCCGAGTGCCTCAGTGCACTGTGGCCTCTGCTTGCGTCCTTGTGAGTGGTGCAGTTTCGAGGCTCACTCGAATTGAGTGAGTAATGAATTGAGGAAAGCAGGAACATACTCGGTGGGGTTTGGTGCCATCTGTTTTAGAAGCACCTGCTCGATGCATCCTTGGTCTCTCACCCCTCAGCCCAGGCATCACGGCCACCTGGAGTGGCACGTGCCACGCAGCCACCCAGCTATTAGCAGGGAGCAGCCCTCGGTCCTCATCCCTCCTCAGAGCCTCCTGCCCCTGAACTCTGGATTTATGGGCTTCATCCCTGTGCCGGACCAGAGCCATGAGAGCAATTTCACCCTGGCGGCATTTGTCAAGGCTTGCGGAAGCTTCGGAGACGTACACCCTCAGCCCCAGTGTGTTCCTCAGCTGCTGCAGAGGCCGCCCCAGGGGCTCTAGAATTGTGGGGGAAGGGGTCAGCCCAGGGGCAACTGAGGCCCATGGGGACTGGGCCTGCCTCTGGCCACACAGCTGGGGCACCCTCATCGGCTTCCTGCAGCCTGTAGCCACCAGGCAAGGCATGGAGGCCGCCACTGCCCAGGGTGAGGAAGTCCGGGATGAGGATTTCATGAGGCTCCAGGAGGCCAAGGAGGGACCCAGAGGGGCTGTCCCTGAGGGAGCCTGGTCACCCTCCCCTCCCAGAGAGGTCTCAGTGGGACAACTGGAGCCAGGAGCAGACAGGAGGGTTCTGGGGCTGAATTTCCACCTGCCTTGGGGTCAGGGGATGGCGGCAGATGTCTGTACAGCTCAGGGCCCACCAGGTAGCCGCGCCTGCACGCAACAACTGTTGGAAAGGCTGTGAGGGCCGAGAACCTCCCAAGTCCCCAAGAGGCATATCTGAGATTGTATCCCCCTCCAGGAAAAATGTAGTCACTGTGAGAGTTCCCGCAGATGCTATGAAGCTCTCCAGACGCTGCGGCTGTGCACTCCTGGGACAGCGGCGTGTGTTTCCAGGAGCTTTTGGGGACAGCCCTTCCCTCGGTTGTGCCCAGAGGTTCCACCTCCGATGGTCTGAAGCCCAGCTAGAGACCCCTCTGGCTTCATCCTCCCTCCTAGCCCCCCGACTGGACTCAGTGTTTGACTGTCTGTGACACATCACGGTGAGGGTGGGGGATGGCAGCGCCCACAGCATCGCTGGGCTGATGGCAGCCCGGGCAAAGGACCTTTGCATGGACACCCTGGTCTGCCCTCTTCTCCACCCCTGCCTGGCCTCCCCAGGAGGAGGCTTGGCATCACACTTCATCAGGAAATGAGACCGCCAGCCACTGGGCCACCCAGCAACTCTAGGCAAATCCTCCAAAAACCCATACCCAGAAAGCCATTTTGCTGAGACCTCCTCAGAACCTCCCCTGAGACCCTGCTCTGCTATTCTATGGAAGCGGGTGGGGGATACAAGGCAGAGGAAGATGAGAGGCAGAAAGCTGGCTGCAGACAGAGCCCGCCCACCACACACAGGCAGGGAGAATTGGGGGCACCGGTGTGCAGTAGGTGGGGGCCTGGCTGAGAAGAGCCACAGGGCCATGAAGAGGCTGACTTTAGAGACCTGGGAATTTCAGCCCCTCAGCAAAGAGGCACCTGGATGCAGGAGGCAGATTTGCAGGAAACCCCATCCCCACCTGCCCCTGCCTGGAGCTTTCCTCAGCAAGAGGCAGAGCAGGGGGTGTCTCACCCCACCCTCACTTCCTCCAGCCCAGCCCGAGCTCCGGCCACACGCCTTCCCACCCTGTCCCCAGGCCCCCTCCAGAAATCCTCCATGTCAGTGCCTACCCCCCGTGTTAGTCCATTTTCAGGCTGCTATAAAGAAATACCTGAGTGGGTAATTTATAAAGGACAGAGGTTTAATTGACTCCCAGTTCCACAAGGCTGGGGAAGCCTCAGGAGACATGATCATGGCAGAAGGCAAAAGGGAAGCAGGCACCTTCTTCACAAGGCAGCAGGAAGGAGAAGGGCTAGCAAGTAAGGAAGTGCCATATTTTTGAAACCATCAGATCTCGTGAGAACTTCCTCACTATCATGAGACCAGCATGGGAAAACCACCCCCATGATCCAGTCACCTCCCTCCCTCCACACATGGAGATTACGGGTCCCTTCCTTGACACATGGGAATTACAATTTGAGATGAGATTTGGGTGGGGACACAGAGCCAAACCATATCACCACCCACATCCCTGTGACACAAACACGTGCCATTTCCTGCCTGGACTCAGCCAACCTGTCTCCCATGTGTCTACCTCCCAACTCCCGCCCTCCCCTTACCCCCTCACTGGGAAGGGGGGATCCTGGGGTCTTCCTGCAGCATCACCTCTGGAGCACTCTGCCCTGCCTGCTGCCTGCTGTGCTCCTTGAAACTGGTCCCAGAGCTGAGGGCCCCTCCCTGGACACTCCCTTCCTTTCCCCACTCCAGCCCCTTCCTTTCTCCTCACTGGACCCTCAAGGCTGCTTCCTTACGGACCCCTCCTTAGCCTGGCCCTGCTCTTTCCATCCTCCTTCCACTTCCCAGGAAAGCTCTCCATACAGGCTGACACCCTCAGTCTCCCCTAAGCCTGGGACTCCCACCCAGTTTTTTCTGCAGCGAGCTGAGTTCCAGTGGCAGCACCTTCCCAACTGAGGCTGGTGTTCCAATAGCTGACCCCGCTATGTGAGCCAGCGCCGACAAGATGGGAGGGCCTGGGCATCTCCCTCCTGGCTGCACAGCCTGGGCATCAGCTGCTCCACCCAGCAGGCAGCAGGGCTGGCCTGGGCCAACGGCACAGCCCTGATGCAGAGTCTGTGGGCTAGAGGCCCAGGCTGCCACACCTGCAGGCAGGTGTGGATGGGGTGGAGGGTTGACAGAGGGGCATGCAGAGGCCTTAGTACCCTGACCCTAAGCCACCCGGATCCGCCCTGGTCCCTGCTCAGCTCCACCACTGTCCCGCCCTTCCAGCTGAGACCTTCCTAGGTGCTGAGACCCACGTGCCACTCTGCCTGAGGACCCAGGACCCAAGCACCACGTCAGCTGCGCATCTGCACTAGTGAGGGTGCATGGGGTGGTGCTGAGGGTGTACACAGGCTCAAAGACTGCAGATTCTTTTTCTTTCTTTAAACGTTCTTTAAACTTGACTCCATCTTTGACCCACTGCTCCCTTCTTCCTCTGGCTGGGGAACCCCAGGTCATTTGTCCATTCATGGAACCAGAGCTGAGTGAGCCGCCCTGCTTTGTGCCCTGTGCCCAGCCCTGTGCTGGGGAGGCCCTGCAGGCCCGAGTGGGCTGTGCTCACACTGGGGGCTGTAGCTGAGACCATGCCTGGCTCCCGCTGCATGGAAAAGCAGAGCATTTGTTTTGCTCTTTGCTTAAAAAGAGGGCCAGGCACGTTGTGGGTGATGGATGAACCTTTCAGAGTCACCCAATAAATGAATCAACAGATGCAGGAAAATGGTCAGCTCACCTTGAGGGACATGTGGGATGAGGGCATGTGTGTGTATGTGCATGTGTGTGTGCATGCATATGCATGTATGTGTGTGTGCATATGTGTGCCTGTATATATGTGTATATGTGTGTATGTGTATGCATGTATATGTGTGCATGTGTATGCATGCATGTGTGTGCATGTGTATGTAAGTATATGTGTGTGCATGTGTATGTGTGTATGTGTGTGTGCATGTGTATGTGTGTGCATGTGTGTGCATGTGTATGTGTGTGCATCTGTATGCATGCATGTGTGTGCATGTGTGTGTATGTGTATGTGTGTGCATCTGTATGCATGCATGTGTATGCATGTATGTGTGTGCATGTGTGTAGATGTGTGTGCCTGTGTGTGTTCATGTGCATGTGTGTATATGTGTGCTTGTGTATGCATGAACGTGTGTTTATGTGTGCATATATATGCATGTGCATGTGTGTGTGCATATGTGTGTATATGTGTGTGCATTTGTATGCATGTATATATGCATGTGTGTGTTTGCATGTGTATATGTTTTATGTGCATGTATGCATGCATATGTGCACGTGTGTGCTAATGTGCACACACGTGCACAAATGTGTAGGTGTGCACATGTGTATGTGTGTGTGGTTGTGTATGTGTGTATGCATGTGTGTGTGCGCATGCAGGCACATCAATGTGTAGGTGTGTGCATGTGTGCATGTATAAATCTCTGCATG
Source organism: Homo sapiens (assembly GCF_000001405.40). Taxonomy (NCBI): domain Eukaryota; kingdom Metazoa; phylum Chordata; class Mammalia; order Primates; family Hominidae; genus Homo; species Homo sapiens. The sequence goes on along the minus strand of NC_000002.12, from coordinate 240,163,901 downwards.
TATGTGTGTGGCAGTGCACATGTATGTAGGTACATATGCACCCCAGGCCAGGCCTCTGGAGGGCAGGCTGGTTCCCTGCAGCAGAGATCTCCAGCCATGGCCACCGAGAACTTCTCCTTTCCTTGTCCTGTGTGAGCCCCTTCTCTGAATCCATCATCTGAGAACACACCTGAGAGTGATGACTGCAGTGTTCTCCCTTTACTTCTCAAAGGCCCGCACAAGTGCTCATCCCATCAGTGTGGCTGCCAGGAGCTCATCTTTTCCTTCTGAAGATTAAGAAATGGCCCCTTGGGTTGGCCTGCGTGGCCATAGCTCATGCATGTGGCGTTTCTGGAACATTTGGCCGCATGGGCATTACTGACCAGAGGAGCGCAGAGAGAGCCTGCGGTGCAGAAGGCAGCAGTGTTCCTTTCCTTGGCTGTGAACACTGGGTTCCCACCCCAGCTGCCCTGGGGGTATGGGATGGGAGGCGGCCAGAGAGAGAGAGGTGCTGGCTTTCACTAAGGCACAGGAAACTATCCTCACAACAGTAACAAGATGAAGAGTCAAAGCCGTCCATCCTGCAGAGCCCTGGCTCGGGAACGTGCCTGGCGGTTTTCTCTTGCTTCCTTGCTAACCTTGTCATTTTCTGTGACCTGCACTTGCTTCCCCCACCCCCAAGGGCAGGAAAAAATGATGTGTCTGAGAAGTAAATGGTCATTACCCAGAGGTCCCATTTAGAATGAGACGGAAGGTTGGCGACCCCCGCACTGCACAGCCCTATGCTGGGGCTCTGGGGATGTGGGAGAGAGACAAGGCTGGCTCCCTCACTGTGACCCCCCTCCCATAGCTGTGTCAGCCCCCACCCCACCCACTGGGGGCACGCCCTCAAGGAGGGGATGACAAGGGAAGGGGAAGTGAGGAATGCCTGGCAGAGGAAGGATCTCTCTGGGCTTGGAACGATGGATGTGGTATGGATGGACAGGAAGGTGGGGAGGATGATTCTTGGGAGAGGAGCAGCCGATTCTGGAGCAGAGGCAGGCACCCACCTGGCACAGGAGAGGAATGGGGAGGGGAGGAGGCAGCTGGAGGAGAAGGCAGCTGGGTCTCATTGCAGTGAGGTCCTGGAGTATGGGAGGAAGTACATCGGTCCAGCAGGAGCCTGGGGACACTGAGAGATGGGCAGCACCCTCCATAGACACCTGCATGTGAGTCCAGAGTGGCTCCAGAAGCCAGGGCTGGCACAAAGCAGGTGCTCAGGGAGTAGTGGCTAGGAGGTGCTTCTGGGAAGGAGCTGTGGGCAGAGGACTCTGGGTGCTGCCGCCCGCCTCCCTCCACCCGCCCTGAGATGCTGCCTGTCCCCCCTAAGTCATGAGTTCATCTCGGTATTTCCAATTCAAATTGTTGATGACATGTATGTCCTTCTATGCCAGCATCTCTTTTATTCTTTGTGGAAAATCTTGGTTCCTAACAACGTTAACATAATTTTAAAACTGTGTTGTCCCACAACATACATATCATAATGTCAAAATAGTAATGCCAATATTATCACTAATGTTACTAATAGTTACCCACGCTCTTTATCCTCTTCCCCATGCCCTCCAGACCAGCAGGCTGAGTAAGGTGCCTGCAGGGCCACGCTCGCCGCAGAGGCTCCAGGGAGAGTCCTTTCTGCCTCCTCCAGGGTCAGGGGGTGGCCAGTCCTTGGCTTGCGCCCTGACCCCAGCCTCTGAGGCAGGTGGCCTCCTGTGTATCCACTCTCCCTCTGCCTGTCTCCTACAGGAACACCCATGATGGCATCCAGAGCCCACCCAACTAATCCAGGGTTACCTCCTGTCTCAAAATCCTTAATGCAATAACATCTGCAAAGTCCCCTTTGCCATCTAAAGTGGCATTCACAGGGTCCAAAGATTAGGACGCGGATCTCGGGGCTGTGATCACATGAGGAAAATCACATGAGGCAAGGGAGAGAAAGCACTCGGCCTTCAGACATGGGAGCCTGTTACTCTGCACCTCGCAAGGCAGGGTGGATGCTGTTTTCTGGCTGACTTGTGTCCCCAAAATTCACATGCTGAAGTCCTAATGCCCAGCACTTCACCTAGTGACCTTATTTGGAGATGGGGTCTTTACAGAGGTAATGAGGTTAAGATGAGGTCATTGGGGTGAACCCTAATCCAAATGTCCCCTTTTTGGACACAGAGAAAAGCACCAAGGGAAGACGATGTGAAGAGACACAGGGAGAAGACAGCCATCTACAAGCCAAGGAGAGGGACCCGGGACAGGTCCTTCCCACAGCCACAGAAGGAGCCAGCCCTGCCCACACCTTGAGCGCAGTCTTGCGGCCTCCAGAACTGTGAGGGAGTCATGCTGTTGTCTAAGCCACCCAGCCTGCAGGCCTTTGCAGTGGCAGCCGGGACATGCATTCAGATGTATTCCTTGGCCGCACTAAGGTGGTTTTCAGGGGGCAAGGGTGAAGAGTAGACCCCTCCCTCTGACGTGCATACAGGCAGCAGAGGCAGCTGGCACTCAAGTTCCCACAATGCCCATGGGTCGCAGCTCCCGTGTCCTCGCGGTGCCTGAGGGTCCGGCCTCCTAAGAAGCCTGGCGGTGGTGCGTGGGTCACGGCCCTCCTCTCTCATGCAGGGATGACGTCACACCACACCACGGGGGCCATGGCACTCCTCTCTCACACAGGGATGACGTCACACCACACCACGGGGGCCACGGCCCTCCTCTCTCATGCAGGGATGACGTCACACCATGGGGGCCAGAGGCCCAGGTCAAGATGCCCAGGAGGTGGCAAGGCCAAGAAGGCCCCAGAGCAATGCCTCACTACACCTGCCAGGCCCGCACCAAGGTTGCCTGCTGCTCCTGCATCCCATCACCCCAGGTCCACCCAGGCCGCCATCTCTGCTGCAATCCATCCACTCATTCCACCCTGCCCCCTGGTCACTGTGGTGAGTCAGGTGCCAGGTCAAACATGGGGACACAGTGGGGGACCAGCCAGACCCAGTCCTGCTCCCGTAGCAGACACTCTAGTTGGGGGTCAGACAGTGGACAAATGTGAACACGGGGAGCTAGAGACAAGCTGTGAGCCGACACTACTGGACCACGAGGTCACACAGGACCACGAGGCCACACAGGACCAGGAGGTCACACAGGACCATGAGGCGGTACAGGACCACAAGGCCATGCAGGACCGTGCACAGGATCACAAGGCAGTACAGGACTATGAGGCTGCACAGGACCATGAGGCCACATAGGACTATGCACGGACCACAGGGCCGCACAGGACCACGAGGCTGCACAGGACCACAAGGTGGTACAGGGCCCCAAGGCCACGCAGGACCATGAGGCCACACAGGACCACGAGACCATGCAGAATGATGAGGTTGCACAGGACCACGAGATGGTGCAGGGCCACGAGGCCACACAGGACCATGAGGCTTCAAAGGACCATGCACAGGACCACAGGGCTGCACAGGGCCATGAGACCGCACAGGACCACAAGGCGGTGCAGCAGGTGGCCAGAGCCTGGGGGGGAGGCAGGGGTCCTTGGTGAACCCTGCACTTTTGTAGCTGTCCATGGTCTCTGCACAGTGGAAGGGTTGGTGGTCTCTCCTGGCTTGAACTGAACAGGAGCTGGCCCACGTTTCTGAAAAACAGCAGAAGCTACCGTTACCATGGTGCCCTATGAACATTATCTCTAAACTGGCCAATGAAGGGTGAATTTCAGTGCCCAGTGGCATGACCTTCAACTACCATGGCCTTCAGCTTCATGGAAAAGGGAAGAAAAAAAACAAAACAAAACAAAACAAAATCCAGTGACCGAAAGCAAGCAGAGGCTGGGCACGGTGGCTCATGCCTGTATTCCCAGCACTTTGGGAGGCTGAGAGGGGTGGATCACCTGAGGTCAGGAGTTCGAGACCAGCCTGGCCAACATGACCAAACCATCTCTACTAAAAAATACAAAAATTAATCAGGTGTGGTGGTGCATGCCTGTAATCCCAGCTGCTCGGAAGGCTGAGGCAAGCGAATCGCTTGAACGTGGGAGGCGGAGGTTGCAGTGAGCTAAGATTGCGCCACGGCACTCCAGCTTGGGGGATAGAGTGAGACTTTGTCTCAAAAAACATAATAATAATAAATAAAAATAAAAATAAAAAAGCAAGCAGAGCCGGCAGACCTGATATTACCCCTACGTTTCTGATGCTTCAGCTGAGATATTGGGCAGGCGGGCATCAGGCAGGGGCAGGCAGAGGAGTATCCGGCAGAGGGAACCGCTGGACAAAGGCCGGGGATCAGGAAAGGACCCTGGTGCTGAGGGACTGAGGGAAGACCAGGGAGGCCCTAGAGGCGGGCAAGGCTAAGGTTCGGGGTTTTGTCCCAGGCCGTCAGAAGCCCCATCGGAAGCTCTGCAGGGGTTTGGGGAAGGGCAGGAGTGTCTAAGTGTCACTCAGCGGCTGCTGGGTAAATTGATCTCGGGTGCTCCCAGGGTGGGCATGGGGTGGGGCGGCAGCAGGAGGACCGTGAGCCGACCGGGTTGGGGAATATCCTGGAGGTAGAAGTGCGGGGCTTGGCTGAGTGACTCTCCAAGAAGCCTCACAGATTCTCCGACGGGGTATGCCTCATGTGGCCTGATCAGCGACCTCACATCACTCTATGAACTTTGTTTCTCTTGTGTCTGGAAGCCCCAGACCTATTCAGGCCAAGATGCGTCAGGATGTGGTACCGTGGGGGGCTGCGTGTGACGTCTACCCCACATTCAGGTGCGTCAGGATGTGGTACCATGCGGGGCTGCGTGTGATGTGTACCCCACATTCAGGTGCATCAGGATGTGGTACCGTGCGGGGCTGTGTGTGACGTGTACCCCACATTCAGGTGCGTCAGGATGTGGTACCGTGGGGGGCTGCGTGTGACGTGTACCCCACATTCAGGTGCGTCAGGATGTGGTACCGTGGGGGGGCTGCGTGTGACGTGTACCCCACATTCAGGTGCATCAGGATGTGGTACCGTGGGGGGCTGTGTGTGACGTGTACCCCACATTCAGGTGCGTCAGGATGTGGTACCATGGGGGGGCTGCATGTGACGTCTACCCCACATTCAGGTGCGTCAGGATGTGGTACCGTGGGGGGCTGCGTGTGACGTGTACCCCACATTCAGGTGCGTCAGGATGTGGTACCGTGGGGGGGCTGCGTGTGATGTGTACCCCACATTCAGATGCGTCAGGATGTGGTACCATGGGGGGCTGCGTGTGACGTGTACCCCACATTCAGATGCATCAGGATGTGGTACCGTGGGGGGGCTGTGTGTGACGTGTACCCCACATTCAGATGCGTCAGGATGTGGTACCATGGGGGGCTGCGTGTGACGTGTACCCCACATTCAGGTGCATCAGGATGTGGTACCGTGGGGGGCTGCGTGTGACGTGTACCCCACATTCAGGTGCGTCAGGATGTGGTACCGTGGGGGGGCTGCGTGTGACGTGTACCCCACATTCAGGTGCGTCAGGATGTGGTACCGTGGGGGGGCTGCGTGTGACGTGTACCCCACATTCAGGTGCGTCAGGATGTGGTACCGTGGGGGGCTGCGTGTGACGTGTACCCCACATTCAGGTGCGTCAGGATGTGGTACCGTGGGGGTGCTGCGTGTGACGTGTACCCCACATTCAGGTGCGTCAGGATGTGGTACCGTGGGGGGGCTGCGTGTGACGTGTACCCCACATTCAGGTGCGTCAGGATGTGGTACCGTGGGGGGCTGTGTGTGACGTGTACCCCACATTCAGGTGCGTCAGGATGTGGTACCATGGGGGGCTGCGTGTGACGTGTACCCCACATTCAGGTGCGTCAGGATGTGGTACCGTGGGGGTGCTGCGTGTGATGTGTACCCCACATTCAGGTGCGTCAGGATGTGGTACCGTGGGGGGCTGCGTGTGACGTGTACCCCACATTCAGATGCATCAGGATGTGGTACCGTGGGGGGCTGCATGTGACGTGTACCCCACATTCAGGTGCGTCAGGATGTGGTACCGTTGGGGGGCTACGTGTGACGTCTACCCCACATTCAGGTGCATCAGGATGTGGTACTGTGGGGGGCTGTGTGTGACGTGTACCCCACATTCAGGTGCATCAGGATGTGGTACCGTGGGGGGGCTGCGTGTGACGTGTACCCCACATTCAGATGCATCAGGATGTGGTACCGTGGGGGGCTGCGTGTGACGTGTACCCCACATTCAGGTGCGTCAGGATGTGGTACCGTGGGGGGCTGCGTGTGACGTGTACCCCACATTCAGGTGCGTCAGGATGTGGTACCGTGGGGGGCTGCGTGTGACATGTGCCCCGCATTCAGGTGTCCTGGATTTTGCCATGTCGCTGCAGGTTTCTGCCCTACAATCACAGGGATTCCATTTTCGCCATTTGTCATTTTTTGAAAAGGTGGGGAAAAGCGTATGGTGAGTTTCTAATTGTGCACCTGGCCTGTGGCAGAAGACAACTGCCTTTTGCTAATGCACTGATAAGAACTGCACCCTCCCTCCACTGCAGACCCTTTCCCAGAGTGGCTTCCAGCTCCCTGTGTGCACAGCCTGCCCTCCTTACACGCACACTTCTGGTACAGCGAGCTGCGGAATGCCTTCATTGCGTGATGTGACCTCAGGCCCGCTCCTTCATGTCACCATCCCCAGCCAGCCAGCATAGTGGGCAGGACCTGGGACAGCTTACAGTGGCTTGGCTCTGCCCAGAAGTGATTGCAAACCTCATAAAGATGGTCCACCAAACCCACAGTAAAGAGCCCCACACAGCCAGCCCACCACACAGCCATGCCAGGGCAGGCAGAGCAAAGACAATGGGCTTAACTGGCTGCCTGAAAACATCAAGGTTTGGTTTGATTTGTTTTGCAAAAATCTATCAAACCACGTGACTGTGAACACACTGCTGGGCTTTCCAGATCACGGGGGCAGCTTTGCACAAGTCCTGCAGCTTAGGCGTCGTGACAAGGTAAGTCTGCCTTTCCGCAGCAGGTTCACTGGGAGGGATCAATTGTATGAAAGTAAAATCATGAATGTCAGGTATATTTCAAGATGTTTCCAGCATCATCGCTTAGAGCTGCGAGGTCCTGGAAACCTTGGCACGCACCCGCAGAAGACTCGCCGCTTAGAGCTGCAAGGTCCTGGAAGTAACCTGGGCCCTCACTTGCAGAGATTCACCGCTTAGAGCTGCGAGGTCCTGGAAGTAACCTGGGCACGCACGCGCAGAAATTCGCCGAATGCACGTGGGTGTGTGCACACAATTGAGCAGGGCCCCACGGGAGTGTGACGATGTCTGGAGACCATTTGGGCTGTCTAGACTGGAGAGCGCTCCTGGACATCGTGGGCGGAGGCCGGAGATGCTGTTGAACGCTCCGCAGGGCACAGGACGGCCCCACCACAGAGACTTGGTCCACCCCAAGTGTCTACAGTGCTGAGGCCGAGAAGTCCTGTACTAAGGTTTATCAGCTGTCAGAAATGTCAGGAGACAAAATGACAACATATCTGCTTATAGGTCTAATTGGCTTTTATTCACTCTTCATGAATCGGGGCAGAGCTCCGATTCTGTTTCTACAAAACACAATGAGAACTCCCACCAGGCAATGGCAGAACAGCAGGTTTTGTAAGGTGGGAACAAAGAATCAGAACAAGAGGCAGACGGCGACGGCTTTTTGTGTAAGGGGTAGAGCGGAGGAGACGTACTTATTACCTGACTCAGGTAGACTGGAATCTCCTGTTTTCAGGAAATACTGGTCTGCTTGGGACCTATCTGCTTCTTTAAAGTGTCAGTTTCATTATGTGGCATTTAGCACGAGTGCCTTCATTTTGGTTTGATCTGGTCTGTTGGGGCCTCATGCGGGAGCTCTATCCACAATGATGACCAACCTCACCCCAATTTTTTTCCTAACAAAATGAATGGATGAGTCTAATATATATTGACCTGGCAGATGTCCAGAATGTATCCTTGAATGAGAAAATGCAGCTGTGGATGAATGTGTGTGGTCTGATCTGCCTGCAGTGCCCAGCCCGGCCCAGGAGGGAGGGGGACAGGGTCTGTCCACACTGGGCCATTAGCACGGAGCGTTTGCTCAGAGAAGGGACCTGGAGAAATGAGAGGCGATTGTCTTTTTTTCATTAAAAAAAAATATATATAAATCTCCTTTTGCAGTGTGTACAATCATTTGGCCTGCCTGTGGGGTAAGTGGCTGGCATCTCCCTGGGAGCAGAGCAGGGGTCAAGGTTCTGCCTTCAAGGCCAGTGGGCTGGAGAGCTGCCTCCCAGCCATCCAGAGTGATTCAGCGCACAATTCAAAGGCATCTCCATCCCTTTAATTCCGAGATGCGGTTCTTGGCCCAGCAAGCGCCTCTGACTCCCCACCCTGTGGGCTCACAATACCTGCTTCTGGGACGAATCAGCGAATCTAGGACAAGCAGCCAGAAGTGAAACAGGCAACCTGCTCTTTAATCTCCCTGTTTCCAACAACATCAGAGAGGCGAGAGCCAAAAAGTCAGAGGGAGGAGGGCGATGGGCTGGTGCCCGACTCCCAGCAGAGGCCCTCAAAGGCTGCAGAGCCCAGGGGGGCCCCAACGGCGGCATGACGGGGCCACACCGCCCGGATGCCTCAGCCAGGCTGAGAAACACACTGAGCCCTGGTTCCCACAAATTCGGCTTTTATGTGGCGGTGAATAGGGGTGAACAATGGATCTATTGCAGGCTACACAGAATTGGCCCAGCTTGGGTCTCCCTCCCTCAATTAGGAGGCTTGGCAAGGCAGGGTTCTGGAGCCCCTGGCCTGCCTGTAAGCCTCATAAACACCACCGGCTGCTTGAATTTGGGGGAGGAGATTCCACCATCCCCTGGGGTCTGTTGCTGGCCAGACCCCCTCCCTGGCATCCCCAGCTGCCTGCATCCCAGATGGTGGCTGCTGCACCATTCCCATTGCCGTGGGCTCAGGCTCGGCCCGCGGCCTTCAGTCATGCCTTCCAGTTTCCCTCAGGATGGGACCCCCTACTCCCCTTCCACACTATGGCTCCCGCTCTTCAAACCCTTTTCCTCCTGCTGGCATCTGGGGCATCACATCCAGCGGGGGCTGGGCGTACAGAGGAATCTCAGCCCCACCCTGCACTTCCTGAGCCCAGGGCCTCACTGGCTCATCTGTGCCCACTCAGCCCCCAGCCCTCTGCACCTACAGCACAGGGTCAATGCTGTGGGCCCACCCTCCGCAACACCCACCCCACCTCCTGGAAGCACCCACTCTCACCTCTGCTAGCTGTTCCCCTAGTTTTCACCTACATGCAGTATTTCCAAAGAACACCTTTAATGGCATTAATTTTATGTGTCAACTGGGCAAGTCTGTGGTACCCAGCTGTTTGGCCAAACCCCTGTCTAGATGTCAATGCAAAGGCATTTTAAAAATGAGATTGTCCAGGCACGGTGGCTCATGCCTGTTATCCCAGCACTTTGGGAGGCTGAGGCGGGCGGATCACCAGGTCAGGACATCAAGACCAGCCTGGCCAACAAGGTCAAACTCTGTCTCTACTAAAAATACAAAAATTAACTGGGCGTGGTGGCACATGCCTGTAATCCCAGCTTCTCGAGAGGCTGAGGCAGGAGAATCTCTTGAATCAGGGAGTCAGAGCTTGCAGTGAGCTGAGATCACACCACTGCACTCCAGCCAGGGCAAGAGAGCGAGACTCCATCTAAAAAAAAAAAAAAAAATGAGATTAACATTTACATCGGTTGACTGATTAAAACAGATCCCTCTTTATAATGGGAGTGGCCCTCATCCAATTAGTTGAAGGCTTTAAGAGAAAAGACTGAGTTTCCCCAGAGAAGGAATTCTGCCTCCAAACAGTCTTTATACCCAAGATGGCAACCTCAGCTCTTCCCTGGGTCTCCAGCCTGCTGCCTGCTCTATGGACTTTTGAGTTTGCCAGCCTCCACAATTGCATGGATTAATTCCTTAAATAAGTCTCTCTCTCTCTCCACACACACACACATCCTACTGATATTCTATTTGTTCTGTTTCTCTGGAAAACCCTGACCAATACACATCTCCAGTGAAGGGAGCCCTCGCAATGGTCCCCACTGACCTCTGGCTCCTGGTGTTCACACCCTTGTATAATTCTCTCCCCTTGAGTGAGGGCAGGGCGTCATGATGGATCAACTGTGTGGAGTATGGCAAATGTAACGGGTTACAAAAAGACTTCCATCTTGCTCTCCCCCTCTTGTCCCTCTCTGAAGTCACAACCCTCACTCTGGGAGAGGCCAGTGGCCCTGATGGGAGCGGCCCTATGGAGAGGCCATGTGGCAAGGAGGCCACCAGGCATTAGGGATCTGAATCCTGGTGACAGGCATGTGAGTGAAGTGGATCTTTCCCCAGTCATGCCTTCAGGTGACTGTCCTCCAGCTGATAACCTGCAAGAGACACTGAGTCAGAAGACCCAGTGGTCTTGTGCCTGGATTCCTGACCCACTCATGAACTAATAAACACTTGTGATTTGGGGTCTGTTTTCTAGAGCCAATGTGTTTTGGGAGTAATTTGTTACTCTGAAATAGGTAACTAATGCACCACTCTCTCTTTGTCATCTTAGACCTTATCTGTTGAATTGTTGCTGTCTCACACTGATTTTCATTTCCTCTTCCTCCCAGTATAGCTATATCATGGTTTGGGTTAAATCAATATTCATGCCTCATGGGATCATGATCATGTAAGTAAAACATAACACTGAGCTAGGTAGTGCATTCTAATGGTATTTCTTTCTGAGCACATTTTTATTTTCCTGGAGTTAGTTATTGCCTTGCTTTTATTTAAAAACAAAAAGTTAGCTTTCTATGTGCCTATTTATATTCCAAATGTTTTAACAGAATTCTCAAATGTCAGCAATACATTTTCAAACGCTGAAATACACCAGATAATCCATTGTTTCCATTTTCCTTTTCTCCTGGCAATTTCCCTCTTCGGACCTTTGCCCCTTCCTCTGGAGTCTTGATTCTCTGGACCTGAGTTGTACCTGCCACTCTGGGGGACTCCCTTCACCTCTCGTCTGAGTTGTGCAACCTGTTTTCTGTATCGTATAGTTTCTCTGTACACTATGTCACCCAAACACAGTTCTAGTAGAGTCTTAAGAAAGGGAACATGGGAAATAAAATGTTGAGTCCCAGTAGGTCTGAAAATACCCTTTTCAATCCTAATGGTGGACTGGTCACTTTTTAGGTGTGATATTCTAGGTTCTCTCTGAAGTACTCAGGGCATCTTGCCATACGTCCCAGCTTCCAGTGTGACCATGGAGGGACCTGATGCTTTTTGAGTTCCTGCCTTTTTTATGTGATCTGCCCTTGCAGGTTGGATACCTGTAAGCTTTTATTTGGTTTCCAGTGTCCTGAAAGGTCCAAAGCTGTGCCTTCTTGTGGGTTTTTTCCTCTTCTGGCCTCTCCCAGAGTGAGGATTCTGACTTCAGAGACAGAGCAAGAGAAAAAGGAAGAGAGGAAAAGGGCAGAGAGTGAGCCTGGTCATCAGAGACGCTATTCTCCTTCGCCGGAAGGAGACTTGCTATATTTTCATGATTGCTGTGGACATTGGCTCTGCTGAGTTGAGCCTCTAATGTTTCTACTTTTCTCAGCAATTTTCCATATTTTGTCTTTTTGTTCTATTTTAGGAGAGACTTTTGCTGTCTTCTTACCTTTCTGCTAATTTTTAAAATTTAGATTATTGCATTTTCAATGGCCAGTAATGTTCCTTGTTTCAGAATGCAGCTTTCATTGTAGCCTCCCATTTTGTTTCATGGACAGAACGTCTGTCTAACCCCAGTGCTGTCTCAGCCGATGCTGTCTAACGCCAGTGCTTTCTAACCCCGATCCTGCCACCGTGTTTCCCCCATCCTCCCTAAATGCAGGCTTGTACCTTGAACCTTGTGGATATCACTGAGAGCTGACGCCACATGCCAGGAGCTTCCTGGACACAATCCTATTGTTTTACTCTTCTCAGATATGGAAGCTGAGGTATGGAGATGGTGAGTGTCCTGCCCAGTCGCATAGCCTGTCACAGCCTGGCCAGACTCACCGGTAGGGATCCCTTCCAAGCCTGGGGCATGAGCCAGCCTAGGAGGCTCAGCCCCTCCCTCCCTGCACGTCCGCCTGGTGTCTCTCACACGTCTTCTTGGTGGGGTGGAAGAACCGTCGCATTTCTCCCTGCAAGGATCCTTCTGAGGCCCCCTCTCCTCGAGGCTCACGCCCCACCCCATCGGAGTACAAGTCACAAGTCCTTCTACCCACCCCAGCTAGGGGCAGACCCCGAGCTGTGACCCAGTGGAGTGTCCCCCGCCTCTGAGAGGTGGCAGTGACTCCTCTCAGAAGCATCATAGGGCTGGGAAGACTCCCGAGTCCCAGTCTCCACTGGCCACTGCAGGGCCTCGTGTGTCACTGCCTGGGAGGTGGAGGTGATATGAGCTGCAGACGGTGAGCTCTGACAACAACGAGGCGTATCTTTGTTGAGGGCTTCTTGTGTGCCAGGGACCCCTCTTCTTTAGTTTCCTTCACAACCCAGGGTCACCACCATTTAACAGATGGGGAAACTGAGGCACAGAGGTGTTAAGTAACTTGCCCAGGGTCCCACAGCTAGTAAGAGGCAGACCCAGAAGCCAAGATGCTCTCACATGAGACACCTGTGGTCTCAGCACAGCTCAGGGGTGAAGTGGCAGCAGCTGGGAAGGAGCTGGCCAGAGGTGGGAGGGTGCTCTGGCAAAGTCCCAGCCCAGGGCTCCTTCCACCCCTGCATTTCGGGGCCTCAGAGTCAGGTGCAGAGGGCTCCTACCACCCCTGTGTTCCGGGGACTCAGAGTCAGGTGCAGAGGGCTCCTACCACCCCTGCATTTCGGGGCCTCAGAGTCAGGTGCAGAGGGCTCCTACCACCCCTGTGTTCCGGGGACTCAGAGTCAGGTGCAGAGGGCTCCTACCACCCCTGTGTTCTGGAGACTCAGAGACAGGTGCGGTTTTCCAGGGTGTGGGCTCTGGGTGGGCAGGAGTGATGCAGCCTGGGTGGGGTGAACCTGGCCATTGTCACCCGCTTGCCAGACCCCAGGAACTGGCCTGAGATCTCACAAGAAACCAGGACACTCCAAGATCCTGAACTGGAAATGGTTTAGAGCACTTCTTTGGGTCTGGCTGAGTTACCCCAGTGGGAAAACGGCCTGGGAAGGCTGGGTTTGAGGGGCTGGGGTCAAAGTTGGAGAGTGCCTCTCCCAGAGGAGGGACCTAACTGGGGGGACCTCCAGAGCTCTCGTCCATTGGGTTTTCACCCCTCTGAGCCTCCATTCTCATCTGCAAGGTGGGACCAGTCAGTGCACGGCCCTAGGAGCTGGGCAACAGACCTGGATAGGGACGCCTGGACCCCCCACCCTTACCTACAGGCAGCGCAGCACCACAAGTGCCCCAGGGAGCTTGCAGGCTCCCCTCCCCACCTCACCTGCCCACCCACTGGGACCTGTGGCCTTGGGCCGAGGCTTCCTGCGCAGGGCTGCCCTCTCCTGGTTCTGGTGTGCCAGTGCACTTCCATCCCCATTCAGGACTTTCTGTTTCTTGAAAGCCCAGATAATCAGAACCTGGAAAGACCTTAGCAAGGGTCTGACCCAGCTCCTCCTTCCCCCAGGGGAGACAGGGAGGGGTGGAGGAGGTCTCCTTCTGTCCAGGTATCTGCTGACTGCGAGTCCGCTGAGCTCTCTCCAAAGGCAGAGATGGATGTCACCAGGCAGGGGCCAACCTCCCCTGCACACCCTGATTTTCTGTGTCTCCAGGCATCCTGCCCTGGACTGGGACCCACATCGGCAGGTTCAGGAGGGGATGGCAAGAGCCAGTGGGCACACAGGGTGACTGTGGGGATGGGCAGGGGACGCATGTCCAGTGACAGAGGATGACAGTGTCCTTCCGGGCTGGGTCTGGAACTAGCCCTTCCTCACCTGTGTTCCTTGGGAATCTTTTTCCAGGTGGTAAACTAACGCAGGGAGAAAAGTTTATCTTAGACAAATCCGTATGGGTTGTGCAATAGGAATTTCTTCCTTTTTGGAGATCCCAAATGCCCATTTGCTAAATGTCCAGGGGTGGGTGGTCCCACCCCAAGGGCTGCCCATGAGTCTCAGCCTTGTGCTTGGCCAGCTGTGAAGGAGGCAAGGAGCTGGGACGAGAGCACCTCCCTTCCCTTCCAACCAAGTCCTTATGGGCTCCTCTGCCTTCTCCTCTTCCAGGAAGCTGGCGTCCTGGCCCCATGGTCGAGGACCCAGAGTGTGAGCAAATTTAGAATCGAGTACCCCTGGTAAGCTGCTGCAGTTGTCTTGCCACTGTTTATCTTTGAGAGCCATGGCTTAGAGAGCCCCCTGGGCGTTCTTATGGACAGACACCTGGACGGACGGAGCCCCAGACCCCTGCACCGCAGTGAGGAAGCAGCAGCACTCACAGAGTTGGCCTCACAGGAGGGGCCGCACAGTTCTGTCTGGGAGGCCTCGGGAGACATCAGCAACCTGCAGTCCCAGGGCTTTCAGAGGACCAGGGCATCTGTGCAGAAGCTCAGGCCCTGCTCAGGGCTCTTGGAGGACCAGGGCATCCATGCAGAGGCTCAGGCCCTGCCCAGGCCTTCTGAGTGGGCCTCTGTGCAGGTGACAGAGGAGTGTCTTGGGAGAGGCAGGAAGGGTGGTCTGACCCTTACCTGCTGGGGCTGCCCTGAGACTGGGCTTATTATCCCACTCCAGTCTTGGCTGTGCACTCTGGGCAGGTACCTTCCCTTGTAGAGCCTGTTTCCTCTCCAGGGAGATGCAGACGATAAGAACAGCGCTGACCCTGCTGGGAGCCAAGGATTTCAGGGGACAGTCTATGGAGGGGTGTGGCACAGAGCAGCTGCTGGGGACGTGAGCTGGAATGGCGCAGACCTTTCTCACCAAGCGGTGATGCTGTTGTGGGAAGAGACCCACCTCCCCACTCCCACCCAGGGACGGGTCACCTGAAGCAAGTATCTACCTATCTGATCAAACAAGGAGGTAACTGATGGCCTTCCGAGGGTCACGCTCTGCCTTCTGGCAGGCAGGTCTCTTGTGCTCTATCTTTGGCTTGGCTCTGGGTCCCCCTTGGAGCTGGCCCCCGTGTCCCCAGAGACCCGTATGTCAGGAGGACTGAGGGATGCACGGATCGGGGTACCTCCTCGTCCACCTCACTCCTCATGGTCCCTCTAACTCCAGCCTCAGCTACAACAATGCGCTCTGCCCAGGCCTCACCTGCCCTGCGGCACAGTCCTCACCTCACCTGCAGCGCCTGCTCCTACTTCATGCTTCCTCCCTGACTTCTCTGAGATAACTGCTCTGGAAGCCTGCAGCAGCCCAGTAGGCACCCCAAACAGGAAGTGGGGGAGTTTATCCCATGGGGCAGCCCCCCGCCAGTGGAGATGGGAGACAGTGGAGTGGATACACACGCCTCCTTCTAGGCTGAGGATCAGAAGCCCCGGGGCATGCCCCCGCTGCCCGCAGCAGCACCAAGCCCGCGACTCACCCTGTTTCTCCTTCCCTGCTGTCTTGCTCCCAGTACTACATTCCCACTGCCTGGGTCACTTCCCAGGTAGAGCACATGCCCATGCAACAAACCACACATGTCACACACGCACATGGGTACACACATGCACACGGACACACAAACCACACACACATAGCACACACCACACACTTGCACACGGACACACACACGCACACACACACCACACACACATAGCACACACCACACACATGCACACGGACACACACAGGCACACACACACCACACACACATAGCACACACCACATACATGCACACGGACACACACTCACACGCACCACACACACATAGCACACGACACACACATGCACACGGACACACACGCGCACACACACCACACACAGCACACACCACACACATGCACACGGACACACACACGCACACACACACCACACACACATAGCACACACCACACACATGCACACGGACACACACAGGCACACACACACCACACACACATAGCACACACCACAAACATGCACACGGCCACATACACACACACCACACACACATAGCACACACCACACACATGCACACGGACACACACATGCACACACACACCACACACACATAGCACACGACACACACATGCACAAGGACACACACACGCACACACACACCACACACATGCACACACACACCACACTCACATAGCACACACCACACACATGCACACGACACACACATGCACACGGACACACACACACACCACACACATGCACAAGGACACACACATGCACACACACCACACACACATAGCACACACCACACACATGCACACAACACACACATGCACATGGACACACACATGCACACACATACCACACACACAGCACACAACACACACATGCACACGGACACACACATGCACAATAACAGAGTACACACACACCCCACACCCCACACCCCACACCCACCCACTTAACACACACCACACACATGCACACAGACACAGTACACACACACACAACCTACACCCCACCGACAGAGCACACAGCACACACATGCACATGGACACAGTACACATGCATGCACACATACACACACCCCACCAACAGAGCACACAGCACACACAAGCAGGCCCCCCCACACAATACACAGACATGCACACATACAAGTACACATCCCAGACCCCACCCACATAGCACACAGCACACTCATGCAGGCCCCCCCACACACACAATACACAGACATACACCCATGCACATGCCACACCCACACATCCCACACATGCATTCAAGCACACAAACACAAACACACATGCACATACGTGTGCACAGACATACACACACCACCTCACACATGGACATGCACACGCGCACACACACACACACATTCTTCAGGCTAAGACAACACTGGCTAAATGTTGATGCAGTGTCTGGGTGTGGCTGTTGGAGGCTCTGGGTCCTCTGGAAAGAGGAAGATGAGTGGGTGTCTCCCGCCTTCTCTTGCTCCAAGGGTGTGGGGGCCGTGGGCCCTTCCCTTTCCCAGGTCCCTTTCCTCCCGCGCAGCCAGGCCAGGCCACCCCAGCCCAGCCTTGTGCCCGTGGAGATTCCTCCTGCTTCACCAAGGCGCTGGGGCCCTGGCTGGCCTCTCGGTGATGTTTCCACCAAGCAGCGCAGGGTCCTCAGGTGCCTGTGTCATGGCATGTGGAGTGTGGGTCCTGTCGTGGGATTCAGGCACCTGTCACAGCCCACCTGGAAAGCTGGTGCTTCTCTCCCTGAGTCATGGGAGGGCTCCCTCTGCCCTGTGTCCCCATCCCTGGCTCCAAGTCTGAGAGAAGAAGGCTCTGCCAGCAGTGACCTGCCCGCCTCTCTGGCTCTATCAGCTTCTCTCTGTGATGAGCCCAGCCCGGACCAGCTCCAGACAGCCATAAGTCCCTGGGCCAGGGGCCTCAGCTGACAGGGAGGCTCAGGGCTGCAGCCCATCTGCTCACATCGTGTAATGACCATGACCCTAGAGTTCCAGGAGGAAGCATCTCAGAAAAGACCCTCGTGGGCGTGGGGAGCTGCCCGCCTTGCCCCCAGGGCTAGGGCCACGCTGGTGGTCGGGGGCCTGGAGCCCCTTCTCCCCGCCAGCCTGTGCTCAAAGCCTTGGCTTTTGGCCAGACCTGGGCATGGAGCCAGGGGCCAGGCGGGTCCACATGCTTCTGTCCTGCACAGGGTTACCAGATTTGGCAGAAAAAGAAAAAGAAAGAAAAACAGGTAAAATTGGAATTTCAGTTAAACAAGGATGCTTATCAGTATAAATATGTCCCTGGCAATATTTGGGACACACTTATACTAAAAAAAGTATTCATTAATTATTTGAAATTTACATCTAACATGGCATCTTGTATTTTTTTCAGGACGACCAGGGTCCCAAGGGCCCCCCACAACCCCAGCCCCACTCGACCCCAGGCCAGATTCCCCTTTGTTTCAGGAGAAGCCTCTCAGGCCCTGAACTGGGACCTGGTCAGGAATTCTGAGTTGGTTAAAGGAAGGAATTATATCTTTTTTTAAAAGAAGCAGCAAATGGGCCTTAAATAGTTTAGCTTTCAAATCTGCCATCTTTATGGGACCGTCTTGTAACATGCGGGGGGCTTTTCTCTGACCATCTCCTGCCATGCATGGTACCCCAGGAGGCCCAGCTGTGCAGAATCCGGTGAGAACAGCGCCCCTGGGGTGCGCCTCCGCCACGTCCCCTCCTCATTCCCAGCTTGGTTTCCCGAGAACGGAGCCTTCGGACGCCCGTGATCTGCAATCCAAAGTCAGGTCCAGCTGGATTTTCACTACTTTGGTTCTAATCTTTTAAAGCTGTCACACCCACATCTAATTAGACAGTTTTTCGTGATTTTTACTGTAAGTAGGCCTCTCCAAGTCAGCTTAGTTTTAATCCAAAAAGCTCTTTCTTTTCATGTTCATTAGAAATCAAGACATTTCGTTATTTTATTAAAATAACAAGGACAATCGGCACCGGTGGGGTTGGGAACCCACGTAGGTGACTGTCAGAGGGCGCCCTTATCCTTACTCCTTGGGTACCTGGGCTCTGTCCTCGGGTTTATGGAGGGGGCAGAAGACAGCAGCTGAGAAGCAAGTGGGCAGTGAGGGTGGGGAGGGCCGCGTTCCCTGTGGCTCAGCGAGGACAGCAGGGTGGTCGGCCTGCAGGCACGGTGGGCTCTGACACTGACTGGCTGGGTGGACCTGGACCAGGCACTAACACAGGTTCGGAGAGGAGGCAGGCAGGACACAGCCAGGCAGGAGGCCGCATCCCTTGCTGAGACCGAGGACACCAAGGACATGGGCCAGGGGGATGGGGGCGGGGTGGGCCGTAAGGAGAGGCCATGTCCCCCATTGAGACCGAGGATGCCAAGGACACAGGACAGGGTGACAGGGGCTGGGATGGGCTGCGAGGAGGCCGCGTTCCCTGCTGGGACCGAGGACATGGGACAGGGTGATGGGGGCGGGGGTGGGCTGCTGCAAGGAGGCTGTGTCACCTGCTGGGACCGAGGACAACAAGGACAGGGAACAGAGGGATGGGGGCTGGGGTGGGAGTGGAGGAGGCTGCCCGAGGGTCCTGGGAGGAGGCTGTACTTATGGGACAGACAGGTGAGCAGAGGAACTGATGTGATCAGTGGGGCTGCTGGGAGGGGTGGACAGGTTCCAGGCAGCAAGCAGAGCCCCAGTGCCGAAGCAGGGGGCACGTTCCTGGGGCCCTGATGGCGGGCTGGAGAGAGAGGAGCTGGGAAGTGAGTCAGCAGCAGGAGCCTGGGCTCTGAGGCCAGACGTGGGAGCAGCGTGGACTTGCCAGAAGCCTCCCTGGCAGCCGAGGGGTGAGTGGTTTGAATATGGCCTGTCTGCTCCGGAACACAGGTCCAAATCTGGTCACCATGATGGCGGTGTCGTGACGGGGCCTTTGGGACGGGTTTGTCCGTGAAGAGGGGCTGGTGCTTCCTGTCGGGAGTGGGTCGACCCTCTCGGGAGCGCGGCTGTTATAAAGGCAAGCTCGGCTGCCTCTCGCCAGGGGGCCCCTTTGATTCCCAGCCATGCTGTGGAGCAGCACGAGGCCCTCCCCCGAGGTGGCTGCCCAGGCTTGGACTCTCCAGCCTCCAGAAGCGTGAGCTGAACAAACCCCTGTCCTTTATAAATGCCCAGTCGGTGGCATTCAGTGAAGACCAAGACAAGGGGACAGGGAGGAGCACGCAGGAGGCACAGCCCTCCAGAGCCCATGTCCGGGGGGACTGTGTCTTTAGGGCTTTAAATCATGTACAAGTGTCTGTGCTTGGCCTGTTCCTCCAGGAAACAGAGGTGGGCTGGGCACAGGCCCGGCCACCCCAGGCTCAGTGACATCCGCGATAGCCCAGGCTTGGTGTTCCCGAGCTGGACAGCAGGGGGCACCAGAGACCACCCGATCTCTGCACTGCCAGCGGCGCCCGCAGCCCGGCTCTGCCTGGTTGGCTTGGGACCCACCAGTGCCCACCAAGACAGTCTTGTGTGTGTGAGCATGTTCTCGCCCCAGGTAGACGAGACTTCCAGAGGCCTCCGATGCATCCACGATGGGTGGGGACTGTGCGGGGCAGGGGCAGGAGCTGGGGCTGGGGAGCAGAGACCCTGCAGAGTCACCTGGAGAAATTTCAAAACCACCGAGACCTGGACCCATTAAATCAGAATCTCACGTTAGGAGGCTGGAAATCCTGACTATTCAAAAGCTCCCACGTGGTCCCAATGTGCCACCAAGGTTAAGAGCCACTGCTTGAGATGGTGGCCCTGGACCTGCCCAGCACCACCTAGAGACGTGTTGGAAATGCAGATTCCCAGGTCCCTCAAGCGCGTGAATCAGAACTCTGAGTGGGAGGGGGCCAGAAAGAGACCTGCATTTTAACAAGCACTCCAGGGACTCTGAGGTCAGGCCCCCAGGGGACTCTGACCCCCAGGCTGAGAACCGCTGCCCGTGCCTCACAGCCCAAAGTGTGCTGGGGGACCAGTAGTATCCTGAGCTCTTGGGAGCTGGTTAGGGATGCAGAATCCCAGGCCCCCCACCTGTTGAATTAAACCTGCATTTTAACAGGACCCCTGGGGAATTCTTACAGTTTGAGAACCATTGCTGTAGGGGCTGTCACTGAACAAGAACGATATACACAATATACACAGCTTGGTGTGCAAACCCCTACAGAGGGCATTCTGGGCTGCAAGAGAGCAGGTGAGAGAGGAATGATGAGTGAGTGGCCAGGGTGGTGCCCTCCAGGGTGCAGGGGAGCCGGGGCCCTCTGGGTAGGGCCAGGGAAGGCTGTGTCCAGGCCAGCGAGGGACAGTGACCCTGCAGGACCCAGGAAGCATCTTCTCAAGAGAGTGGTCCTGCAGGACCCAGGAAGCAGGACAGTGCATGGCGGTGGGGCAGTGCAAGTGGCAAGATGGACCAGGACAGCCCGAGTGATCAGCAGCATACAGCTATTGGTGGTGCTGGGTGGTTTCTTTTTAAGATTTTTTTCCTTACATAAAAATAATAAATTAAGGAACATACATATACCCAGAATGAAGAAAAACCACATATATACGCCCATAGGTCCACCGTCCAACACCATCACTGCTTACTACTTCTAGAGTTTTTCCACGTATAGTCTTTTATTCAGTCATTATAAAGATATGGTACATGCTATCATATCTCATCTTTCCTAACGCCATAGGCGTATTTTCACATCATCTTCAGACATGCGGTTATTAACAGAAGGATGATAGGCCCATCCTCTCTGGCGGCCCCATCACGGTCAGAGGCTGCGGCAGGGCCCGGCCCACCCTCACCCTCCTCCCCTCTGCATCTAGCTCCCACCTTCCCTGCTAGACACGGAGGTCCTAGGCCCACCGCCGATGCTGGGCTGTGCATTTTCAGACAGGGCCTCCCAGACTGTTTCCCGGCTCGCCCTCCCAGGCCCTCCCTTCTTCACCACCTCCCACAGTCGCAGAAGGCCCATTCCTGTAGCAAGCTCACTCCGTGTCTGGCCACACTCTCCCCAACCCAGCTGGACACAGTATTGGTGCTCGAGAGGGGCCCAGGGATGGGAATGCTCAGGGTGGAATCTGGAATTGGATCTCTGGCTTGACTAGATCGAAGACTGGTTCCATTTCCCATGGAAAAGAGGGCACTGTCACCCACCCAGTGCAAAACAGAGCTATAGAGAGCAGGACTTTGGGTGACCAAGCAGCTGAAGCCACGGAAATAAGGACCGTGGGCTTGGTTGGTAACTGGAAAGTGTGCTGCCGAATCTGCGAAAAGACAATGACGAGCGCAGAGCTTAAATTCCCAGCTCAGGGGGCAGGTGAGGAACCAGAAATCTTCTGAGCTGTGCAGGGAAGGGCGACGAGCAGGCCTGGGTCCTCACCTCGGCACCTGGATTTCAGAGGGGCCACTGCCCCTAAGCTCTATGTGCCAACAAATGGTTGTGCTAAGCACCTGCTTCCTCCTGGGGGTCGGAGATCTGCACATGCACGAGTCAGAGGGGGCTGCACGACCAGCCCTGGGCTCTGAGGTTCTGAAGGGCTCCCCTCATGGGGAGATTCCACAGGTGTCACCACAACGTGGTGCTGGGGAATGGAGAGCATCCCGTGGGGTCCTCGAGAGGATGCTGAGTCCCACGAGTCCTCCTAGGGCATCTTCCTAGTGAATCATTGACCTGGGTGCTCTTGGTGACCCCGAATACAACTGCCCTGAAAGAATCCATTGCCTCCTGTAGCCACAGGCTCCAGATTTCTGAAAAGGAAACCCAAAATCTAATCCGTGGATGGCTGCCTTACCATCTGAATTAAATTAACCACCTCTCTGGGTATCTTTGGTTAAATGTATGGCATTGTGTGGGGAAAAATGAGCCCTTAATCATTTGGATGGGGACATGTGAGCAGACTGTGATGAACTCCAGAACCATGGGACACATGGGTGAGGAGCTTCCCAGAGTCCTTAAACAGCCCCCAGGGTGACCAGGAATGACAGGGGAGACCGCCACAGCAAATTCGGCCCCTGATTCAGTGGGGTGGCGGGACCCCAAGGAGCAGGACCAGGAGGAGGCTCTATGTACTGGAAAGACAGGTCAGCATAGGAACCGATGTGGTCAGTGGGGCAGCTGTGTAGTCAGAATGGCCCTGCCCACAGAGACCCTTGGTGCTGGCTGCTGGTGTCCCAGGGTGGGGACAGCCTCCTGCCCACCTACAGACTGACACTTTGGATCGCAGGGAAGCTCCCACCTGGAGATGGAAGTCCATCTTGACCCCACACTTTCTGCTGGGGCTCTGCTCAGTGGACGTCCTGCAGGCAGGTCCCGCTGACGGGGGCTCCTCCTGCCTGCTGGTTTAAGTGGAAGCAGCGCTGGAATTATTCAGCTCCTCCTCACGAGGGAGGAAATCTCAGCCAGCCCCGGTATTGGACGTAGGATCGCTCCTTGCGGAGAGTAAACTGGGTTTGTTTCAAGTACCAATGCTGAATTCAGTCCTAACAATTTCAGAAATGGCCGAGCCAAGATGTTTTTCTCTCAGTTTGAACTTTGGATCAGATTCCCAGAAATTGACACTCTGATTGTGCCTGCCAGCAGGGCGACAGGAGCCCACAGTCCTCCGGTGGGGATGAAATATTCAGTTTGACTGTTCAGGCAGGTGACGTGTCCTTCCTCATCTGCAGCCCTTCTATAAAGAGGACTCTTGAGCTGGCAGCAGAGCCCATCCAGGCAGCACGGCTGGCTGAGCAGAGACAAGGTAAGCTCTGGAGAGGCCAGGCAGAGTGGAGGGGGGTGCAATTTCTTAAGTCATGGGAATTAAGGCCAATTGAGGCAGGGATTTCACCTCCAAATAGTGGTTTGAAACCACTGAAATGGAAATTGCTAGGAAAACAGTAAGAATTTTTTTTTTAAATCCATGCCATTTTCCCCAGGGCTGCCCACACTGGGACTGGTAGAGGAAGCCGGCCCTGACGGATGGGTGGTCTCGCCCTTCCTGGGTTCATCCTGCTGCAGGTGGGCCTGAGTCGCAGATCAGGAAGCACCGGGAAGATGCAGGCCTGCATGGTGCCGGGGCTGGCCCTCTGCCTCCTACTGGGGCCTCTTGCAGGTGAGGGGCCGCTCTGGAGGGAGGCAGCCACCAGGACCCCCGACAGCCCTCCTGTTCTCTCCCCTCCCGCATGCATCCCCAGGCTGCTAGGAAACCTTAGAGCCCTGCAGCTGGTGTCGGGTGGGCCCAACCGGCACCTGGGTGGTCCTCCTGGGTGACAGCTCTTCTCTTCCTTTGCAGGGGCCAAGCCTGTGCAGGAGGAAGGAGGTACCGTTCTCCAATTTCTTTCCTTTCATTTGCATAAGTAACTGGTATGCAGCGGGGAGAAACTGCTGGGGAGAGCAGCAGCTTCTTATCCCAAGCAGACGCATCAGGGGCCCTGGCTCAGCTCAGGCCCAAGCATGGAAAACATGGCCCTTGAGAGCCAGCTTGGAGCTGTGCAAGCAGAGGGTCTATGAGCTCCTTCCAGCTGGGACCCTGCCCTCCAGCCACCAGGGAACACACTGGGCAGGGGGAGCCAGGGCCCCATGACCCCTGACATTCCCACTATCAGACCTGGGTTCCAGCCCCCAGGCCCTCCCAACTCTGAGCCCTAGCTCAGTCCAGTATCTTCAGGGCTGCTCTTGCCCAAGCTTTAGGACAGGTTATACGGGGGGTAGCGGAGTGGGGTGTCTGTGCTCTGTTCTGAAATCCCAGCAGGTGGCTGCTGGTGCCCCACACCCTCCCCACACAACTCCTTCCTCAAACAGGACAGGGCTTCCCTCCCTCTCTTCCCCTTCTTCTTCTTCCTCTGTCTCCCCGACCAGATATCCCCAAGGATCTGAGAGGGGATGGGCTCAGGCCCCCACTCTGGGAAGGTTGTATCACTGTAGGTAGAGCTGGGAACCATCCACTTGCCTTGAGACCTCTGAGGATGGTGTCTCCAGGCAGGACCATGGGGACAGCCCCCAAGGCAGGTGTCTTGTGTCTTTCAGACCCTTACGCGGAGCTGCCGGCCATGCCCTACTGGCCTTTCTCCACCTCTGACTTCTGGAACTATGTGCAGCACTTCCAGGCCCTGGGGGCCTACCCCCAGATCGAGGACATGGCCCGAACCTTCTTTGCCCACTTCCCCCTGGGGAGCACGCTGGGCTTCCACGTTCCCTATCAGGAGGACTGAATGGTGTCCAGCCTGGTGCCCGCCCACCCCGCCAGGCTGCACTCGGTCGGGCCTCCACAGGCATGGAGTCCCCGCAAAAACCTGGCCCCTGCAGGAGTCAGGCCTGGTCTCACGCTCAATAAACTCCGGACTGAAGATGCACAACCAGCGTTGTGGGTTGTCTTTCAAGGACAGCTGCGCTCAGGCCCCACTTACTTTATTTCACAAATGAAGCTGGTTTTATTTTGATTCCTGGGGAGCACTTTCATAAACTCTTTCATAAATGTGCAACATTTCCATCCACATTGGCATCAACAAGGGATTTTATATCCTGGGCAGGCTCAGGACTGGCTTTCTGTGTCTCTCACTCATCCATTTCCCACAATGATCCTAGGGGGCACTGCAGTTCCCCCAGATTACGGGTGAGGAAACTGAGGCAGAGACATGCGGTCACAGCCTGACTTGTTAAGGTCACACAGCTGGTTAGGGGGTAGCTAGATTCTAGTCCAGGCACCCCCGCTCTGGGCCACTAAGCTGGGCAGCACACAAACCCACAGTCAGGGCTAGGCTGACTCCACACCATGACACACCCCTGGGAGCAGTGCCCAGGAGGCAGCAGGAAACGGAACTGAGAAACCCCACCTGTATCTGTCATCGGTCAGGGACAGCGGGGCCTGGGCAGGCTCTGTCTTCCAGGGACGGCTCTAGGCTTTGAGGATGCTGGGAGGAAGGGGGCTTCACCTGGGGCACTGGAAGACTGGGCAGGCAGCACGATGGTGTCTCAGGGATGGGCCTCCAGCAATAGGATGGCCTCTGCACAGGTGGTGAGCCCCCCATCCCTGTAGGGTGTACAAGCAGACCGTGGAGACCCACAGCTCCACCCCTTAGCTAGTAAAGACCTTGACTTAATGGGTCAATCTTCTTAGTCACTGCCAAGCCCCTGTTCCATCGGACTGACTTTCACTTGGGTCCTTCAGGGTGATGCACATTGGCATGGCATGAGGCTCACCCAATATCCACTGCCAGCTTCTCCCTGCGTCCCACACTGTCCACTCAGGCCAGGCGGCCCCTTTTCAGGCCACACACACCCCTCACATTTCAGCTCAATTCCTGTCCCTGGAACTACCCTCATCCATGCCGCCCCCCACTCCCCTTCTCTACAGCCTAACCCCCAAACCCAACTCCTCTAAGGCCTGTTAAAGGAAAACATTATTGGAAATTTTCAGAAGTTGTTCCGAACCCTGGAGACGGGTGTGGGGACCACTGCAACGGGATCTTGCAGTGGGGGAGGGAGACCAGGCTCAGCTCCGAACAGCACAGGCAGTGGGGGTTTGCGGCTGAGGAGCAGGTGGGGTCGCGGGTGGCAAATGACTGGGAGGAACACAGTGCGGGACGGGATGCTGGCTCGGCCGACCCCGCAGGGCTTTCGCTGAAGACAGGTCTGGGCCATCAGACATCCTGGGGATGCTGGGGGACCAGGAACCCGATCCAATATCCAGGGTGGGGGGCTCTGGCTAAACCAACTTAGCAGGGCTCTCTGCGAAAACTGAACCTGACAATGCAGTGCACAGATGGGCCTGGGAGGAGGTTAGGAGGCCACCGAAGTCTGGCTGAGCAAGGAATCTTTGGCAAAGTCTAGTTCCAGGACCTGTTGCTCTCTCTCCTTCCCTCCCCTGTTCTTCCTCTCTCCCTCTCTTCCTCCAACCTTCTCCCTCCTCTTACCCCTTTCCTTCTCCTTTCCCTCGCATTTCTGTCACATTCTTTTTTGTTGTTTTTTTCATTACGGTAAAACTTCACAAATTGTTTCCATCTTAACCACATTTCAGTGACGTTAAGCACATTCACGAACTGTGCAGCCATCACCAGCAGCCTCTACAGATCCTTTTCATCTGTCAAGGCTGAAAATCTGTCCCCACTAAACACGAACTCCCCATTTCCCCTTCCCCAGACCCTGATAACCCCCTTCTACTTTCTGTCTCTATGACTTTGACTCCTCTAGGGGCCTCGGCTGAGTGGAATCATGCGGTGTTTGTCTTAGGACTGGCCCGTTTCCCTCGGCAGAGCGTCCTCAATGTTCCTGCGCGTGGCAGCAGGTGTCGGCATTCCCTTCCTTTTAAAGGCTGAGTAATGTTCCACAGTGTGCATGGCCCACATTTGCTTATGCACGTATCCATCGATGGGCAGGGACAGCGGGGGACGCTTCCCTTTTTCATTTATTATAAATAACGCTGCTGTGAACGTGGGGTAAAGACGCCCCTTGGAGCCTCGGCTTTTGGTCCTCTGGGCTTGTGCCCGGAAGGGGAGTGCTGGGCCACGTGGGTGTCCGTGTTTGATTTTCTGGGACCTGCCCCCCCCCGTCTCCCGCCCCGGCTGCCGCGTCTCACTCCCCGCCGCGGTGCGAGGGGCCCCGTGTGCCGCGCACCCTTCCACCCGTGTTTTGCTGTTTTTTTGACTCTGGGCGTCCCAGGGGTGCAGCGGCCGTGGGGCCCTGGTTTGCTTTCACCTCTTCATCTGCTCACTGGCCGCGAGTGTGTCTTCTTCAGACAAACGTCTGAAGGTCAAGCCCTGGGCTCCTGTGAACCCGGCCGTCTTTGCGGCAGAGTCTGAGGCTCCTTCTTTATTCTGGATCCGGCCTCTGGTCGGAGGCGTGCTCTGCAGGCACTGCTCCCATTGCTGGCAGCCTTTTCTCCCCGTGGCCGCCCGGCCGCCCATCAGAGGCGTTGCAGACGCCCGCCCTCGCCAGCGCAAAGACAAACGCCGGTGGCCGCGGACGCGCCGGCGGCCGGGAGCACCCCAGCGGGCGGGCACCACAGAGGCGCGGTCCTCCGGCGTCTAGATCTGCCATGTGGCGCGCGCCGGAAGCGGCTCTGAGGCCGGAAGTGAGCCTAGAGCGCCGCGGCCCCGAGATGAAGCCGGCGGTGGACGAGATGTTCCCCGAGGGCGCCGGGCCCTACGTGGACCTGGACGAGGTGGCACGGGCCCGGCGGGAGTCTCCGAGCGTGGGGAGCGGGGAAGGGGGAGCGGAAGGGCGGCGTCCTGGTGCGCGGGTCCCGGGGAGGGGAGGCCGGGCGGGTGGGCGATGGGCGCGGCTCCCAGGCTCCCTGCCCCGCGGAGAGCAAATCCCGGTTTCTCCGAGCACCTGGTGAAAGGCGGCGACCGACCGCGGCGGGAAGCGTGTGCCCTAGCCCGGGGGACCAGGAGGCGCAGCCTGAGGGTTGAGTGCCTGCTGGGTGCCCCCACGGCCCCCGGGAACACACCCGTGGTCAGAGGAGTTGCGTTTGCTGCTCTTCGATGGCTGCAGCACCCCATGGGGGCCCGCGGTGCGTCTCCATAACCTCGTGTGGGATTTGAGCTCGTGTTAGGGGATTTGGGGGAAGAAAGTGGGCTTTACTGTGCCTTGGAAGCGAGGATAATTCTCCGATTGGGCCTCTTAATCTTAACTAGAATGAGGGAAGACTGGAGCAGCCGTCATTCCTGTCGGAGCGGAAAAGGAGACATCTGGCATTTATGTGCTTTGCGTAGTGGCCTCGTTCTTCTTTTTAATTATACAGGATTATACAGTCGTCTTGGGGTTTTGTTGGTCTCTATTGTGTTCACAGAGTGACCTTGTCTGATGTGAGCGTTCTGAGATGGTTTATGGTCAGCAGGAGAGCACCACAGCCTAGCTCAGAGTGGCAGGCCAGCTCCTACATGTCAGGGCCTTATGTGCTCTTTCTCAAAGCTTAGGGGCTGCAGAGGTGGTCAGAGGCAGCCCTTGTGCTTGTGGAGGTAATAGCATGGCAGAGCGGCTGATTGCAAATACCAGGTGTCATAGAAAGCCGAAGGCGCACCGACGGATGGACCCTCAGGGCTTTGAGGGGGCTCAGCAAAGGTACAGCTGAGGAGTCGACTCTGTGGCCAAATGCTGGGGGACACATTGGTGTTTGCCAGGTAGTGGGGGATGAAGGCCCGGCAGGAGCAGAGCCCTGGGTTGGGGGATGCCGACTGGCTCACCAAGGGAAGGGAATGTTGTGTCGTTTAACATGGTTGAGCGTGCAGTGCCAGAGAGAGGGGAGACAGTGGGTAGGGACTCTCTCCCTACCCAGATCGTGAAACCATCTGGAACCATGCTAAAGAGGGTGGCTCTGTGCACCCCGCTCCCGAAGCACTTCCATTAAACCCAGGCTTCTCAGTCCTGTTTTACAGTCCTAGGCTTCACAGTCCTAGGCGATGTGGAGCCACCGGAGGGCTTTACAGTGGGGAGTGAGAGGCTCCGACTTGCTCTGTAGGGTGGCAGCATTTACGGGTGAGAGGGTAGAAAAATGAGAGCAGGGAGAACAGGAGAGTTGAAGAGGGTGTGAATGAGGCAGATGGAGGTAGGGACAAGCTTCAAGTGGTAGAATGCGCGTGGCTTACTGTGCTGATGGGGACAGGGAGGGTGGCTGAGAAGCCAGGGGAGGAGACTGAGTGTCCTGGCTTTTCTGAGAGTGTCTGAAAGGGAACAAGGGCATGCAGCTATGTGGGGATCAGGGCAGGTCTGAGCAAGCGGCCTTGTGAATGCTGGGGCCAGGGCAGCAGCAGGACCTGTGGCCAGCTGTCCAGGGTGCTGCTGTCAGAGGAATCTGCTCCCTCTGTCACCGGTTGACTCTAAACAGGACCCAAAATCCTGAGGGCTTCAGATTGCCCAGCTTGGGTTGTGACATGGTTTTTCCACTGCCGTGGAGTTGTGGCAGTGGACGGTCCATGATAGCAGCGGGGCACCAGAACCTCAGAGGCAGAGCAGGTCAGTTTCCTCGGGGAAGTGGTTTCATTCCCAGAAGAGAGAGGGAAGGGATCCTGAGTGGAGGCGATGGGCTCAATTTCGCATGTTTGTGGCCTCTGGCGATGTCCGGCGAGGGATCGGAAAGCTCTCCTTGAGGGGCACAGAGAAGTAGTGGTGCTTAGGTCAGTGGTAGGTTTCTTTTTTAAAGGCAGACAGGAATCAAGGAACAGAAGCCCTTGAGAGACCTTAAAAATCATTCCTTTGAATTCCTCCCCCTCCCCCCAATACACATTCCTGTGTCTGGAACTAAAATGTTGACTCCAACTTGAGCCTGTTTCCCCTCACCCATCTTCTTTTTTTGTGGGGGTAGTGGCCCTGCAATGCACTTATCACCTGTTCTTTCGGAAAACGCACCTGACATAACCTTGCCTTTCCATTCCCCAGGCGGGAGGCAGCACCGGGCTCTTGATGGACTTGGCAGCCAATGAAAAGGCCGTTCATGCAGACTTTTTTAACGGTAAGGATGCTTGGAATGGGATGCCAGATTTAATCTGAATATTTCTTCTCTAGGTGAAGGCAGTGAAGCAACTTGGTGACATGAATAATTTGGATCATAAGGTGGTAGAGCCCCTGCGCTCCTCTCAGAATGCAGTGCAGCCTCTGTGGAGCGATGACACGGGCTGCGGCCACTGGCAGGCAGCCTTATTTTTCAGGAGAAAAGTAGCATGAAATTGTTCCCAGCTTGCAGCCCAGTAGTTGAGTTTGAGCTCTGGCATGCGTGTTACATGTGCCTGCGGACACCTCAGACTGTAGCCAGGTCTGGGCCCTCACCCCACACACGGCCATAGGAACCCCATCTGTCTCCCTGTCTCCGCCCTCTCCGGGTAGCCGGTTTCCTTTCCTCTCCCAGCCCACCTGTGTTTGCCTGCCTGGGTTCTCATGCCCTCAGCTGCCTTTGCAGAGGGACAGCCATACTCCAGCTCTTGCCCAGCTCTGAAATCAGGACGCAGGATGTGTTTTCCTCTTGATTTAAGGGCTTCAGTGCTAGTTACCAAAAACATGGGTAAACCAAATGAACAGTGAAAAGCAAATTTTCTGTAACATCTTCAGACCTGCTAGAGGGAATATTTCTCATTCTCTTCTGATTTCTTCAGGCCTTATTCCTATAGATGATATTAACCTTTACTAAGGGTTCAAATAATAAGTAAATAAGATAGGTTTCTTACTCCAGAGAGTGAGGTGGCATTTTTCATCCTGGTTTAATCCATGGTGCTTTTCTCTACAGAAAGCTCTTGTTACTAGTTAACAGCTAGGACCTGAGCTTGCCACATCGGTTTCTAATTTACCAGAGACCCCCTGCCATCCTGAGTCCCTGCTGCTTCATCAGGCTTACTGTCAGGCAGCCATTGCCTGAGGGGAGCAGCCAAGCTGCTGAGTTGGGGTGCAGGCTTTCCCAGGGTGCCTGGCCATGCCCCTGAGGCAGCATTCTTACTGCTACCAACTGGAGTCAGAACTGAGGCAGATGACATTTGAGATGAGCCTGGAGAACTGAATAGCATTTATTTCAATTCTTTATGCCAGAGCGAGGTGGGAGAAGGGTGTTGCCTTCAGAGGGAACAAATTGTACAAAGCTGCAGAGCGCTCTCCAAAGCTGCTTTGCAAAAACACCAGCTCACCAGGGCGACTTTGAAGCTTTTCACGTGGGCAGGATTGGGCAGTTGCTAATGCTGGCACCACACGCTTGCATTTTGATGATCTCCTTCAAAGTCCCATTTATCCTCTGCCAGCCCATTGGTTAGAGGCGATTGCTGTGTTCTAGTGTTTGAGTTCACATGACTTCCAGAGTCAGCCCTTGAATCCTGACGGGAAAGCATCTCTGAGAGGGACCCAGGTCCTACCCGTCAGGTGAGCGCCCAGCAACCTGAGCATTGTGGGCGCGTGTCTGCCTTTGAGCCACGGCCGGTCAGGGAGGGGACGCAGGAGAGCTCTGTGTCCCCTGCCTGCCCACCCACTAAGTTCACAAAGCACTCACTGTCCCATCAGGTTGTGACAACCCCATGTGTTCAAGAAGCCATTTACTTTGAGAGACCTCTGTGGGCTGTGGATGAGGCTTTTGCTAAGTCCTTTTTACTCGTCAAACAGATGGGTTTGCTGGGCTGTTACACCCTGGGCACCAGGGTTCTAGCCACGAAAGAGACACTCTCTCTTCCCTCGCCATGTCTTACAAAATTGTGGGTCCAGACAAGTCAGCAGGCAGGGGCTGGACTGTGACAAGAGCCCTGGCAAAGCGTGGACGGCATTGTTTCTGGGAGCACTGCAGAGGGAGGTTTCTCCAGAGGGGGCAGCAGAGCAGAGGTCGGAAGGTGTGGAGTCAGCCAGGCCCAGGACTGCGCAAAAGTGCTCCTAGCGGCGAACCACAACCAGCAGTCGGGAGGCAGTGAGGACGTGGGGGTGCATCAGTGTGGCTGGGGAGCGTCGGGACCCTCTGCAGTATCCAGAGATGCCTCAGGGACGCCACCCTCCCCAGGAAGGCTGGATGCTGTGGTGCCAGCAGGCCCCTTTCTCTTCGCTCTGACCCTCCAGGAGTTGAACCTCCTCTTTCTAGTTCATAATTCATACTGCACATTTTCAGTGCGCAGTACATGTGGGTGGGCTTTTAGTTGTATTTTCACCTCCCATTGTGAAAGTGATGATTGCCTGTAGTAGGGAATTTGAAAAACACAGAAGACTAAACAGAAGGACAAAATCTTTCCTGGGGGGCCTGATTTTGATCACCCAAAGCAGGGCACTACGTGTTTGCTGCGTTTCTTCCAGTGAGAATGGGCCTTAGCAGGTGTTTCTCAGGCTTGAGTATCATTCACGCTCCCTTACTGGAGGCTTCACCTTTCTGCAGCCTAGCCCGGCTTTCTCATGCTCACAGCGGCAGCCGGCTGGTTTCCCTCTGCTCTCAAGGACCCAGCACGTGCCTCCCAGCTTCATCTCTCCCCGGCCCCGGCAGCGAGGGCAGCATCTTGGGTGCCCGTGCACTCGTGGGTGCAGACACGGCACTGGCGTGTCCTGAGTGCTGAGTTGTGGCTGTGCGGTGGTGTCCGTGGGACTCAGAACAGCCCTGCATGCATTTTCTTAGGATTGTCTTTTAAATGAAAGCTAGAAAGCACTCTAGCCAACACTCTCCCCTTGGACTACATGTACGAGCCCTGGTTGGCTGAAACTGAAAGTCTGTTACGGGAAAAGTCTTTTATTTCATTGGATCATTGACGATTATCTCTGTATTTTGGACTACTATATAATTCATTCTGAAGTGATTTCTTCAGCCCTTACCCTTGTAGGTGTAACTACGTGGTTTTGCTTATTTCCCTAGATTTTGAAGATCTTTTTGATGATGATGACATCCAGTGAGATGCCCTCTGGCTGCAGGCGGGGCCAAGCCCTTGGTACAGAGCCGCAGTGTGAGCCTGCGCAGGACAGTTTCAGGTGGTTTTAAAGAACACGTGGAAATCCCTTGAATTTAGGACCTGGTTAACCAGAAAGATAAGACTGTTCTTAACGACCTAGATGATTCTGTTCATCTCTGAACGGGATCAGGTTTTGTCCTCACTCCAATTAAAAGAAAGCAATGTCACATGTGGAGTGATCTCTTTCTTGCACTTATGAGTGAATGTTGCAGTCCCTAAACGTCTCTGTGTGTTTGTGTGTGCATGCATGTGCGTGCATCTGTCAGCACGCTGAGAGAACCACATTTGTCTGGTAGCAGATACCTTGTGTTAAGGTGCTGTATGTGCTGGAGCAGGAGGCAGCGCGGCCCGTGCACAGCTGGGCCTGCTGACAGCACTTGGAGGACCTTGCCACGGGGCCGCCCCTCTGCTGTGTGGGCAGGTTCCCACTGTGTGTGTCTGTCAGCACAGTCGTCCTTATGCTGTCCTCTGGCCTCCACGTCAGGGCAGCTGCCCCTAGGCTTAAGAACTAGGACGACAGGATGCGACTGCAGGAGACGCCTTCTACGTGGAAATGCACATTGGTCCATTTCAAAGGAGAGTGTAACGCCCATGTGGGAAGAGGGGTCTTGTTTCCTGTAGGCCCAGCTCAGTAGTCGATACTGGCTGTAAAGCAGTGAAGTTGCTGTTTGACATCCATCTCGAAGTGAAGAGTGTTTCTCAGGCCAGGAGACGCCCAGGCCCAGGACTTCAGCAGTTCCCATTTTCAGAGTTAAAGCCCCTCAGTGGAGGGACCTGCTGCCCCCGCTACTGAGAACCCGCTGAAGGGTGTCACCTTGTCATGTTTACAGAAGAGACATTTGTACTGGAGGCCAGGTGAGATCTTAAGCAGAACCGAATGTCAGCTCTGCCTCTTTTTCTCATGAGTGGTGAGTGGATTTCCACCCTGTCATCCTGATGGAGCTCCTGTCCTTTGTTGGGGCTCAGCAGCTCAGGACTGCCCAGGACAAGCCAGCAGTCCTCCATGGTTCCCGCACTGCAGCGAGGGCAGTCGGAGCACGGGGTCCGTGGGAAGGCAGCAGAGCGGCCTGTGGTGTCGGAAGAGGTAAGAAGTGCATCTCTGTAAGAAGGTCTGCACTGGGCCGCACGTTGAGGCTGCCGCTTTGTTTCTGAGACCCACGTGGCTTATCTGCAGGCGAGGAGCAGGGTTTCCAGCGGCCAGGCGTGCACGTCGTCTGCACTTGGAGAGGGTGGGGTTTTTCAGTGCTATGTTCTTGCAATTCATTTCGTGAGAGTTGTTTTTACAGTTTCATGAGTGGATTCCTCAAAGCAGGCATAGAGGGCTCTGTGGGGAACAACTAGGTATTTGGGTGAATTCTGTCGTGATCAGGTGGTTACCCTGCAGTTCCCCTTCAGCTGAGGTTTATCGCAGTCCCACAGGGCCTGCAGTACACAGTGGTAAGGGCTGTGGCTACACTCAGACTGGCCCGTGGCAAACACCACTGCCAGCGAGCTGCAGGCTCCTGCTGAATCCGTTCCTTTCTTTGGAGGGCTGGGCACAGTGGCTCACTCCTGTAATCCCAGCTCTTGGGGAGGGTGAGGCGGGAGGGTCACTTGAGGCCAAGAGTTTGAGACCAACCTGGGCAACAGAACGAGACCCCCCTCTCTATACAAAAATTAAAAAAATGAGCTGAGCATGGTGGCACGTGCCTATAGTCCTAGCTGTTTGGGAGGCTAGGGCAGGAGGATCACTTCAGCCCAGGAGTTCAGGATTGCAGTGAGCGATAATTGCACCACTGCACTCCAGCCTGGGCCACGGAAACCCTGTCTCTAGACAAAACCAGAAATGTTTCTCTGGGCCTCTGTTTCCTCCTTGGTGAATGGGGATGTCAGCCTCTGGCCTTCAGCAGGAAGGAATGATCCCAGGTGGAGAAGAGAGCTGCCGCAGAGGAACTCAGGCAGAGTGCAGATGGGCACACCCCTTCTAGACCAAGGCCTGTGAGCCCCAGAAGCTCCTGTGTGGGCCGTAGAATTTCAGGTTTGCCTGGTCTAAGCTGCTTTGTGAATAGCAGTCTGCACATGTGTGCATGTCAGTGTCTTCTGCACATGTTGAGACCTGTGTGGGCTCTAGGAGACCTCCCTTTGCCTTCACAGAATCCTTGCAGCTTCTTCAATACCATGAGGCCACGAGCATTGCCACCTGTTTTTCTTCCTCATCTCCGTGTGACTCGGCTGTCACCGTGAGGCTGTCAGGAAGAGTGATGACCTGGGTGATCGGACTGCAGCTGACGGGCCCAGCCACGGTCACTCCCGTGGCAAAACTCCAGCCATTGTCAGTGATGTGTCTTCACCTACACTGACAAAGAGGTATTTTCTCGGTTTTTATACCTGATCGCCTTCATCACAGAGACCTCTATACCGATCCCTGCCACATTTAGAAAGCTGCTGGGGGACCGCAGGCTCAGCTGCCGGCCAGATAATGAACCTCAGCAAGGCAGCACAGCTCTGCGGGGAATGCCTGCCTGCGTCTTGGAGCAGAATGGGCCGAGGGCGAGGGAGCCTTCTGGGGTCCTGGAGAAGACGCTTCTGTGAGAAAAGAAGGAAGCACTGTCCATTAAAATCCATGCAAGAGAGGAATTTGTTGGAAGGCTCACAGAAGGACAGCTGGCCCCAGGGCTCAAAGATCCCTGGACTCAACTACTTCCTGTTTCTGCCTGCCCACTGGCTTCTTGGGCCTAGAAAATCTTTCTCCACAACAGTTTCTTTCTCCACCGTGGTTCCAGCAGTCTCCACACTATATCTCTGGTAACACGCCTCCCAGGGTGGCAAAGGGGACTGTGTCCCAAGGGAAAGGCTTGAGGAAGGTCTGTGATTCGCCCACCTTCTGCGAGCTGTGCGCTTTGCCCGCCTCCAGCCCTGGATCAGCACCCGGACTCTCAGCACACCTTGGTGGCATCATCTTGGCCACACAGCGCAGGTTTTGTGTGAATAATCATTGCCTCCAATTAGTCCCAAAATACTACTCTCAAGTATGTCTTGAATGGTTTTAATGGTTCCTGGGTGATTTTTGAGGGGGTGTGAGTGGCCTGCCATCAGAGATGGCTGTCACTTGGGGGGCAGTGAATCCAGGGAGGGTTGCTCAGCTGGCTGAGCAAGGCAGAGCAACCCTGATCGAGGGATGCCTGGTCCCTTTGTCAGGGTGCTCAGCAGGCATTTCTTAAGTGTAAACAAGCAACAACAGAGGGACTTTGAAAATGACGGAATCCTGGGATCTTTTGGAGAGAAGAGAAAGCCACCCCAAGGGCACTGAGCCTGGTGACTCTTAGGTGGTGCCTTGCTGTGGAAGAGGCATGGGGTCTCTCTCAGATCTCTCCTGTACGGACGCTGATCCCACTCATGAGGGCTCTGCCACCATGACCTAATCACCCTCCAGAGGTCCCACCTCCTAACACCATCACCTGGGGGTTGGGGGTGAGGATTCGATGTGAATTTTGAGGGGACACAAATTTCTGAACAGTAGCACCTTGCAATTGGAGGGTGAGCAGACATGGCCCGATGTGGGCAGTGCCACGCCACCCAAAGGCAGGAGCTTGAACACATCTGGGATGCACTACCTGGTCAGGAAGTGTGTGTTTGAGAGAGAGAGAGAGAGACTGGTTAACAGGGGCCCTGGGACTGGACCTAAGCCTAACTGCCTCTGGGTGGTTTGGAATTTCCCTGTGCCTGAGCTGTAAGGTGGGGTCATAATGATGCCTTGTGGGGCTTCCTGGTAGGGGTGGGGGTGGGGGTCAGCGAGCTCCTGTGGGAAATGCTCGGAAATGCTCTGGCAGTGCCCTGCACAGTAGTCCAAGCGCTGCCTGGGTATTCGCCGTTAATTATTACTAGCAAGCCTGTGGGTCCCAGGAACCCTGTGTCCTTGTACTTAGCCTTCCCCTCTCTGTCCTAAGTTCCTGTACCTTGTAGAAATACTTGTCTTCTCACTGGACAGAATGACTTGTCCCAGGTCACTCGGAATTCCAGAGGCAAACCTACCAGACCTCGTTCTAGTGTCACGAGCTTCCTTGTCTCTCCCCAGAGATGTGAACTGAACGGGAGAGAAGTGGCAGCTTTGGACAGAGCGTTTGGGAGCACAGGCCATGGGCAGGGGGCGGAGGCGCTAATGTTTACCAGATGCAGAGAACATCCGCTGTGTGGCACCAACAAAGCAACAAGTGAGGGGAAAATGGGCACAGGACGCTTAAGAAACAGTTTACGGAAGAACCAATCCAAGTGGCTGGGAAGTTATCTAGAGGTGCTCAGAACCACAAGAAGCAGGCGAGAGGTCAGCGAAGACAGCACAATATCAGTTTCTACTCACTGGAGGGGTAAATGTTTTAAGAGTGATGAAACACCATCCGTTGCTGGTGGAGAAGAAGGGAAGAAGACCACACAGCCATGCATAGATGTGAGGTAGGATGCAGAGAGGTGTGTGTTTCCGACGTTATCTATTTATATACATGTCAAATAGCCATTGTGTTCCTGTGTGTGCAGAGACACATGCTTTTTAGATGAGTGTCAATGTGGCGTGTGCCCATGTCTATACGCCCCAACGTCAGAACACCTACCCAGAGTCCTGTGTCGCTTAGTGACGGTGTTCCCTTCTGAGAAATGCCTCATTAGGTGATTCTGTCATTCTTCCAATATCACGGAGTGACTGACACAAACCTAGATGGCTTAGCTGGCCACACACCCAGCCTGTTGCTCCTAGGCCACACACCTGCACAGCTCGTGACTACTGAATCCTGGAGACAACCGGAACACAATGCTGAGCATTTGTGTGTTGTGAGACAAAGTGTCAAACCTAAGGAGCCCTGTTTGCTCATTTCTGCTTGCCAGCATCATTTCGCAAAGTCCCTGTGTGCAGTGCTCCAAAGATGCTTTGAAGACAAAACGGCAGAGCACACGCCACGCCCACATCTCCCTCCCGAGTCACTGCGTTCCATGTCTTTCCTGCACAAGGTAATGCCTGTGAGTTAGTGATTGTGCCTGTGCGATCTACCACCTGATGTCCTGCACAAACGCCGATGCGATTCTGCTCTCAGGGAACTTCTGAGCAGGTTCAACGTGACTGTGTCCTGAACCCCACCACCTGCATCTCCGCAGTGCACTGACACCCTGTGCGGGGCAGTTGGACAGGACCTTGCCAAGGGGCTGCTCCCAGCCTGGAGGACTCGGTCTGGAGTCCTCAGAAAGACTTCTGAATAACACTGGTTTAAATGCCTTCAAAGCTTGACTTCTTTTCTTCCATCAACAGTATCTAAACATATCTAAGCCTAGAAAAGGAATGGTTAAAATGTGCTGTTATAATCTGATGAAGCCACTGGTGCATATGCCGTCTTATTTTTGCCCAAAATGGCATTATGTGGTACATGACTGTAAAGCAAACATGGACAGATCCAGAGGGAGAATTAGAATACGAAAATATAGGAGACTCCAGAACTCCTATACGAAAATGTAGGAGACTCCAGAACGGTACAGTCACGGGCAGACCATCCAGAGAAAGTCAATGAGGAAAAAGCCGACTTAAACACTGCTACAGACCCAGCGGACCTGACAAACATTCTTCCCCCAACCTGTGTGCTCTGCCACCAGCTCCTTGATGGCAATATGGTAACGGCGATGACACTGAAGATACACAAGAAAGTGGGGTTTGCAGCATGTTTTCCATACGACAAAAAACATGGAAACAAAATGAATGCTCATTCTTGAAAGAGGAAATTATGGTGTGTCCCTACCATGGGGTCCTGCACGTCCTTACCGTGGTGTCCCGCACCCACCAGGCAGAGCATCCCTACCGTGGGGTCCTGCACCCACCAGGCAGAGCGTCCCTATCATGGAGTCCCGCACCCACCAGGCAGAGCATCCCTACTGTGGGGTCCTGCATCCACCAGGCAGAGTGTCCCTACTGTGGGGTCCTGCACCCACCAGGCAGAGCATCCCTACTGTGGGGTCCTGCACCCACCAGGCAGAGCGTCCCTATCATGGGGTCCTGCACCCACCAGGCAGAGCGTCCCTACTGTGGGGTCCTGCATCTACCAGGCAGAGCGTCCCTATCATGGGGTCCCACACCCACTGGACAGAACATCCCTAACATGGGGTCCCGCACCTACTGGGGAGAATGTCCCTACTATAGGGTCCTGCACCACTGGGTGGAGTGTCCCTACCACGGGGGTCCTGCACCCACCGGGCAGAGTGTCCCTACCACGGGGGTCCTGCACCCACTGGGCAGAGGGGCTGGAGTTTCAACCGCTGGTGTGGAGGGGATTCCACAAAGCCATGTGGCTGGGAAATGTGGGATGCAGAGAGGTAGGTGTTACCTCACATATTCATAATGATTTACGTATACATCGACATTTTGTGTGTGTGCATAGGTGTACACTTTTTAGATGAGTGTAAATGTGGCGCGTGCATCAATCTGTATAAAACGCCACACGCTTGCACTGTGCGGCTCACCTAGGCCCACGGGCCATGATCACACCCCTGCATATGATCATACAGGTATGTGTGTGTATGTGAATGTTTCATGAAAGACTGTGCTTACAGCCCTGTGGGGAAGGATGAACACTAAGGCCGCTGTGAGAACCCACTGTAAAGCACGAGGGCAGGGCAGCTGTTCCGGGGGTGGGTGCAGGCCCCGGACCCCACTCTGGAGGGGCCTGGGGGAGTGTGGATGGAGAACCTTGGGAGAGGACGCACAGTCCCGAGGGAGGGGAGGGGCCATTTGGGGTGGGCAGGGGGCCTGAGCATCAGCGAGGGGCTGGGCAGAAGGTGGCGTTCAGATGGCTTTTCTCCCCAGACCCAGAGGCTGCCCCCAGCGGGGGTCCCTCTCTATTTCCTTAGATTCCCTGTTTGCAGCTGAAGCAGAGAAGGAAAGCCTGGCCTTCAGGGTCCAGGGCTGTTCATCAGCACAGGGCTGAAAAGAGGGGCCGACTGCAGGGCTCAGTCCTCTGAACTGGAGGAAACCTTGCTGGTGTCAGGGCCCTGGTGGCGCCTGCAGAGGGGCTGTTTGCCTAGAGAATGAGTGCACCTTCTGGACTGGAAACAGGCGGGTCTCAGCTGGAATCTGCCCCGGACATCCGTGATTTCTGCTCAACTGAGAATTACGTACATCATGGCAATACAGAAATGAATTTATACATATCCTTCGCCCACTTTTTGATGGGGTTGTTTGATGTTTTCTTGTAAATATGTTTAAGTTCTTTGTAGATTCTGGATATTAGCCCTTTGTCAGATGGGTAGATTGCAAAAATTTTCTCCCATTCTGTAAGTTGCCTGTTCACTCTGATGGTAGTTTCTTTTGCTGTGCAGAAGCTCTTTAGTTTAATTAGATCCCATTTGTCAATTTTGGTTTCTGTTGCCATTGCTTTTGGTGGTTTAGACATGAAGTCCTTGCCCATGCCTATGTCCTGAATGGTAATGCCTAGGTTTTCTTCTAGGGTTTTTATGGTTTTAGGTCTAACATGTAAGTCTTTAATCCATCTTGAGTTAATTTTTGTATAAGGTGTAGGGAAGGGATCCAGTTTCAGCTTTCTACATATGGCTAGCCAGTTTTCCCAGCACACTTATTAAATAGGGAATCCTTTCCCCATTTCTTGTTTTTGTCAGGTTTGTCAAAGATTAGATGGTTGTAGATGTGTGGTATTATTTCTGAGGTCTCTGTTCTGTTCCATTGGTTTATATCTCTGTTTTGGTACCAGTATCATGCTGTTTTGGTTACTGTAGAAGGATATGAACAGACACTTCTCAAGACATTTATGCAGCCAAGAGATATATGAAAAAAATGCTCATTATCACTGGCCTCAGGGAAATGCAAATCCAAACCACAATGAGATACCATCTCACACCAGTTAGAATGGCAATCATTAAAAAGTCAGGAAGCAACAGGTGCTGGAGAGGATGTGGAGAAATAGGAACACTTTTTCACTGTTGCTGGGACTGTAAACTAGTTCAACCATTGTGGAAGACAGTGTGGCGATTCCTCAAGGATCTAGAGCTAGAAATACCATTTGACCCAGCCATCCCATTACTGGGTAAATACCCAAAAGATTGTAAATCATGCTGCTATAAAGACACATGCACACGTATGTTTATTGCGGCACTATTCACAATAACAAAGACTTGGAACCAACCCAAATGTCCATCAATGATAGACTGGATTAAGAAAATGTGGCACATATACACCATGGAATACTATGCAGCCATAAAAAAGGATGAATTCATGTCCTTTGTAGGGACATGGATGAAGCTGGAAAACATCATTCTCAGCAAACTTTCTCAAGGACAGAAAACCAAACACCGCATGTTCTCACTCATAGGTGGGAATTGAACCATGAGAACACTTGGACACAGGGCAGGGAACATCACACACCGGGGCCTGTCATGGGGTTGGGGGAGAGGGGAGGGATAGCATTAGGAGATATACCTAATGTAAATGACGAATTAACAGGTGCAGCACACCAACATGGCACATGTATACGTATGTAACAAACCTGCATGTTGTGCTCATGTACCCTAGAACTTAAAGCATAATAATTAAAAATAAAATAAAATAAAACAAACTACCTTTAGTCATTCAGGTCACATAAAAAAAAGAAAGAAATGAATTTATACAATTTGGAGGTCTCTTGTGGATCTGCAGATTGAAGCTTCCTGCAGGGCAGGAGGCCTGGATGATTTGTTCCAGCCAGCAGTCCTCGGGTGGTGTGGTGGTGTTTGTGTTTTCTCCCCCCCTTTGGCCATTTTAACTTTAAAATTTATTTTGCTGAGATTCCATTTATCCTGTCACTTGGCAGGCTCACCTCCATGTCCCCAACTGCATCCAGTATAGCTAAGGAAATGTTGAAAGCACCTGCTAGCCCTCTTGCTGAGGCAGGAAAACCACCAACCCTGCCATGAAAATAACATTTAGAACAGTTAGTTATGTTTTTTATTTATTTAGCATCTTGCCAGTGATCATAACAATCTCAAAAGATCCATTCATTGAAAGCCAGCATTGAGCCCAGCATTCATATTCTATCATTTCATCTTCCGAAAGTTCCCAAGATGGACGTGGCGCGCTGGCTTTGCTGATAAACAAACCGAAGCTCCCTCTGGCACAGTGACTCGTGCAGCCTGGTCTGGCCGTGTGAGGAAGGACGGGTTGAGGCTGAGAGCAGCAGTGCAGTGTGGGCCCCGTGCAGGAAGCGCAGGCTCAGCTCCCAGGTCTACCCTCTCGAGGTGTGACCTGGAGCAAGTTATCACACTTTTTTGCCTGGGTTTTCCATTTGCATAAATGAGGATTATGACAACACCTACCTCAAAAAATTAAAAATATCTGCTCAGCAAAAAATACTGGAGTGAAGGAACAGACTGTGGTGGGATCTGCACAGTACAGGAGTCTGACAGGGGACTCACTTTGTCCAGAACACGTTGCCTGTAACAGGAATTCCCATAAATCAACAATAAAAGCATGCACAGGCTAATGAAAAAGTGGGCAAAATGCATTTGATTGATAACTCATTCAGAAATGAATGTATGCAAATGATCAGTAAGCACCTTCAAAGGATGGCAACACCCTCACTCATCAGAGAAATGCAAATCAAAACCACGGTGAGGCATCACTTCACATTTCTGTCTGCAGCGAAAGTCTAAGATGAAGAATACAGCACTGAAAGTCATCAGGGATGTGGAGCCTCTCCTGGAACGGTGGCTGTGGGTGGGGGTGTAAAAGGATCTGACCACACTGGGGAAAAGTTTGGCAGTTTCCTAAGTGAAACCTGTATCTAACCTATGGAACACCCCTCCCCAGTGAAACCTGTATCTATCCTATGGAACACCTCTCCCCAGCTTCCACTTTTAGGTACCTGCCTAAGAAAAATGGATGCATATGTGCGTGCGTGCACACACACACACACACACACACACACACACACACACAGACACAGAGATGTGTCCAGTAATGCCCAGCAGCTTTATTCATCGTAGTTCCACACTGGACACCGAAACAGAATGTAGAGTCCAGAAATAAACCCACACATGCTTGGTCAGATGAATTGTGACAAAGGGGCTAAGGAAATTCAATAGGGAGAATCTTCAACAAATGGTATTGGAAGAACTAGATATCCATGTGGAAATATAAAATGATCCAGTGCTGACCTTACACTGTACATACATGTTAATTTGAAATGGATCAAGATGTAAAGCTACATAACTTCTAGAAAAAAAATCGTAGGAGCAAATCTTCATAGCCTTGCAGAAAGCAAAGACTTCAGGAACCAACAATGTGAACATCGAAAAGAAAGGGAGAAAAACAAACTAGATTCCATCAAAATTAAAAACTTCTCTTCAAAAAGCACTTAATAAAATGGAAAGGCAAACCACAGATTAGGAGAATATATTTTAATACATATATGTGACCATATAAAGAACTCTCAAAACTCTGTAAGAAGACAAACATCTCCCCTTCAAATTGGTCAAACATTGAATAGACACTGTACCAAAGAAGATGTACCGATGACCTATCAACACATAACAAGACACGCCACATCAAAACTCATCACAGAAATACAAAAGTAACACTGCAATGTGACACCTACTATTATACACCCACTAGGCTAGCTAAAATTTTAAAAGTCCGACAATCCTAAATGCTGAGGAGTACATGAAGCTGTTGTAACTGACACACTACTGGTGGAAGTGTATATTGTACAGCCACTTTGGAAAAGCATTGACTAGGTTCTTATAAAGTCAAACATACAC
Source organism: Homo sapiens (assembly GCF_000001405.40). NCBI lineage: Eukaryota > Metazoa > Chordata > Mammalia > Primates > Hominidae > Homo > Homo sapiens. The sequence goes on along the minus strand of NC_000002.12, from coordinate 240,120,239 downwards.
TTTCAGTATGACCTAACAATTTCACTTCGTGACATTTATTTAAGAGAAATAAAAACATATGTCACAAAAAATCTTGTACACAATGTTCATAGCAACTTTATCCATAATATACAGAAACTGAAAAAAAACTGATGTTCAAATGTCCATCAGCAAATAGAATGTATAAAAAAAAGTATAGTATATCCATCCAATGGAATAGTACACAGCAATAAAAAAGTTAACTACTGATGCAAATATCAACATGGATGAGTCCCAGAAACATGCTCTCAGCAAAATATGCCAGACGCAGTGGGCCCAGAGGTCAGGGAATGGAGTCAAAGAGAATTATTCTTGAGTCTTAAAAGTCTAATGATTTTTTTTTTCTTTGGCTAGGCTTCAGACTTGGTTGAGACCTGTCACTTCTTTCTCCTTTCTGCTTTGTCCCTTTTGGAATGGGGATGTTTGTCCTATGCTTATCCAACCACGGTATTTTGGAAGCAGATAATGTGTCTGGTTTTATAGCAGGAGAGGAATTTTGCTTCATAGTAAATCATACTTTGATTCTTACCTATACCTGGCATAGATTATATTTACGTAAACTTTTGGACTTAAGAGTTGATGTTAGAATTGGTTAAGCTTTTGAGACTATTTGGATGGGGTTCATACATTTTGAATATAAGAAGGACATCAGTTTCAGAGTGGCAAGAGTACAGTGTTATGGACTGAATTGTCTTCCCTCCAAATTTATTATTTCGAAGTCTTAATCCCCAGTACCTCAGAGAGGACTGTATTTGGAGCTAGAACCTTAAAGAAGGAATTAAGGTAAAATGAGCTTGGGCGCAGTGGCTCACGCCTATAATCCCAGGACTACGGGAGGCCAAGGAGGGTGGATCACCTGAGGTCAGGAGTTCAAGACCAGCCTGGCCAACATGGTGAAACCCTGTCTCTACTAAAAATACAAAAAATTAGCTGGGCATGGTGGCACACACCTGTAATCCCAGCTACTCAGGAGACTGAGGCAGGAGAATCTCTGAACCTGGGAGGCGGAGGTTGCAGTGAGCCGAGATTTTGCCATTGTGCTCCAGCTTAGGCAACAAGAGGGAAACTCCATCTCAAAAAAAAAAAAAAAAAAAAAAGGTAAAATGAGGTTATATGGATGGGCTGATGTTTTTATATGAAGAGGTGATTAGGACACAAACAACACACAAACTGGGGGGTAGCCATCTGCAAGCCGAGGAGAGAAGCGTCAGAAGAAACCAACTCCACTGACCCCTTGATCTTAGACGTCTAGCCTCCAGAACTGCGAGAAAATAAAAGTGTGTTGTGTAAGCCACCCAGTCCCTGCACCTACTTTGTTATTATGGCAGCCCTGGCAAACGAATGCAGGTTTCCAGGGCTTTGGTTGCTGCCAGTTTGGGGCTATTACAATGACGAACGCTATGACCATTCATGTACAAGTCTTCATATGGACATACGCTTTCATTTCTCTTGGGTAAATATCCAGGAATGGATTGGCTGGGTCACATGGTAGATTTATAACTTTTTAAATGGGCTGTTTCCCAAAGAAGCTGTACCACTTTACATTCTCATCAGCAGTCTATGAGAGTTCCAGTTGCTCTCTGTGATCAGACTTTTATATCTTAACCACTTTAGTTAGCATGTTATGGTATCTTATTGGGGTTTTAATTTGTATTTCCTAATTACTAATAATGTTAATAGTTTGTTACATGCTTATTTGCTGTCTATATTCCTTCTTTGATTAAGTAAATGTATGTTAAAATTATTTGTCCATTTGTTTATTTGGTTGTTTTCTTATTTCAAATTATATATATATGTATTATATATATGATGTTAGTCCTTTGTCAAATATATAATTTACAAATTTACATATATTTTCTTCCAGTTTGTGACTTGTGTGATATGTGGACAGCTTCCAATACAGCCCCCAAAGATCCCTGCCTCCTGGTATTCCCACTGTTGTTTAGCCCACTTTCCTCAAAGGTGAGCTGGAGTTAGTTATTTTCCTGTAATAAGTAGAATATGGCAAAGGAGATGGTATGTCTCTCCCAGGATTAGGTTGGTTATGTAAAGACTGAGGCTTCTGATTTGAGTACTCTTTCAAAATTATGTCTTGAGGCCTTGAGACATAAGGAATGTTCAACTTTTTCTAGCTGAATTTTGAAATTACTGTGGTCCAGTGGCCCCTCTGTGCCTCCCATTCTCCCCACCATCTACACTTTCTGAACAGGAATGCCTATAGATGTTATCCTGGGCCTGTCCAACCATTGTAATGTTGGATGTTGGGATCAGATAACTTGTATCTTTGGTTTCACCGTTCTACAGATTGAGAAAAACTGTACTCAAGAAGCTGTAATTAAGAAACTACACCTGAGGAGCCTCATCCACACCTGGACCTAATATATATAATAAGCTCTTAGACTTTGAGTTGGTGTAATAATGAGATAAAATTTTGGAGAATCTTGGTATGGAGTGAATACATTCTTTATGGGGGAGAGAAATAAATCAAATGAATAAAATACAGCAGAAATTATGTATGGTTACTTCTGTTTTTGGACTATTAAAAGGACTGTAGCTTCTGTCTTGAGGTTCTCTCTCCCTCTCTCTCTCTCTGTCACTGCTTATTCTGGAACAAGTTAACTTCAATGTCATGGGTCAGTCCTTATATGCTGCATAAGTGACCTTGGAAGTAGATTTTCTGAGGCCCGACCACGGCCAATGTGTGAGTTTAGAAGTGGCTTCTCCCACAGCTGAACCTTGATATGACTGCAGTCTGTGCTGACACTCCAATCAAGAAAGACCTTGAGTCAGAACAAAGCTGCTAAGTTTCTCCTATGTTCTTGACACTCTGTTCAACCCCAAAGTTTTGGAGGTAATTTTTTAAGTAGCAATAGATAACTAATAGCACTATCCTAGTTCCTTCTTCTTTCCATGTAAATGTTATAATCAGCTCATCAATACCCACAAAAAATGTCTGCTAGGACTTTGATTGGGATTGCACTGAATCTGTAGATCAAATTTGAAATAATTGATATCTTAATATTGTAGAATATTCCAATTCATGAACACAGTTTATCTCTCCATTTATGTAGGCCTTCTTTAATTTTTTTATTGTTGTTTTATAATTTTCCATAAGCTAAACATCCTTTGTTTATTCTGAGGCATTCCACTTCTTTGATTCTATTGTAATTGGTACTTCTAAAATATTCAAATTGCAATTGTTTATTGCTAGTATATATAAATATTATTGATTTTGCATGCTGATTTTCAATCCTGAGATTCTGTTAAATTACTTATTTTTCTAGGAGTTTTTTTTTAGATTTTTTAAGAGATTTTCTATGTAAAAAATTATTCAGTCTTCCTATTTGAAATTATCTACTAAAGCGAAGCATATGTCTCAGTGACCCACCTATTGTACAGATTTCTTTACATATTTTCAATAGAAATAGTTGCATATGACCATCAAAATACATGCAAAATATTGCTTATAACAGTCCTTTCAAAAATCAGAACAGCTCAAATGTCCATCTACGACACAAGGAATACACAACCTGTGGTATATTTTTGCAGTGGAATAATACACAGCAGTGGGAAGGAATAAATGACTGCTACCTGCAACAGAATGGATCACTTTCAAAGGCACTATGTTGAGCCAAATAAGACTGACAAGAGTACACATTATATGATTCCATTTTTACGATTTTTAAAGACAGACTAAACTAGTTTATGCCACAAGAGATCAGAATAGTTGTTAACCCTGGAAGCAAAATATTAATTGGGAAGGAATATAAGGAAGTCCTTTTTGGTTCTGAAAATGTTTTCTACCTTGAAGAGTGTGGTAGTTTTATGAGGATCTTTATATGTGAAGACATTGAGCTGCATGCTTAGTATATGTGCACGATGAATGGGAATAGATGAGATCAGAGGATCTCATATGAAGACAGTGGCCTTGGATGTCATTGAGGGAGGGAAAATAGATTACAGACACATTTAGGACAAGAACATCCCCTTAGGGGCATCTACATTTAAAGGGCATGAAAAAGAGGGCTCAGCAAATACGTGTGGGCAGGAATAATCAATGGTGTTTGAAAAGAGCAGGGATTGCCAAAGATCCCACCCACCAAGGGAGGAGGACTGTCAAAGAATAATGGACTAACACACCCAAATCCACTCAGAATCGCTGTCTAAGGTTCATTCATCATCCAAACTGGTGTACCCTTTATCGTTCAAGTGTTCCAGGTAGGCAGGGATATTTCTTCTTAATTTTCTAGGGCTTCTTTTTAAAGTTGGTTCCTCCATAGAAATTTTAGAAATAATTTGTCCAGTTCTATATAAAAATTATGTTAGGGGCCAGGCACGGTGGCTCACACCTGTAATCCTAGCAGTTTGAGAGGCCAAGGTGGGTGGATCACCTGAGGTCAGGAGTTTGCGACCAACCTGGCCAACATGGTGAAACCCCGTCTCTACTAAAAATATTAAAAATTAGCTGGGTGTGGTGATGGGCACCTGTAATCCCAGCTACTCAGGAGGCTGAGGCAGGAGAATCGCTTGAACCTGGGAGGCGGAGGTTGCAATGAGCCGAGATTGTGCCATTGCACTCCAGCCTGGGCAACAAGAGTGAAACTCCAACTTAAAAAAAAAATTATGTTAGGATTAAGATAGTATCAATTGTATTGGCCATGTATAATAGCATAATCAAGGTCTTTATAATGTTGAATAATGTTGAAATCTCCTATCCTTGAACATGGTATAGCTCTCCATCTATTCAGTTCTTTCATAGCTTTCAATAACATTTAAATTTCACACATCATTTGTTATATTTATTCATAAATGTTGAAGAGTTTATATTACAACATTTTACCTTTAAAAAATCCAATATTATGAAAGAGTAGAAGAATGGACAAATAGCTCAATAGGACAGAATATAGACTCTAGAAATCAATCTACATATAGAGACACTTGGTTTATGACAAGATGACACTGTATAACACTGGAATAAAAATGTTTAAAATGTGGTCAGCAGGATAACCATATGGAAAACATGAAGCTGTTAATCCCCTCTATCACAGAAACAAAAAATAATAATTTTATGTGACTTATAAATACTAATATGAAAGACTTAGTGAAAAGACCTCACCAAACTATAAGATAAAGAAGAATATATTTTTGGATCTAACGCAGGCAAATATTCTTTAAACATGACAAAAAATGAAGTACCTATGAAGGAAATGACTCATAAGCTTATCTTATTGAGCAAGTTTAAGAAATTATGTTAATCAAACTTAAAATCGACATGAGTGTAAATACAGAAGCTTCAAAGTGGGAGAAATATTTGCAAGCCATATAACCAAAAACAGGCTCATATTCAGAATATGTGAATAATTTTATGATCAATATGGAAAAGCAAAGCAACACGGTAGAAATAAAGGGCAAAACACATATACGTCCTAAAAAAGAATATCCAAATGACTGCTAACTATATGAAAAGCTGATTAAGCTCTATAGCCACTGTAGAAATGAACATGAAAATCGCAATGATCTATGGGCACAGATCCACCAGAATTGCTAAAATTTATACAATGAACAACACGGACTATCCCTGATGATGTGCAGCAACGGCAACTCTCATTCACTGTGCGTAGGAACAAACATGGCTATAACATTTTAGGAAAACCATTTGGCATTATCCAAAAAACATGAACAATTCCACTTCTAAGAATATTCGGGAGAAATTCATTCACAGCTGGAGACATGTAAAACTATGCAAAATTATTTTAAAAGCCAGTGATGAAAAACAACCCAAATGTCCCACAGTAGGATGGATAAGTGAATTACATTATAAATACTGTGAGGTGAAGCCTTGTCCTGGAATCATATACTGCAGTCTTACTGCGGCAGGGAAAAGCAAAGAACAACTGGAAGAGGCGTTCACATGGATTAATCTCAAAAAGATATAATTGAGCAAAAAAGTGAGTCACACAAAAAGACAAACTATGTTTCTATTCGTAGAATGTTCTAGGAAGAGAAAGTAGGACTAATCTGTGTGTTAGAGTTGGAATAGGAGTTAGTCTTGGAGGTCAGTGACTGGAAGGAGGCATGGCAGAATTGCAGATGTGGGCAGGTTTCTGTCTCTTGACCTGGATGATGTTGAATTACCTGAATTGTGAATATGATTTGAATATTTTCCTTAGATATGTAAAAATTTATATATAAATATATATATATATATATATGTAAACTTATATATAAAGTGAATGTTGACACTTCTTCACATCTCCATCTGCAGGTAGAAGGGTGGATGCCGTGTCTGGAGCTCTGAAGCAGGACAGTGTTGTTCATGTTCGTGGTGTGACAGGGCGGGAGGCTGGGGGAGAGCCCACATTTGCTTCAGACCTCTGGCCTGGCTCTGTGAAAGCAGCACTGTGTGTCAGATCTGAGCCACTCAGAGCCAAGCCTATTCCTGCTGACACCTAAGCCACTTTGGGAGGATGCTTTGGCTATGTGTTTAAATTATTATTATTTTTTGCATGGCACATGTATTGTTCATTCACTGTTCAGAATTTTCATGCCATCTTTCTGGATTCACCCAGAGCCATTGGGTAGCTCCCCACTGGCATTCTGTTGTGTTTCTAACAGCCTCCTCTGTCCCTGTCCTCATTTGTAGGATGCACTGCCAGTGTCCGAGGAGCTCCCGGGGTTGTCCTTATGAGGGAGGGAGAAGGAATGTGTGCAGAGCCGGCCTCAGCAGAGTGATGAGCTTTGCATCCTGCACCCCAGGGGTCTTTCCTGTGACTTTCTCTCCTCTCCACCTCCTCCCTTGCCCAGCAGCCTCCGGGCACCCAAGGGCTAAGGAATCAGATCGGGTTTGAATCCTGACTCTGCCAGTAGCCATGTGATCTCAGGGAAGTTTCCTGCTCTCTCTCAGCCCTTTTATCTCCTTCTACTATGTGGGGAAGAGACCCCCTCTCTCAAGGCTTACTATGAGAATTCAATGACTTCAGGTATCTAAAGCAGTGGGCACAGTGCCTGGCATACAGTATGCCCTAAATACACCAGGGAAGAGAAGACATCTATCTAATAAATCAAAGTCAGAGCCAGCTGCCTAGGGGAATTTGCTTTATAAGAGTCTGGTCCCTTTAACAGAGCCCAAGAAATGACTCTCTAATGGTGGAATTTCAGACAACATAGCACAGAGAAGGGGAAGATCTGGAGGCATAGGCCTCCTCAGCATCATTTGAGTCCAACCAGGAAGACTGCTACTTCTTCTGCCCAGGGGCAAGGCTGGTACTGTCAGAAGGTATACTGACCCTCTCTTTAAGGCCATGGCATTGTAACCAGGCAGAGGCCCATTTCAGGGAGCTGGAAGAACACGTCTAATGTGTATTTATTTAATCATCCCTGCCAGAGAGGAAGCAGCTTCCTCTGTGTGGGTGTAAACCAGGGGCTTTAAGAAGCACAACAGTCTTTTAGGACACTAAATCCCTTCCTAGTGCCCCTGAAAAGTTACTTGTCACAGCCCAAACCACCATGAGCTCTCACAGTGGGGAGTTCATGTGTCACTTACCCTCAAAACCCACTTTTGAAGAGGATCCCAGGTGTCTGGCTAAGGAAGAAATTATGCACCTAATATGAGCTTTACCCCTTGTTCTTGGCAGCCCTCATAGTAGGTGACCATTAAAATAAAAATCTGATAAATGGCCACAAGACTGAAATAACGGGACCAGTAAGAAGCTGAATATTCCATCCAATAGTTGATATGCAAATAGAGCCACATTCTTCTTCCTTGATAGTAATCCTTTTAATTTAAAGCTGATCTATCAGTCGGCTCTGTGCATGCATAATTCTCAGTAAAGATACGGGGCAGCTAAGGTGTGTGTGCCTTTGATTGTTTCAGGTTTCCAATGAAACAACAAAATGCCACTCAATGGATAATCTTAAAACATGCAACGGCTGGGTGTGGTGGCTCACACCTGTAATCCCAGCACTATGGGAGGCCGAGGCGGGCAGATCACAAGGTCAGGAGATTGGGGCCATCCTGGCTAACACGGTGAAACCTTGTCTCTACTAAAAATACAAAAAAAATAGCTGGGCGTGGTGGTGGGCACCTGTAGTACCAGCTACTCAGGAGGCTAAGGAAGGAGAATCGTTTAAATCCAGGAGACAGAGGTTGCAGTGAGCTGAGATCACACCACTGCGCTCCGGCCTGGGTGACAGAGCAAGACTCTGTCTCAAAGACACACACACACGCACACACACACACACACATACAATGTGCACCAACCTAAACTGTGGCTGAAACTATGGAAAAATGTCTTCCAGACCAGAGAAAGAGAGAGAGAGAGAGAGAGAGAATGAGCACAGAGTTAAAAGATTAATGAGACAAGAGGACTAGAATGGCTCTACAAGAAAACATCGGCCAGTCGGAGCTGGGGGCAAAGCAGATGAAACCAAGGAAAGCTCTATGGATCTGGGAGCGTCTCTCCAAGTATTTGGTTCATGCTAAAAAATAGAGCACATTTATTAAAAATATATGCTTATAAACCTCGATCTGAACAGATACACACATCAAGCCAATGAAAAAAGAAAAATAGGTTATCTCCCTGGTATCAGATAGACACTCCTGATGAATGGAATGCCCGTGAAAGGGCTGCCTCTGTGATGCTTCCACTGAACAGCCTGCAGAGTTCAGATGCCACACTTGTCCTGGAGACGCACATCTGAGCCGTGTCTGCCCTGTTCATCTGTAGGAACAGGTGGTCTCCATCAGCCATCTGGGATCATGAGCTTCTGCACGCATGAGCTCCGCATGGTGTCAAAGGCTGGTCTTCCAAGCGTTCCTCTGGCTCCCTGCCAAAGACATTGAGTTCCTTGTGGTGCGAATCAGTTTTATGGGATTCTTTGTGTTTTCATATCTGTCCCTCGGCAGCAGGATCCGTTTATTTTTGTGGCCTTTTATAAAGTTCAGAGGTGTGTTTGATCCAGCGGTGTGTGGAGGTCAAGCCTGCTTGTTCTCGCAGGGTCTGGTCCTGATCCGTCCACGCACAGGACTCCCATCTTTGGCCATCCCGAGACTTCTGAGGATGCTGGGGCCACGGCAGTGTGGTGTGTGCGGATGGATATGATCACCATCGGGTTCAGAGTCAACCTCGTAATCCCCAGCCTCGCCAAGTCTCTCTCCCCTTCCTCTCTTTTCCTTGAGGTCCTCAGCCTTCCTCATTTCTACACGCCATTACCACCTTAGTTGCAAACCTCTTCGTCTTCCTTGCCAGGTGAGCCAAGAAGTACATCTAGAGGTGGTCAGTGGGGCACAGCGGCATGCAGCAGAGCCACAGCCTGGCCTGGAGCCTGAGGAAGGTGAGGAGGAGAAGAGAGGAGGAGGGGAGGAGGAGAGGAGAGGAGGATGGGAGGAGGAAGAGAGGAGGAGGGGAGGAGGAGAGGAGAGGAGGAGAGGAGAGGAGGATGGGAGGAGGAAGAGAGGAGAAGGAGGAGGGGAAGGAGAAGGAGAGTGGGGAGGAGGGGGAGGTGTGTATTCAGCCAGGTGGTTTCCAGATGGCACCCGGGGGCTTGTTGGGAGAACCTTGGGGGTGGGGGGCAGCATGGAGGGAAAGCGAGAGGTAAGTTACTATTTTAAACAGACCTATTTGAGGATGCTGTGGAAGATGAGCTGAAAAGAGGCAAAAGCGGAGGCAGGAGGCCCTTTCAGTTCGTGCTCTCAAGAGGCCACCGGGCATGGCAGGCCCTGCCTGGAGTGGGGGAGCAGGGGTTTGGAGGGTTGGGGATAAATTGCACGTCGACATTTTTTTCTTTGACAAGTTTGATCAGGATGCACAAATACCTAACCTCTCTCCCACGAAAACACATGGAATGGCCCAGAAGCCATGCCGGGTGGGAGGTAGAAGGCTCGCCCTGCTTTGGACCCTTCATTTTGCTGTGCTGGGTCTTCACATGACTGGGACCATTGCACCCTGTCTGACCCTTTAGAGCCCTGGACGCAGAACATGCCTGTCCATCTCTGCATCACACACTTAGTCACTGCCTGCTCATAGCATGCTTTGCAGGGGGATTAGAGGGATGTGAATACATTGCCCAGTGCATCCAATTCCATGTGCACCTGGGGAAGGGTGGGGGCTCCTCACCACCCAGGGTCTCCCTCCTGCCCTCCCTCCAGCCCCCAGGGCACCCTGTCTTTCTCAGGCCACCATCCTTCCCATGAGTGCTTGTCTCTGGCCCAGCCTCCGCAGGGCCTCCTTCATGTCCTTGTTTCGTAGGCTGTAGATGAAGGGGCCAAGCATCGGGATGACCAGGCTGTAGAAGACAGACACCACCTTGCCCTGCTCCATGGACTCCATAGTCCCTGGCTGGGCATATGTGACAAACACAGTCCCATCAAACAGGGACACGGTCATCACGTGGGAGCTACAGGTGAAGACCTTATGTCACTGGCTGCGGAGGGTGTCCTCAGGATGGTCACTGTGACACAGCCAAAGGAGACGAGGACCACAAGAGTGGCGTTCCCATCATGAGCCCACAAAGGCTGAACTTGGTCAGCTCATTGAGGGCCAGGCATGCACAGGCCAGCCGGAGCAGCTGGGGCATGTCACAGAGTGGTCAATGTGGTTGGTCCCTGCAGAAGGGAGCTGGAACATGAGGCCGGTCTGCACGATGGAGCTGAGGCAGACCCTGCAGTAGGTGCCTGGTCCCAGGATGATGCAGATCGAGAGGCACGTGGTCACTGGGCACCACACCAGACTACAGATGGCCACGAAGCAGTCATAGGCCATCACGGCCAGCAGGAAAGTCTCAGTGGTAGACAGCAAGGAGAAAAAGAACCGGGCAGCACAGCCTGCAAAGGTGACGACCTTGGACGAGGAAGAGAAGTTAACCAGGGCATTGGGGTGATGGAGGCATGGCCAAGGTCCAGGAAGGGGGAGGCTCCTGAGGAAGAAGTTCACTGGGAAGTGCAGGTGCGTGTCCAGGATGATGACCATGGTCATGGTGAGGTTTCCCGGGATGGTCACCATGTATAGACCTGGGAACACAGCAAAGAGCAGGGCCTGGTTCTCCAGGCCACCCTCAAGTCCCTTCAGCATGCTCTCCCACAAAGGAACCACTGAGAGATTTCCATTTCTGTGGGTTGACATAACCCCTGAGCAGGGACATGGTGGGGCAAAGAGAAAGTAAGAGGCCATGAGAGGAAGTAGGTCACAGTCTCAGGATCACATGTCCCATGGAGCACAGGGACCAGCCGGTGCATTGCTGGCCAGTGTGCAAGAGGCCACCAGCTGCCCTGTTCAGCTTCTGGATGAGCTCACGCTGGCCCGTAAGGGGGATATTCCCTTCTGTTGATGCAGCTCCCATGCAGGCGTGGAGCACTCCCTATGTGGGGAATGTTTCCTCCTTTTGATGCAGCCCCCACACAGGTGTCGAGCACTCCTTGCATGAGGACATTCCCTCCTGTTGATGCAGCTCCCATGCAGGCGTGGAGCACTCCCTGTGCAGGGACGTTCCCTCCTGTTGATGCAGCTCCCATGCAGGCGTGGAGCACTCCCTGTGCAGGGACGTTCCCTCCTGTTGATGCAGCTCCCATGCAGGTGTGGAGCACTCCCTGTGCAGGGACGTTCCCTCCTGTTGATGCAGCTCCCATGCAGGTGTGGAGCACTCCCTGTGCAGGGACGTTCCCTCCTGTTGATGCAGCTCCCATGCAGGTGTGGAGCACTCCCTGTGCAGGGATGTTCCCTCCTGTTGATGCAGCTCCTGTGCAGGCGTGGAGCACTCCCTATGTGGGGAATGTTTCCTCCTTTTGATGCAGCCCCCACACAGGTGTCGAGCACTCCTTGCGTGAGGACATTCCCTCCTGTTGATGCAGCTCCCATGCAGGCGTGGAGCACTCCCTGTGCAGGGACGTTCCCTCCTGTTGATGCAGCTCCCATGCAGGCGTGGAGCACTCCCTGTGCAGGGACGTTCCCTCCTGTTGATGCAGCTCCCATGCAGGTGTGGAGCACTCCCTGTGCAGGGACGTTCCCTCCTGTTGATGCAGCTCCTGTGCAGGCGTGGAGCACTCCCTGTGCAGGACATGCGGAGCTGCTGCCATGGGGATGCAAAGAGGCTTCCAGAGCTGAGTGACTCTGGTGTAAGAGCAGTGCTGCAGCCTCCCTGACCCTCCACCCAGGTGCATGCCCTCCCGCCCCCAAGGGATAGCCCACACCTACCATTTCAGCTCATTCACGTATCCAGTCCTGCCCGTTCTATGCCTTATTTTCCTAACTCACTGATTCAAGAAATGCTCATTGAGAGCCTCCTGCCCACCAGGCCCAGGGCAGAGTGGCCACTCCATCTCCTGGACTCAGAAGAGAGCCCTACACTCCCCAGGCTGATGGGGGCTCTCTCTCTCCACTGCAGGACCCTGAGCCCCACCTCAGTAGAGTCAACTCTGAGCCTGGACCGCACTGGCATTTAATCAGCTGAGCTTCCTGCATCCTTGAGGATATCAGGAGCTTTCTGCCCATGTGCAGATATTCATGAAGCCAGCCCATAGTCTGAGGACCAGCAGGGCGGCAGCTGAGACACATTCCAGAGATGGCCGTGGTCCGCCTTTGTTCTCACTGCAGCCCTTTTTCTCTGTCCTTGGCTTCTCCGGGCTTGGCTTGTTTGAGCAATAAGAAGCACTGGGCACCCTCACTTCTGCACCTTCCCGGACTGGGTGCTGTCATGGCCAGACCACGCAGGGCTGGGCACTGCACCCCAGAGTGACATTGGTAACCAGTGGGGTTCCATGAAGTCCAGAGGAATGGGGAGAGGTTGGGTGGCTCCCCCTAGCAAGGGAGGAGCAGGAATGTGGGCACGGAGCTGCTTGTGCATCCCAGGCAGAGGAGCGAGACCTGGGTGGAGATAGATGGTGATTTCACAGCAGACTGCACGTTCTCTAGAGGTCAGGTCTGGGGCTTCATGGCGGGGCTGCCTTGGGAGGGAGTGAGGTCACTGAGAATGGCGGTGTGCAAGCACAGGCGGGCGGGCAATGCTGTCAATGCAGGCAGGACTCTCCCCCAAGTCCCTCTTAGCCCACGTCCTCCTGGGTGGTGCTCTATGACAGCCCAGATACTCTAACAAAAAGTGAGTCAGGTGAAACGATAATAGTGTCATTTTCCTCTCCTGGGACAGCAGAGACGGCAGGCAGAGCGGTGATGCCCGGGCGGGGTCCCAGGGAGCATGGGGGTGACAATAGGTGGGACTGGACACCGAGCTGAGCGGGGCCTGCCCTGCACACCTTGAACAGTGGCTCAGGTGACTCCCTGGCTGTAGCCACTGCCCGGGGCCTCCCTCCCCCTCTCGCCCACCCCAGGCCACCTACACTGTCACTCACCCACACAGGAGCAACTACAGTGACCAGAGGGACCTATCTTCCTACAGCCACCTGCAAGTCAGCAGAGTTTACACCTCTCCCCCATGAGGGCCTCAGCTTAGCATCTCTGCAGCTATTTCCCAGGACAAGGAAGCCCCTCCAGGGCCTTGGGTCAGCACCCCTGAGGCGGCCTGGAAGCCTGTGGCACCTGAGGAGCTATTGCAGGCGTATCTGCAAAGCCAGACGCCGTTTCGTGTTAGAAGAACAAACATATACAGTGCCTCCTGCTTGCCTATGAGGCTCAAGGGTTACAGCAGGGACACCAAAAAAAAAAAAAAAAAAAAAACTGGCCATTAACTCGAGCCTGAGCAATGTCATTCTGGGTAATGCAGAGGCACCAGTGTTCTCTGTGACCCGCGGTTTGTGATGACTTGGCCCTGTGTCCCTTCACCGTAAATGCTTGCTACTCAAGTGCGGTTGGGGCTGCAGCACCCACGTCACCTGTCACTATCTAGAATGCAGAATCTCAGGCCCACTGCGTTAAACTCACATTCATATGGGTCTCCCTGCTTATTCCTCTTCACATTCAGTTTGAAGTGACCCTGGAGCCCAGGCAGTGCTCTGCTGAGGCACAGGGAGTGCTCCACGCCTGCACGGGAGCTGCATCAACAGGAGGAACGTCCTCACACAGGGAGTGCTCCACGCCTGCACGGGAGCTGCATCAACAGAGCAGCCGGGGCCATGCTCAGGGTTCCATCCCCCAAGAGCGGCCAGGCAGGGCCCACTGTGCCTCACGCCCTGGGGACCACACTGTCTCCTGCAATCATCGTGACAGAACATGACTCACCAGAGCCTGGGAGCTCCCAGGTGCTCCGTGCCCTGGCCTGCACTGAAGTAATGAGGTGGGCACCAAAGACTCAGAGTTTCTATTATCACTGAGGATGACAATGAGGTGCCCCCAAGGACTACTGCCCCCTCACACTTCAGCTGTGACTTCCTGTGCAGGGAAGTGACAGTGGGAGGGGCAGAGGTGGCACCTGGGGTCTCAGTGAGCATCACCCTGGTGCTCCACATCCTGGCTACAGGAGGTCCAGGTTTCTGGTGAAAGGAGGGAGGGATGGGCTCATACACCTCCCCATCCTCACCCCTTTCCCATCTGCTGGGCTCTGTGTAAGGCACCTGCACTTGGGGTCACTGTGCTGGGGAAGATTCTCTGGCAGGGCTGGGACTCGGGGCCTCCCGTGGCCAATTAGGTGAAACTCTGCCTCTATAGGGCACCAGGACTCCAAGTTCTCCTGGGTCCTCTGTCACCACCCTGTCTGATCCTCCTTACCCACAGGGCAGGACCAAAGCCCAGAAGTCCCTCAGGGGGCCCAGAGGAGCAAACAGGAGACAAGCAGAGGATCTAGGAGCAGACCCAGTGGCCTCAGCAAACTGTCTTCCAGGCACGGATGTGAACTCCTGGGTGCAGAGCTCCTTTCTTGAACCAACCCCTCCTGACCCAGCCCCAACATTCTGGCTGAGGAAAAGTGACCTAATGGGACAATTCTTGATTTGGGGAACTGGATCCCTTGGCTCCACCCCAAGTTCTCCATCCAGGAGCCCGTGACCTTGGGCAAGTCACTCTTTCATTGTCATATATCCAGTAATTAAATAAGGTCATCTCTAAATTCCTCTCTGCATTTTTTATTGCCAGCAAACATGCTTAAAATTCTCTATTTTTTTTTTTGAGACAGAGTTTCGCTCTTGTCACCCAGGCTGGAGTGCAATGGTGCTATCTCAGCTCACTGCAACCTCTGCCGCCTGGGTTCCAGCCATGCACCCGCCTCAGCCTCCCGAGTAGCTGGGATTACAGGCATGCATCACCACACCTGGCTAATTTTTGTATTTTTAGTAGAGACAGGGTTTCACCATGTTGGCCAGGCTGGTCTAGAACTCCTGACCTTAGGTGATCCACCTGCCTCGGCCTCCCAAAGTGCTGGGATTACAGGCGTGAGCCACTGCGCCCGGCCAAATTCTCTATTTCTAAAAAATTCAAAATAAGCACCTGCTTGAAAAAACCCAAGCTATAAAGAAGTGAGTAAGTGAAAAGGGACCTTCCCACCTTTCCCTACAAAAAGTTAGCCCTCTTAACAATTAGTTTGACTCTGCAGGGGTGTGTGTGTGTGTGTGTGTGTGTGTGTGTGTGTGTGTGCGCGCGCATGCATGAGTTTTACTTTTGTCATTTAAAAAAACTAGATCACGATACTCATTAGATCTTCAGTTTGATTCTTTTTTCACTTAACTCAATGCCATGCACATCTTAGTTTTTTTCTGCCTCTGAATGGTTTACTGTAATTTGTTTATATATCATATTTATGGACCTTGGGGTTATTTTTTCCCCTGTCATAAATGATATTGCAAAGCGTGTTCATGATGTCCTCATGGTAACATTCCCATAGGCCAGTAATTGACTGTCATGCCAATTCTCTATTGTACTCCAAATAATTAGTGCAACTTCTGCCACTGGCACTTCAAAACATGGATTTGTCTCCCCTCACTAGTACTTACTATCATCAGTTTAAGAAATTTGTACGTATTGGGAGGCTGGGGTGGGAGGATCAATTGAGCCCAGAAGTTTGAGACCATCTCTACAAAAAATTTAAAAACTTAGCCAGGTGTGGTGGCATATGCCTTGTAGTCCCAGATACTTGGGACGCTGAGGCAGGAGGATTGCTTGAGCCTTGGAGTTCAAGGCTGCAATGCTCTATGATTGTGACACGGCACTCCAGCCTGGGCAACAGCAAGACCCCAACTCAGGAAAAAAAATGTATGCATCTCACATAGTGTAATGGTTAATTTTGTGTATGAACATGACTGGGCTGCTGAGTGCCCAGATACTTGGTCAAGCATTATTCTGAATGCTTCTGTGAAGGGGCATCAGATGTGTTTAACAATTAAATCCGGCCGGGCGCGGTGGCTCACGCCTGTAATCCCAGCACTTTGGGAGGCTGAGGCGGGCGGACCACGAGGTCAGGAGATCGAGACCATCCTGGCTAACATGGTGAAACCCCGTCTCTACTAAAAAAATACAAAAAAATTAGCTGGGCGCGCTGGCGGGCGCCTGTAGTCCCAGCTGCTCGGGAGGCTGAGGCAGGAGAATGGCGTGAACCCGGGAGGCGGAGCTTGCAGTGAGCCGAGATCGCACCACTGCACCCCAGCCTGGGGGGCAGAGCCAGACTTGTCTCAAAAACAACAACAATAACAACGACAACAACAACAAACAACTAAATCCATGGACTAAGTAGATTGATCTCCATAATGTGGGTGAGCCTCATTCAATTAACTGAAGGCCTAAATAGAACAAAAAAGTTGACCCTTCTCCATGTAAGAGGGAATTTCTCCTGCCCAGCTACCTTTGAGCGGGGACATCTGGTTTTTTTACTGCCTTCAAACTCAAATGGAAACTTCAGCTCTTCCTGAATCTCCAGCTTGCTGACTGCCAACCTGCAAACTCGTCAGCTCCAAAACTCTGTGAGTCAATGTCTGACAATACATCTATGTATGTGTGTACATAAATACATGGACATATGCACATATGTACACCATAAGATATACCCATATATTCTGTTTCTCTGGAGAACCCTAATATGCATGGCACCTCATTTTAATGAACGTAACTGTATTCGTTAGTGTGGCTGGTTGTCTTTTCTATACTTGTGGGCCATTTGTGTTTCTACTTCTGTAATTTGCTCCTGTACATTCACACATTCTGTCTGATGGTGATGCAGTCCTGCTTGGGGACCATGACTGGAATCAGATGGGGACTGGAGGCTACGCCCAGGTAATGCCTCCTTCCCTGCAGACCCTAGCCCCAGGCCCAGGCACACCAGCCACGTCACTGGGGTCAACGACTTGGCAGAGTTGCTTTCTCACCCTGAGGCAGAGTTGTTTCCATTTGTTTTGGTTTGGGGCTTTAAAAGTTCTACCCAATCTTATGTAGGAGTAAATCCTGGACTCCTCACTGGGTCCAGTTCCCTGCTGGGCAAGAGCACTTTCCACGTAGTGCTCCATCTTTGCTGTTCCATTGTCTACTTTTTTTGCAATAATGTTTCACTTTCCCACTGGATTGCTGAGTTTCTTCTTATTGAATTTTATGAGCTCTTTACATAAAAGAGCTTTATGGACCCTTTATACTCCTCAGAGTAAATACGCAAGGATATTTTTCACTTCCACAAATAAAAATGGAGGCTCTCATTTTTCTTGAACCAAGGGTAAGAGAAATACGGCATTTCACTTAACCACATGAAACACTTCAATACAACTTTAATGGTAAGTGCTAATTGACATGAGTTTAGAGTTGGAAAGACAAGAGAGAGGTGGAGACTGGGGTAAACGTCAAATAAAGGCTGTAACTACAGCTTGCCTCCAGCCAACTATTGCTGAGTATCAACACAGGCTCTGTGTTACCAGGTCTTCTGAATTTCCAAACGAAACAGAAGTCTAGATTTTATATTTTTTAGATACTGGAAACCAATTGAAGATTTTATTTTTATTTCAATAGCATTTGGGGTACAAGTTGTTTTTGGTTGCATGGATGAATTATATATTGGTGAATTCTGAGATTTTAGTGTGCCCATCACCTCAGTAGTGTATGGTATACCTAATGTGTAGTTTTTTCCCTGGCCCCTCTCCCACCCTCCCCTTTCTTAGTCTCTAAAGTCCATTATGTCACTCTGTATGCCTTTGCATACTCATAGCTTAGCTCCAATTGATAAGTGAGAAAATATGGTTCTTGGTTTTCCACTCCTGTGTTACTTCTGGCCTCCAGCTCCACCCCAGTTGCTGCAAAAGACATTATTTTGTTCCTTTTAGTGGCTGAGTAGTATTCCATGGTGTACATATGCTACATTTTCTTTATCATAAGTCAATGGACACTTAGGTTGGTTTCACATCTTTGCAATTGAGAATTGTGCTGTTATAAACATGTGTGCACAAATGTCTTTTTCATATAATGGCTTCTTTTTCTTTGGGTAGATACCCAGTAATGGAATTGCTGGATCAAATGGCAGATCTACTTTTAGCTCTTTAAGGAATCTCAATACTGTTTTCCATAGAGGTTGTACTAATTCACATTCCCACCAGCAATGTATAAGCATTCCCTTTCTCCTACATCTGTGCCAACATCTATTGTCTTTTGACTTTTTAATAGAGGCCATCCTTGCAGGAGTAAGGTGGTATCTCATAGTGGTTTTAATTTGCATTTCCCTGATGATTAGTAATGTTGAGTATTTGTCTATATGTTTCTTGGCCATTTGTATATCTTCTTTTGAGAAATGTCTATCCGTATCCTTTGCCCACTTTTTAATGGAATTATTTGTTCTTTCTTGCTGATTTGTTTGAGTTCGTTATAGATTCTGGATAGTTCTTTATTGGATGTGTAGTTTGCAAATATTTTCTCCCATTCTGTGGGTTGTCCGTTTCCTCTGATGATGATGATTATTATTATTATTTGCTGTGCAGAAGCTTTTTAGTTTAATCAGGTCCCATTTATTTATTTTTGTTTT
Source organism: Homo sapiens (assembly GCF_000001405.40). Taxonomy (NCBI): domain Eukaryota; kingdom Metazoa; phylum Chordata; class Mammalia; order Primates; family Hominidae; genus Homo; species Homo sapiens. Next base: position 240,101,357 of record NC_000002.12, on the reverse strand, counting down.
TATCACATTTGCTTTTGGGGTCTTAGTCATGAATTCTTTGCCTAGGACAATGTCTGGAAGAGTTTTTCCAACATTGTCTTCTAGAATTTTTATGGTTTCAGGCCTTATATTTAAGTCTTTGTTCCATATTGAGTTGATTTTTGTGTATGGTGAGAGATAGATAGGGATCCAGTTTCATTCTTCTAAGTGTGGCATGACAGTTTTCCCAGCTCCATTTATTAAATAGGGTGTCCATTCCCCAATTTATGTTTTGGGTGCTTTGTTGAGGATCAGTTGTCTGTATGTATTTGGCTTTATTTCTGGCTTCTCTATTCTGTTAAATTGGTATATGTACCTACTTACCTACTTTTATACCAGTACCATGCTGTTTTAGTAACTATAGTCTTGTAGTGTAATTTGAAGTCTGGTAATGTGATGCCTCCAGATTTGTTCTTTTTGCTTAGGATTGCTTTGGCTATTTGGGCTCTCTTATGGTTCCATATGAATTTTTGGATTTTTTTTCTAATTCTGTGAAGAATGATGATGATATTTTGATGAGAATTGCATTGAATCTGTGGATTGCTTTGGGCAGTTTGGTCATTTTCACAATACTCATTCTTCCAATCCAGGAGCATGGGATGCGTTTCCTTTTGTTTGTGTGATCTATGATTTCTTTCAGCAGTGTTTTGTAGTTCTCCTTGTCGAGGTCTTTCACCTCCTTGGTTAGGATATTCCTATGTATTTTATTTTATGTTATTTTATTTTATTTTTTGCAGCTGTTGTAAAAGGGATTATGTTCTTGATTTGATTCTCAGCTTGGTCACGGTTAGTGTATAGCAATGCTACTGATTTGTGTACATTGATTTTGTAACCTGAGACTTCACTGAATTTGTTCATCAAATCTACAAGTCTTTTGGTGGAGTCATCAGGATTTTCTAGATATACAATCATATCATCTACAAACAGTGATAGTTTGACTTCTGCTTTTCCAATGTAAATTCCCTTTGTTTTTATCTCTTGTCTGATTGCTGTGGCTAGTACTTCCAGAACTATGTTGAATAGAAGTGGTGAAAGTGGGCATCCTTGTCTCCCTGTTCTCAGGCAGGGGGATGCTTTCAACTTTTCCCCATTCAGTATGATGTCGATTGTGGGTTTGTCACATATGGTTTTCATTATTTTGAGGTAGGTCCCTTCTACACCTAGTTTGTTGAGACTTTTTATCATAAAGGGGTGCTGGATTTTGCCAAATGCTTTTTCCATATTTATTGAGATGATCATATAGTTTTTGTTTTTAATTCTGTTTATGTGATGTGTCACATTTATTGACTTGCATATGTTAAAGCGTCCCCGCATCCTGGGGATGAAACCTACTCGATCATGATGAGTTATCTTTTTGATGTGCCTTTGGATTCAGTTAGATAATATTTTGTTGAGGATTTTTATATTTATGTACATCAGGGTCTATAGTTTTCTTTTTTGTTGTTGTTGTTATGTCCTTTCCTTGTTTGGGCATCAGCATGATACTAGCTTCATAGAATGATTTAGGGAGGATTCCTTCTTTCTCAATCTTTTCAAATAATTTCGGTAGGATTGGTACTTTTTCTTTGAATGTCTGGTAGAAAGCCGTGAATCCATCTGGTCCTGGGCTTTTTTTTGTTGGCAAAGTCTTAAATTACTGATTTATTCTCGCTGCTTGTTTTCAGTCTGTTTAAGGTTTCTATTTCTTCCTTATTTAATCTAGCAGGGTTGTATGTTTTCAGGAATTTGTTGATCCCCTCTGGGTTTTCTCATTTATGTGCATAAGGATCTTCATAGTAGTCTCAAATGCTCAAATGATCTTTTGAATTTCTGTTGTGTTGGTTGTAATGTCTCTAGTTTCATTTCTAATTGAGCTTATTTGGGTCTTCTCTCTTCTTTTCTTGATTAATCTAGTTAATGGTCTATCAATTTTGTTTATTGTTTCAAAGAACCAGATTTTTGTTTCGTTGATCTTTTGTATTTTTTTTGGTTTGAATTTCATTTAGTTCTGCTCTGATCTTTGTTATTTCTTTTCTTCTTCTAGCTGTAGGTTTCGTTTGTTCTTTTTTCTCCGGTTCCTTGAGATGTGACATTAGGTTGTCAATTTCTGCTCTTTCAGACTTTTTGATGTAGGCATTTAGTGCTATAAACTTTTCTTTTAGCAATGCTTTTGTTGTATCCCAGAAGTTTTGATAACTTGTCTCAGTATTATCATTTAATTCAAAGAATTTTAAAATTTTCATCTTTATTCCATTGTCAACTCATTCAAGAGCAGATTACTTAATTTCCATGTATTTGTATAGTTTTGAGGGTTTCTTTTGGAGCTGATTTCTAGTTTTATTGCACTGTGTTCTCAGAAGATATTTGATATGATTTTGATTTTTTAAAATATATTGAGACTTGGCTGGGCATGGTGGCCCATGCCTATAATCCCAACACTTTGGGAGGCCAAGGCAGGTGGATTGCTTATGCTCAAGAGGTCAAGACCAGCATGGGCAACATAGTGAAACCCCATGTCTACCAAAAAAAAAATTAGCCAGATGTGGTGGCTCATGTCTGTGGTCCCAGCTACTCAGGAGGCTGAGGTGGGAGGATTGCTTGAGTCTGGGAGGTGGAGGTTGCAGTGAGCCAAGATCTCGCTACTGCACTCCAGCCTGGCTGACAGAGTGAAGTTCTTTCTCAAAAAAAAAAAAATTGAGATTTGTTTTATGGCCTATCATATGGTCTATCTTGAAGAATGTTCCATGTGTTAATGAGAGAAATGTGTATTCTGCAGATCTTGGGTAGAATGTTCTGTAAATATTGTGAAATCTATTTGTTCTAGCATGTCATTTAGGTCCATTGTTTCTCTATTGACTTTCTGTCCTGAAGATCTGTGTAATGTTGTAGTGGTGTATTGAAGTCTCCCACTGTTATTGTTTTGCTGTCTATCTCATTTCTTAGGTCTAGTAGTAATTGTTTTATGAATCTAGGAGCTCCGGGGTTAGATGCATATAAATTTAGATTTGTAACATCTTCTTGTTGAATTGATCCTTTTATCATTACATAGTGACCATCTTTGTCTTTTTGTTGTGTTATTGTTACTTTGAAGTCTGTTTTGTCTGATATAAGAATAGCTACTCCTGCTCACTTTTGATTTCCATTTGTGTGGAATACCTTTTTTTCACCCTTTTACTTTGAGTTTGTTTGAGTCATTCTGTTGTTAAGTGAGTCTTTTAAAGACAGCAGATATTTGGATTGTGATTTGTTATGCATTCTGCCATTCTGTATCTTTTTTTTTTTTTTCACTCTGTTGCCCAGACTGGAGTGCAGTGATGCAATCTTGGCTCACTGCAACCTCCTCCTCCCAGGTTCAAATGATTTCTCCTGCCTCAGCCTCCCAGACCATTTACATTCAACGTTAATATTGAGATGTGAGGTACTGTTCTCTTCATCATGTTAATTGTTATCTACATGGTTTGTGTGTGTGTGTGTGTATGTGTGTGTGTTATTGTTTTATAGGAACTGTGAGTTTTAAGCTTTCAAGAGGTTCTATTTTGGTGTATTTTAGGCTTTTGTTTCAAGAGTTAGAACTCCTTTTAGCATTTCTTGCGGTGCTGGTTTGGTAGTGACAAATTCCATCAGGATTTGTTTGTCTGAAAATGACTTCATTTCTCCTTCATTTGTGAAACTTAATTTTGTGGGATACAAAATTCTTGGCTGACAGTTGTTCTGTTTAAGGAGGTTGAAGACCCCAATCCCTTCTGGCTTGTAAGGTTTCTGCTGAGAAGTCTGATGTTAGTCTGATAGGTTTTCCTTTGTAGGTTATCTGTGGCTTTGTCATACGGCTCTTAGAATTCTTTCCTTCATGTTAACTTTAGGTAGCCTGATGACTATATGCCTTGGTGAAGATTTTTTTTGCAATAAATTTCCCAGGAGTTATTTGAGCTTCTTGAATTTGGATATCCAGATCTCTTGCCAAGCCAGGGAACTTTTCTTCAATTAGTCCCTCAAATAAGTTTTCCAGACTTATTATTTTGTCTTCTTCCTCAGGAACACCAATTATTCTTGGGTTTGGCCACTTTACATAAACCCATATTTCTTGGAGACTTTGTTAATTTCTTTTGGTTTTTCTTCTCTGTCTGATTGGGTTAATCCAAAAGCCTTGTCTTCGAGCTCTGAAATTCTTTCTTCTATTTGTTGTAGTCTATTTTTAAAACTTTCCACTGCATTTTGTAATTCCCTCAGTGTGTCTTTCATTTCCAGAAGTTCTGATTGAGTTTTCTTGATGATATCTATCTCTCTAGAAAATGTTTATTCATATCCTGAACTGCTTTTTAAATTTCTTTATGATGTTTTTCACCTTTCTCTGATATTTTGAGTAGCTTAATAATCAACCTTCTGAATTCCTTATCTGGTATTTCAAAAATTTCATCTTGGTTTCAGTCCGTTGCTGGAGAGCTAGTGTGATCTTTGGGATGTATTATGTCACCCTGTTTTGTTATATTACCAGAGTTATTTTTCTGGCTTCATCTCATTTGGGTAGACTATTTCTTCTAATTATTCTTGAATTTATGTTTGGTTTGACTGTATTTCTTTGTTTTTAAATTTCTTTTTTCCCCCTTGAGGATGAGACTTTAATGCTTATAATTAATTATAGCCTGATTCAGTTCTTGGTACTTTCAGGAGTGAGGCAGACTCTGAAATTCCTTGGTTACGGATGGCCTCAGTGTCTTGGCCTTCTTGAACATGGGTTATAGTAGTAATGAACTGGTCGTGTAGACAGACTCAGGACCTCCTGGTTAGCTAGAGTAGTGCAGGTAGAGGTGATAGCTGAGATTGCACAGCGGTTTTCTCCTTCCTGGGTGAAGTGTTATTCTACCAGGAGATGCTGTCCTGGACTGTGTTGATTGCCCTTCAGCCATGAGGTGGTGCTTGCAAAAGAGCAGCAGTGGGATTTGTGCTCGCCTTAGGTTGCCCAGGGAGATACTCTGGTTTCTTAGGCAATGGGCGGGGTCATGTAGCTCCCAAGAGATTCTGTCCCTTGTGTGAAGCTACCAGGGCAGGTGGCGGGGCAAAGCCAGGAGGGGGCTGGACGGGGCGGGTTTGCGCTGATGCTCCCTGTGCAGGGTAAGCAGTAGCCCCTGTGCGTTTCGGGGCACGGGAGCGGTCCTCAGGCCACGGGGTTGACATTCCAGGGGGAGCGCTGCTGTCTCTGCAGCACAGAAAAGTTTGTGCAGGGCGTGGGGAGTGGCAGGCGGTGGCTAGCCCCACAGTTCCCACGCACTTGGAGAGTCGGATCCACTCCCACAGTGTTCGCTGGCAGCAGCGAACTGAGTTCCAGTCAGCCTGTAATCCGACCTTCCACTGCCTGGAGTCATAAGCTTTCCCCATGGAGATAGCAACCGCCGCCTTCAAGCCACGCCCCTCCCTGTCTGCTGCAAAGGTGGGCGTCCAGCCCCTGCACCCGCGGGCCCTGCGCCCGAGGCTCCTGCACCGGCCGTCCCTGCACCCTGGCCCCTGCATCCAAGGCTCCCGCACCCGGGGTCCCTGCACTCGAGACTCCAGCACCCGCAGCTCCTGCACCTGAGGCCCCTGCACCCAAGGTTCCTGCACCCAGGGCGCCTGCACCCGTGGCCCCTGCACCCCAGACTCCCGCATCCGCAACTCCTGCACCTGGGGCCCCTGAACCCAAGGCTTTTGCACCTGGGGCTCCTGCATCCGCGGCACCTGCACCCAAGGCTCCTGCACCGGGGTTCCTGCACCCGGGGCCCCTGAACCCGAGACTCCTGCACCCGCAGCTCCTGCACCAGGGGCCCCTGCACCCGGGACGCCTGCACCCACGGCCCCTGCACCAAAAGCTCCTGCACCCGGGACCCCTGCACCAAAGGCTCCCGAACCTTGAAACCTGCTTTTTACTCTCTCCCACCTGGGGTTATGTCGTGAAACGCCCCCATTGGGAGCTTCTTTGAACCTGAGACCACGCCTGAAGTTCTTGGCTGTCCGCAGGGTCCCCTGTGAGGAACAGTAGGGAACGACTGATCTTGGTCTGCCTGGGCTCTGGGAGTGCAGGAGAGGTCTTCCCAACGCAGCTCCTGCTTTTATATCCCACCACCCTCCCCAAGTCAGTTCCTGCTCCGGGTGGGGTTAGGGCCTTCCTTCTTGTCCTCCTGGACTTTCGGGGTCCCCAGGGGTGTTGCGTATCCCAGAGGCAAACTCCCCCCTCACACTCGGACTCGCAGCCCCTGCCTGACTCACAGGGTGGGCTGCAGCCTCCCGCTTCCTTCAAAGGTCCCTAGAATCCTGCGGTTTTCCCGTTCAGCCATGGCATCTCTTGTTGAAAAACATTTCACAAGGTGAATCTCTACACACTTTTGTCCTTCCAAGCGGGAGAGATGTGCTAGCGACGCCCCTAATCCGCCATGTTGGGGTGAAGATTTTATTTTAAATACTGTGTGGCCAAAGAAAATACGTCTTTGACCCAGACTCAGCCTGCAGGCTGCTGGTTTTCTGTTCATATCAGAGAGTATGTTGGCCCATGATGTACCAGCTCACAGACAAGGCCTGGATGAGCTGCCGGTGACATCTGTGAGCACAACATAAAGGAATTTTAAAAGGTATCAGCAGGTCATTTGCACCACACAGGATAAATATTGTGTAAAATACAGATAAATGTGTTTGTTAAGTACGCTTAGCATTGCAGGAAATTAGACCATCACTTTTTATAAGATAGGAGTTCTGTAACAATAGGGAGAAATAGAAAGAAAATTCATAGAACTAAGAGGATTTCAGAGCCAAAATAGGTATTTAAAAAGTTTTGCAATGGAAACAGCATGTTGTGGAAAGGGATTCCTGGCATAGAGAAAAGTCCTGAGTCCATCCTGGTGAGTGTACAGAATAAAGAAAGAGAGACTTCTTAGAGCAAAGTAAGTAGAATTGGAGGACAGATACGTAAAATTCAATGTGAAGTTAACAAATTTTGAAACAGAGAAACCAACAATGGAAAAAAATATTTTCAGAAAGATAGTAGAAGGGAATTTTACAGCATTGAAGAAAGAGCCACACTGAGAATTGAGTTTTGGGAAAAAATTGATGCAGAAGCCAACTCTGACATGCACCCTAACAGCATGATGGTGATGATGAAGATAGAAAATTTAAACATATGCAAAAGTAGAGAGTGCAGTATAATGCACCTCAAGCAACCACCACCCAGCTTTCATGGCAACCAACTCCTGGCCAATCTTGCATCCTCCCTACCCTACGCCCACAGTCTCTGTAGTATTTTGAAGTAAATATTAGACAAATAGAGTTTTATCTATAAATATTTAGCAAGCATTTCTTTAAAAAGACCATTTCTCCTAAAAATATCTACAATACCTAAAGAAATATAATTTCTTAATATCAAATATTCATCAGTGCTCAAATGTTCATTTTCTCATTAATTAAATGTAATAGATTTTAAAAATAGAGCTTGTTTTACTCAGTCAAAAATGGTTCACACTCTGTGACTTGTATAAGGTCCTTTTAATATGGGCTGACTTCTCTCTCTCTCTCTCTCTCCCTTCCTCCCTCATTCTTTCTTCCATTTTCCATCCTCTCTCCCCCTTTACCTCCCCCCTCCCCCCTTCATCCGTGTACGTCTGTGTCTTGCTTTAATGTATTTCCTTAAGAAACTGGAGTTTCATTGATAAGCAACTTCGGCAAAGTCTAAGGATATAAAATGAATGTGCAAAAGTCACAAGCATTCCTATACACCAACAACAGGCAAGCAGAGAGCCAAATCATGAATGAATTCCCATCCACAATTGCTACAAAGAGAATAAAATACCTAGGAATAGAGCTAACAGGGGAAGGGAAGGACCTCTTCAAGGAGAACTACAAACCATTGTTCAAGGAAATCAGAGAGGTCACAAACAAATGGAACATATTCCATGCTTATAGATAAGAGGAATAAATATTGTGAAAATCGCCATACTGCCCAAAGTAATTTATAGATTCAATGCTATTCCCATTAAACTACCATTGACATTCTTCACAGAATTTAAAATTCATATGGAACCAAAAATGAACTTGTATAGCAAGACAATCCTAAGCAAAAAGAACAAAGCTGGAGACATCAACAGACCTCAAACTATACCACAAGGCTATAGTAACCAAAACAGCATGGTATTGGTACAAAAAGAGACACATAGGCCAATGGAACAGAAAAGAGAATTCAGCAATAAGACCACACGTCTACAACCATAGGATCTTCGACAAACCCGACAAAAATGAGCAACAGGAAAAGGATCCCCTATTTAATAAATGATGCTGGGAGAGCTGGCTAGCCATATACAGAAAACTGAAACTGGACCCCTTCCTTACACCTTATACAAAAATTACTCAAGATGGATTAAAGACTTACATGTAAAATCCAAAACTATAAAAACCCTAGAAGAAAATCTAGGCAACGCCTTTCAGGACATAGGCACAGGCAGAGATTTCATAATGAAATTGCCAAAAGCAATTGCAACAAAAGAAAAAAGTGACAAATGGGATCTAATTAAACTAAAGAACTTCTGCACAGCAAAAGAAACTATCAACTGAGTGAACAGGAAACTTACAGAGTGGGAGAACATTTTTGCAATCTATCCATTTGACAAAGGTCTAATATCCAGAATCTACAAGGAACTTAAACAAATTTACAAGAAAAAAACAAACAACCCAAATGTCCATCAATGATAGACTGGATAAAGAAAATGTGGAACAGAATAGAGAATTCAGAAATAAGAGCTTCTGCATAGCAAAAGAAACTATCATCAGAGCGAACAGGCATGAAAAACTATGCAGCCATAAAAAGGAACAAGATCATGTCCTTTGCAGGGACATGGATGGAGCTCGAAGCCATTATTCTCAGCAAACTAACACAAGAACAGAAAACCAAACAGCACAAGTTCTCACTTATAAGTGGGAGCTGAACAATGAGAACACGTGGATACAGGGAGGGGAATAACACACACTGGGGCCTGCTGGGTGGTGGGGTGGGGGAGGGAGAGCATTAGGAAAAATAGCTAATGCATGCTGGGCTTAATACCTAGGCAATGGGTTGATAGGTGCAGCAAACCACCGTGGCACATGTACACCTGTATAACAAAGCTGCACATCCTGCACATGTACTCTGGAACTTAAAATAAAAATAAAAATGAAAAACGAAAAAAAGAAAAACTGGACCTTTGTTATATAGATTTTCCGACAGTTTAAGTTTGCCAGTTGTCATTCACCATGTTCCTCTGCCGGGCGTATTTCCTGTAAGTTGGTAGTTGGATCTGGAGTCTTAACGGGATTCGAGTTAGTGCTGTTGTTTATTTATTTGTTTTTATTTTATTTTATTTTATTTTATTTTTTGAGACAGTGTCCTTTTCTGTCACCCAGGCTGGAGTGCAGTGGCACAATCTTGGCTCACTGCAACCTCCATCTCCCGGGTTCAAGCAATTCTCCTGCCTCAGCCTCCGGAGTAGCTAGGATTACAGGTGTGCACCATAACGCCTGGCTAATTTTTGTATTTTTAGTAGAGACGGGGTTTTGCCATGTTAGTTAGGCTGGTCTCAAACTCCTGACCTCAAGTGATCCACCCACCTTGGCCTCCCAAAGTGCTGGGATTACAGGCATGAGTCATCATGCCTGGCTGTGTTGTTGTTACTATTATTATTCGCTGATTACTTTATGCGTGGCAGGGGGCTCTTCGGTTCTCTTTTTGTGGTGTTATTGGTCATTACGATCACTATCTATTTTCATTAAGTCACCATGGCCTGTAAATGATGACAGCCTAATTCTTTTTTAAAAAATATTTTTAACTTTTATTTTAGATTCATGGGGTACATGTGCAGTTTTGTTACCTGGGTATACTGCATGATGCTGATGTTTGGGGTATGAGGGATCCCATCACCCAGGTACTTAGCATCGTACTCAGTATTTTTTCAGGCCTTTTTCTCCTCCCTTGCTTCCCCTTCTAGTAGCCCCCAGGGTCTATTGTTGCCATCTTTGTGTCCATGAGTACTCATTGTTTAGCTCCCACTTATAAGTGAGAAGATGCAGTAGCTGGTTTTCTCTTTGTGCATTAATTCTCTTAGAATAATGGCCTTTAGCTGCATCCATGTTGCTGCAACAGACATGATTTCATTCATTTTTATGGCTGCATAATATTTCACGGTGTATATTTACCACATTTTCTTCATCCTATCTAGCACTGATGGGCACCTAGGTTAATTCCATGTCTTTGCTATAGTGAATAGCACTGCGATAAACATGAGTGTATATGTCTTTTTGGGAGAATGACTTATTTTCTTTTGGATATATACCCAGTAATGGGATTGATGGGTCGAATGATAGTTGTTAAGTTCTTCAAGAAATCTCCAAACTGCTTTCTACAGTGGCTGAACTAATCTACATTCCCAGCAACAGTATATAAATGTTCCCTTTTATCCACACCCTTGCCAGCATCTATTATTTTTTGACTTTTAATAATAGCCATTCTGACTGGTGTGAGATCGTGGTGAGATGCTATTTCTATCATTCCCTCTTCACTGGAGTACCTATTTCTCAACTCAATGCCTCTGTGAACATAAACTACCCTCATTGGTGATCTGGTTCCTCAGTGATAGGAAAAGCAGGATGCTTGAGTCTTGCTCTCTGGGTACAATTTCTAAGACATTGAATTGTTGCATTAGCATCCTCCAATGGTGACTAAGTTTTTTGTATTGTTATGAACTCAGATTCAACATACTTGATGTATTTCAGTCTATTGCAGTTATTATTATTATTATTTTTAGACAGAGTCTCGCTCTGTCACCAGGCTGGAGTGCAGTGGCACGATCTCAGCTCACTGCAACCTCCGCCTCCCGGGTTCAAGTGATTCTCCTGCCTTAGCCTCTCGAGTAGCTGGGGCTACAGGCACGTGCCACCATGCCCAGCTAATTTTTGTATTTTTAGTAGAGATGCATTTTCACCATGTTGTCCAGGACGGTCTTGTTCTCTTTACCTCATGATCCTCCTGCCTTGGCCTCCCAAAGTGCTGGGATTACAGGCGTGAGCCACCGTGCCTGGCCTGCAGTTATTACTCTTGCGTATGTTAAAACAGTTCAATTTTTAGCCAGCGTTAGAACAGTTCAATTTTTAGACAGTGGGCACCTCTTCAAATTGGTCTGAATCCTTTTGACATGGCCTACTGGTCTATGATAACTCTTTTGCTTCTAGGAGGGCATGCTGTCCTTACTTGTAAATTCCTCTAAGGATCCAGATAACTTTTAGTGTGCTTGCAAATCACAACTGCCTGGCTGAATGAGCTATTGAACTTACTTCACTGGCTTCTCTGTCTCAAATTCCTTACTGGATCCTCCTTTTCCTGCCTTCTGTTTGTGGCAGTGCCCAGAACTTGGTCATCTGTTGTTTCCTCTTTGCTGTCTTGGTGACATCAAGTAACCTCATGGCCTTATAATCTCATTCTACACCAACACTTCCCAAATGTATACCTTCAGAGTGGACTTCTCCCCCAAACTCCAGAATCCTATAGATCCAGCTGGCTACTCAGTGTCTCCTCTTGCATGTACAAGACTGGCATGGCCAAATTGAGCCCGTGATTCTCCTCACCACCACTAACAGCCCTCCCCAAACCTGCTCTTGCCATCATATCAGTGATAACCCCATCCCTCCAGAGACTCAGGCCAGTATCTCTGGGGCCGCCTTTGGCCCTTGATTTGCCTTCGCCCCTCTTCTGTTCTGTCAACAAAACCTATCAGCTCCAGCAGCCTCAAGACTTCATGTCCTTTGGCTACTGCCCCAGTTCAATCGCTATTATCTTTCTGTTGGATTCCTGCAATGGCTTCCAGCCGGGGTCAGTAACAAACAGATAAAACCTGCTAACCTGAAGTCAGACAATCTCCCTTTTCTACTCAAAACCCTCATAAGGCTTAATGTCTCACTCCAGGTGACAAACCGTCTGGGGAGTGGGGGTGGGGAGTGCAGAGTGTAGGATGCCTTGGAGCTACACTGCACCCTAACCTGCCTGGCCTCTTCTCTGCAGCATTCTTTCTCCCTGGCACAGGCACACCGGATTCTGGAACATCCCTCAGACAAGCCTGTCCTGCTCTCCTTAGGGACTTTGTATCTGTGCTCTGTCTTCCTGGAACGTCTGCTCGGCTGTTCTCTCACCGTCTCTGTTCTTCTCACCTTAGACTGCTCAGCACCAGGAACTGATGTTCAAGGCTGCAGGCATTTGTGATGATAAGAGGAAAGCCACGGAGGCTGGCCAGACCCTAGCACTGGAGACTTGTATTGGCTTCTGATATGTTTTAAGCGTCCCTGTGGTCTAAGCCATTGTTGGCTATTTTACAGATCTGTTTGTATACACTACGTTTCCAAATGTACGTACATTTCTTACTAGACTCTCCACACTTAGATTATTTCTTTTTAAAAGTATTCTAGTTTCTGAATGTAGACATCTTTTAATTTCTTTATATGTACACAGATATGAAGCTTCATGTACATGAATACATTTTTAAAGACATACTAAATTCTTACAGTTGTTTTTAATTGTAGTGATGTTTTGTGCAGTCTTTTTAAAATTTTTATCTTTTTAATTGGATCATTTCCTTCTCCAGTAACAGTCCCTGACTTGTGATCTCAGATCACCCATATTAACAATCCAGCTTACATTATTATGTATAATATGTCTGTACCTAATTACATGATTATTTAGAAAACATTATTTGTGTATATATCTAATCTCAATATGTATATGTTTGGAGGTTTTGGGTCTTTTGAGGTGCAGATTCAGTGCTTTTACCAAAATGGTATCATATTAGAAACACTTCTGCACTTCAGATTTTTTTTTCGTTTCCATTCAATTATAATTTATGAAAATCCTTCCAAGTTGACTAGAAGAGAGGCAATTCATTCTTACCAGTAGCTAATGAATTTTAATATGGTGTTCCTATGCTATAATTTATTAAATAATTCTCTTAATTGTGGGTCACTAATTTTATTTTCAGTTTATTTGCCGCTATAAACAATGCTACAGTAAACATCCTTGTCCACAGATTATTTAATGGGATAAGAATATATACATTTTGTTCATCAAAGTTGGTTTTGATTTATTGTTTTAATCATGGTACTTTATCTACTTAGACTAAAACATTTAAGCTAATTTTCCTCCTTCTTGAATTGGATCTTATATGAGTACTTTTAGAGGATGTCTGTTAATAGCAAACTTTATTTTTTCTTTTCTTTCTTTCTTTTTTCTATTTTTTTTTTTTTTGAGACAGAGTCTCCATCCGTTGCCCAGGCTGGAGTGCAGTGGCATGATCTCGGCTCACTGCAACCTCCACCTTCTGGGTGCAAGTGATTCTCCTGCCTCAGCCTCCTCAGTAGCTGGGATTACAGGCACGTGCCACCATGCCCAGCTAATTTTTTTTTTTTTGGTATTTTTAATAGAGATGGGCTTTCACAATGTTGGCCAGGCTTGTCTCGAACTCCTGACCTCAGGTAAAGACAGAGCAGGAGCTCCGTCATCTTGGACAAACACCGCCACTTTAAGTTCCAGCTCCCTTCTAGCCTCATGTACTTCAAGCAAATCACTTCTCTTCTAACTACAAGCAGCCAGAAAGAGCAGACAGTAAAACACAGATAAGACAGCTAGGGCACAGGGGGAGGTGAGGGGAAAGTCTCTTGGGTAACTGCCAAACTTCATCCTCATACAATGGGCCCCAGTAAAACAGTGGGCCTTAATAAGCGTATTTCTTTCTCTTCAGGCACACTAAGATAGGGAAGCTAAAAGCAGACTCACTGCAGAAAGATGTATGGGAACAGACACACAACTCTCCCTCCCAGATAAGCACAACAAAGAGACACAGAAACAGTCCAAGCCTCTGATAAATGTTCCCACCCTGAATCCTTAAAAACTCTTAGGCTGTAAGAAAGTATTCCTCTAACCTAACTCGGCAGAAGGCACCTCTCATGTGTGTTTTCTCTAAAATAAATCTGTCTTGACTGGTGAGCTGCCTTTTGTGTTTCTTTCCTCTTTCTTTAATTCTTTCAGGTAATCTGCCCACCTCAGCCTCCCAAAGTGCTGGAATTACACGTGTGAGCCACCATGCCTGGCCTATTTTTTCTATTTTGGAAAAAAGTGTTCATATTAACATGTTTTACTGAAAGATATTTCAGATATACAATTGTTGGTTGAAAACTGTTTTCAAGTAGCACTGTGAATACAATTTCCCTCTATTTACTGGCTCCCATTGATGCTTGAGAAAGTAGTGTCATTTCAAGTGATATTACTTAGGAAGGTTGCCTGTATTTTCTCTTTGGTTGTTTTTCTCTCTAGTCTCTGTTCTGCAGTGTGTGTTCTATGGTGTATGCCAATATGTGCTTTTAAAAAATATTTCTTTCTTGAAATTTTCTGGGATTTCTGATGCTGAGGCTTAGTGTCTATGATAAATTATTGACCATTAATTCTCTTTAAATATTGATTTTCACTCATTTTCTCTCTTTTGTAACTTCTGTTAAGTGTATGCTTGGCATTCTCACTGCATATTTCAGTTCCATAATACATATTTATGTTATCCATTTCTTTGTTCTTCTGCCCTGAATGCTCTGTAATTCCTCTAGATAGATCATCCATTTTACTAATTCTACATTCAATGCTGTCTACTCTGCCATATAACTTATCTATTGAGTTTCTAATTTTAATAATAGTATTTTTAATTTCTAGAACTCTTTTTGGCATTTCCCCCCTAATCTTCTGGATCATTTTTGAGTGTCTCTTGCTCTTTACACAAACTTTTGACCCCTTTTTGCCTATCTTCCGGCTTAACGTCCTTCCTTCTTTTTTCTTTTTTTAAATTTGTACTTCTGGCACAAAGGCATGGATTAATTAAACTATTTGGCTCAGGACACACTTTCAGTATTTGCATAGCTTTCTGTTTTGTGGTTTTAAAACAATATTATAATGAATGCTTGTGAACGTACCATTTAACTTATAAATCAGAAAATTATCCTTCTCCATTGGTATCCTGTATTCTGAATTTCAGGCTTATAATTCCCTTGCTTGTTTTTCTTTTGTTTTCTCCACCCCACCCCCACCCCACCCCTTGCTGCACCTAGCCCCATCTCATACACACACACATACACTCACACACTTAGTATTGCTTATATTCTAGCTTTCTAACTTTGTAACAATGCATTATGCTTTCTGTAATCTTCTGGTGCTTGCTATTTTCACATTGCATATGTCACTAAGATTCGTTCTTTTTTTGCCTAAAATGGAAGTCTACTGATGCTCAGAGCTGAGAAATAGTTTATTGCTTAGGAAATATTGTTGGAGAACACAATGTATTCACTTCTTTGTTGATGGATACTTGGGTTACTTCAGGCTTTTTCTTCTTTTTGTTTTAATTTTTGCTAGTACAAGCTGTGATGTAATGAGCACTCTTTTAAATCTAGAGGAATTTCTGCATTGTAGGGTAGGCAAAAATATAACTTTAAAGGTAATGCTAAATTGCTCTTAAAGTGTTATATCAATTTATATTTTTACCAACAATGCATACAAAATCCCATTGATCAACATAATCTTTAATACTTGCTCAAATTTAATTCTTTATTTTTGGCTAATTAAAGAAGTATAAAATACTTTTTCATTGTGGCTTTCGTTTTCATTGACCAATTTTTATTTCCCTTCTTACTTTTCTCCTTCATGGTTTTTTTTTGGGGTATTCTTGTCTCCTTGATTTTGTAACCAATTTGACAATTTCCATTCAAAAGCCTACTAAAATGTTGATTAGATTTGTACTAAATCTATAGGTTTTGAGATAATTGATTTCATTGTCATGTTAACTCTTCCTACCCATGAACATGGAATGCCTGTCTTTTCATTTAGGTCGAAGTTCAAAGCCTTCAGTAAAGATATAGAATTTTTGAATCATAGGACTCATATGTATTTTATTAGATTTACATTTCCATTATAAATATTATTTTCCAAAGTGGCTACAACACTTTGCATTTACACCTGTAATGTATCTGGAGGCTGAGGCAGGAGAATGGCGTGAACCCAGGAGGCAGAGCTTGCAGTGAGCCGAGATTGTGACACTGCACTCCAGCCTGGGCGACAGAGCGAGACTCCATCTAAAAAAAAAAAAAAGAATCCTCACCAACACATGGTGTTACCTATCATTTTAATTTTAGCCATTTTACTGTGCGTGGAGTGGTGTATCATTGTAACTTGCATTTCCATAATGACTAATGATGCTGAGAATCTTTTCATATGCTTATTTGCCATTCTTATGTTTTCTATTGTGAAATATCTGTTCAAAGCTTTTGCCCATTTTTAACTAGGTTGTTTGTCTTCTTGCTATTGAGTTGAAGAGTTCTTTATATATACTAGATATAAGTCCTTTATTAAATATGTCTTCTGCAAGTATTTTCTCTTCATTGCTGGACTTTGATTTTAAAATATATTTTGTAAAGCAAATATTTTTAATTTTAAAAGTCCAAATAATCAAATTCTCCCTCTCTGTAGCTTCTACTCTGTGGTCCTATCAAGACATCTTTGCCTAACCTAACATCTCAAAGATTTTCTCTTTTACTTTTTCTAGATGTTTTAAAGTTTAGCTCTTATACTTAGGGATTTTATCCATTTGAGTTAATTATTGTTAAGGTTGATGTTCTTATTGTTTTGTGTGTTGATATCCAAGTGTTTCAGCACAAATTTTTGAAAAAACTATCCTTTCCCTCATTGATTTACTCTGCCAGTTTTGTCAAAAATCAATTGACCAGGCCGGGCACAGTGGCTCACGCCCATAATCCCAGCACTTTGGGAGGCTGAGGTGGGCCTATCACCTGAGGTTGGGAGTTTGAGACCAGTCTGACCAACGTGGAGAAACCCCATCTCTACTAAAAATACAAAATTAGCCGGATGTGGTGGCACATGCCTGTAATCCCAGCTACTTGGGAGGCTGAGGCAGGAGAATCGCTTGAACCTGGAAGACAGAGGTTGAGGTAAGCTGAGATCACTCCATTGGACTACAGCCTGGGCAACAAGAGCAAAACTCCATCTCAAAAAAATAAATAAATAAATAAATAATCAATTGACCATACCTGTGTAGGTCTATTCTGTAACCTTGATTCTGTTCCAGGTACCCAAACAACATTGTTGTGATTATGTTAGTTTTTACAGTAAGGACTTAAATCAAGTGGTTTAAGTCCTCCAATTTTTAATTTCTCTTCAAAACTATTTTGGCCACTCCATGTTCTCTGCATTTCCACAAAAATTACAAATTCACTTGTTAACTTCTATTAAAATGTCAGGTGTTATTTTGACTATAAGTGCAATTAATCTATTGGTAATTTGGGAGGAAATTTGACATTTTAATACTATTGAGTCTTTTGCTTATTGAATACAAGATACATCTCAATTCTATTTCGGTAGTCTTTAAATTTTCTCAGCAATGTTTTGAAGTTTTCAATGCACAGGATTTGTGTTATTTTATTAAATGTATCCCTATTTTATGATGCCACTGCATATGGTATTTCCAATTGTTCATCACTGCTATAAAAAAACAATAAATTTGGTATATTGACTGTATCCTGTGATGTTACTATACATTATTAGTTACAGTCAAGTTTTCTGTAAATTCCTTAGAATTTTCTAGGAGACAATCATGTGATTTGCAAATAAGAACTGTTTTACTTTCCAATTTGTATGCCTGTCCAATTTGTATTTTTCAATTTGTATGCCTATTCAATTTGTATTTTACTATCCAATTTGTATGTTTACTTTCCAATTTGTATGCCTCTATTTTTCTTATGTCATTGCACTGGGCAGGACATCTAGAACAATGTTTGCTAGAAGTAATTAGATAAGACACCCTACTCTTGCTTCTCATGTTGAGGAGGAAACATTCAGTCTTTCACCATTAAGTATGATGTTAGCTAGATATTTCAATAAACGTCTCTTAGATTGAGGAAGTTTTCTTCTATTTATAGTTGCCCGAGAGTTTTTAATTGTAAACGAATTTTGGATTTTGTTAATTCCTTTTTCTGCACTTTTTGAGATGATCATAGGCTTTACTTTTTAAATCTTTTAAAATGTGGTTGATTGCACTGAATGTTAGACCCATTTTGCATTCCTGGGATAATTTCTACCTGATTATGGTATGTTATCATTTTGATACATTGCTGGGTTTGATTTGCTAAAATTATGTTAAGGATATTTTAATCTGTGTTGTTGAGGAATATTACTCTGCAGTTTTCCTTTTATATAATGTGGTTTTCTAGTTTTACAAGTGGGGTAATGCTGACATAAAAAAATGATTAGCAAAATGTTCTCTCCTTTCCAATTTTCTGGGAGCATGTATGTGGAACTGGCATTATTTCTTCCTTAGATGTTTGGCAGAATTTACAAGAGAATCTATCTGGGCCTAAAGTTTTAATATGGGAAGGTCTTAAACTATGAACTCAATTTATTTAATAGATATAAGACTATTCAGGTTATTAATACTTATATTATTCTTGAGTTAGGTTTGGTAGTTTGAGTCTTTTCAAAGAAATTGTCTATTTCATCTAAGTTTTCAAACTTATAAGTATAGAACTGTTTGAAGTATTCCCTTGTTATCCATTAATGACTGTAGGATTCTTAATTATGTTTCCTTTTTTATTCCTAACATGGATATTTTATGTTTTTAAATTTTTTTGTAATCAATATCCTTAGAGGCTTATTGACTTATTGATCTTCTTCAAAGAAACAGTTTCTGGTTTCAACAATTAAAATTTTGTTTTCTGTTTTATGTGTTCTCTTTTATATTTGTTATTTTCTTAATCCTGCTTATTTTGTATTTCTTTTGCTCTTTTAAAATTATTGTTTGTTTCTTAAAGTGAAAGCTTAAGTCATTCATCTGAGGTGTTTCTACTCTTCTCTCATATAAGCATTTAATGCTATAAATTTTCCTCTAAGAAGTGGTATTAGCCTGGAGAGGCTGCCTATAAATACATTATCATAGACTGAGTGGCTCCAAAAACAGAAATGTATTTCTTATAGTTCTGGAAGCTGAGAAGTTCAAGGTCAAGGTCCAGCATGTTTGGTTTCTGGTAAGGGCTTTCTTCCCGGCTTCAGTCAGCTGCCATCTGGTTCTGTGCTCAAAAGGCCTTTCCTTAATGCATGTACTCTGGGAATTGGGGGTGAGGGTCTCTCTTCCTCTTCTTGTAAAGCCACTAATCCCAACATGAAGGATCAACCCCCATGACCTAATCCAACCATCATTGTCTCCCAAAGGCCCCATCTCCACGTACCATCACACTGGGGATTAGGACTTCTGCATATGGATTTGGGGAGGGCATAACAATTTACTCTCTCATAGCACTTCTTAGCAGAATTCTACATATTTGAATTCTTAGATTTTCATTTTCTTTAATATGAAATTTCCTGAATTTCTTCTTTAATGTCTTTTGACAAGTGTGTTAATTTCCAAATATTTGTGACTTCTAAAACTACTTTTGTGTGACTTCTCATGTAATTTTATTGTATCTGAGATCATGTTTTGTATGATTTCAATCTTTTAAGTTGTATTTAAACATTTTTTGACCCAGAATATACCCTGTCTTGGTGACTGTTTCATATGTACTTTAAAAAATTTTGTATTCTAGTATTGTGGGTAGAATGTTTTATAAATGTTGGGTTGGTTTATAATGTCATTCAAGTTTTCTATATCCTTGCTGATTTACTGTGTATTTGTCTTCTTGAATTCTGAGATAGAGATTGTTGATGTCTCCAACTGTAATGGAAGATTTGCTTATTTTTCCTTTCAGTTCTATATGTATTCATGTATTAGGACATTCTGTTATTAGATGTATACATATTTAATTTGTGATGTCCTCTGGAAAAATTGGCCTAAGTGGTTATAACATTCCCTCTCTATCCTGGGTAATATTCTCCGTTTGACATTCTAATACTAATGTACCCACTTCATGTGTTGTTTTTATTGTCACTTGCATGGTACACTTGTCTGTCCTTTTACTTTTAGCCACTATGTGTCTTTGCATTTAAAGCAGATTTTTTGAATGGCATACCATTTGATATTACTTTATTTATCCATTCTAATAATCTCTGCCTTTTAATTCTTAGTGTTTCTATATATGTACTTAGTGTAGTTGTCAATATGTTTTAATTTAAATCAACCGTCTTACCATTTGTTACTATTTATCCATCTGATTTTCCCCCTTTCCTGTTATTTATTTCATTTTATTATTTTATTTTTATTTTTATTTTTTTGAGACGGAGTCTCACTCTGTCGCCCAGGCTGGAGTGCAGTGGCACTATCTCGGCTCACTGCAAGCTCCGCCTCCCAGGTTCACACCATTCTCCTGCCTCAGCCTCCTGAATAGCTGGGACTACAGGTGCCTGCAACCATGCCTAGCTAATTTTTTTTTTTTTGTATTTTTAGTAGGGACGGGGTTTCACTGTGTTAGCCAGGATGGTCTCGATCTCCTGACCTCGTGATCTGCCCGCCTCGACCTCCCAAAGTGCTGGGATTACAGGCGTGAGCCACCATGCCCGGCCTCCTGTTATTTTTTTTGGATTGATAATTTCTTTAAAACTTATTTCATATACCCTACTGGGTTATCAATACCACTTTGTTTTAGCTTTTGGTGATTGCTCTGGAGTTTACAATGTAAATATCTTTAATGTATCAAAGACTACTGTCAGATTATATTAGATTCTCTTCCAGACTTTTTGCTATTATTGTCACATATTTATGTCTTCATATGTTATAAACAATACAATACAATTAATTATTTTCGCTCTATTAGGCTATTAATTATCAGAGGACAAAGACATTGCCATATGCATCTTTCCCAAGCCTTTGGAAAATGCCTAGAACACAGTGTGCTTTAAATAAATGTTGATTTAATGAAGGGAGAAAGAAATCACCTTCCCGACCCACATTCACAACAAAACGCTGTCCCTCTGCTGGGTCCTCAGGGTGCCCTGTCCCTCTCCGCTACTCTCCTTCACATGGCTGTGTGTTTCTGGCCCAACCTCTTCAGGGCTATTTTCACATCGTTTTTCGCAGACTGTACATGAGGGGTTGAGTGTTGGGATGAGCAGGGTGTAGAAGATGGAGATTGCCTTGCCCTGCTCCATGGACTCCACAGGCCCCAGCTGGGCATACATGACAAACACAGTCCCGGGAAAGAGAGGCACTGTAGTAATGTGAGAACCACAGGTAGAGAAGATTTTGCATCCCCTAACTGCGGAGTACATCCTCAGGATAGTAGCTGGGGTGTAGCCACAGGAGATGAGGACCACAAACGTCACACCCACCATAATGAGCTAGCAATCCCATTACTGGGTATATACCCAAAATATTATAAATCATTCTACTATAAAGACACATGTACACGTATGTTTATTGCAGCACTGTTCACAATAGCAAAGACTTGGAACCTACCCAAATGCCCATCAATGATAGACTGGTTAAAGAAAATGTGGCACATATACACCATGGTATACTATGCAGCCATAAAAAAGGATGAGTTCGTGTCCTTTGCAGGGACATGAATGAAGCTGGAAACCATCACTCAGCAAACTAACACAGGAACAGTAAACCAAACACCACATGTTCCCACTCATAAGTGGGAGTTGAACAATGAGAACACATGGACATAAGGAGGGGAACATCACCCACTGTGTGTGTGGGCCTCTTGGGGGGTGGGGGACTCTGGGAGGGATAGAATTAGGAGAAATACCTAATGTAGATGATGGGTTGATGGATGCAGCAAACCACCATGGCACGTGTATACCTATGTAACAAACCTGCATGTTCTGCACATCTATTCCAGAACTTAGAGTATAATAAAAAACAGAAATACAAATAAAATAAAATATTATATTTTAATATATTACTTTTTTCTAATCTATGAACATGATCATATTGTCTGCAAATAATGGTCATTTTGATTATTTTCTGAGTCCTATTTTTGCTATCCCTGGGCCTTTAATTTACATTTTAGTTAGTTTTTAACTTAGTGCACTTGCTGGGAACTCCAACACAATGTTGCATTTACATGGCAATAGAAGGTGTTGCATCCTTGACTTGTTTTCAATTTTAAGGAAAATACTTTCAATATTTCAAAGTAGAAGTTTTGGAAAACTCCTATTCCTGGTTTGCCAAGAGTTTTTTTCAAAATGAATGTTGAATTTCCCCAGATACTTTTACTGCAGCTATTGAGATGATCATATGTATTTTCTTTTTTCATTCTGCTGATAATTTAAGGTACAAAAATTGATTTTTAAGTATTTAACAACCTTGCATTTCTGATGTAAACACAAGTTGGTTGTAATATATGATATTTGTCTATATGTATATGTGTGCATGTAAGTACACACACACACACACACACACACACACGCAGGGTAGACTTTTAAGACTTTTGTTTTTTTCCTTTCTTTGTTTCTTTTTTGAGACTGGGTCTTGCTCTGTCACCCAGGCTGGAATGCAGTGGTGCAGTCACAGTTCATTGCAGCCTCAACCTCCCAGGCTCAAGTGATCCTCAGCCTGCCAAATAGCTGAGACACAGATGTGTGCCACCATGCCCAGCTTTTTTTTTTTTTTTTTTTGAGAGAGAGAGACAGGGTCTCCCAATATTGCCTAGGCTAGTCTCAAACCTCTAGGCTCACGTGATCCTTTCATCTCAGCCTCCCAAAGCATAAGAGATTTTTTTTGTTTGTTTATTTGAAAAATTTTCCATCTGTATTCATGAGAGACGAGGGCCTGCAATTCTATAATGTCTTTGTCAGATTCAGAAATCAAGATAATGCTGGCCTTATAAAATGAATTCATTAGCGTTCTTTCTATTTCTAATCTTGGGAATGCCGTGGTCATGTTTCTTTCTTAAAAGTTCAGGAAACTCATTGGCAGAGTTTTCTGGGTCTGGAATTAATACACATGCAAAATTTATAATTGTGAATTCAGGGTCTTTGCTTTCTGTATAATCACTGAGCTTTTTAATTTCATCTTATGTTGGCTTTGTTAAGGTTGCATTGCTGTAGAAATATTTGTCCTTTGCATCTAAATTTTTGGTTGATCTGATGTTGCTCATAACATCCTCTCACCACTGTTTTAATATATGTAGTCTCTGTGTGATGCCCTGTTTCATTCCTGACGTTGGTCACTGATGCTGTTTTCTTTTTGCTTAATCCACCTGGCCATGTGTTTATCACTCTCATTAACCTTTAAAAAGAATAAATTTTAACTTGGTTGATCCTCTATATTGTGTGTTTATTTCTTATTTTATTATACTCATAATTATTTCTTCCTTTCTACATTCTTTGGGTTACATTTGCCCTTTTACTAATTTCTTGAGATGGAATGTCATTGAAAGAGATAGTTGTCTTTCATAAGAAGATATGAATTTTTTTCTGTTGCACTTTTTAGATTTTCCATAAAAATTTGGTTTTCATAATCTTAACTGACATATCCAACTATCATTTTTTGGTAATAAATCTCTTACTTGAGGTTTCATCAATTTTGGAAAACTCTCACCTATTATTTTTTCAAACATTGCTTCCAGCTCATTCTCTCACTCCTGCACTCAAGGACTGCACTCTTACATATGTTCAGCCTTATTACCATATTATTCCCTATATCTTTTCTACTTTTTCAGCATTTTTAAATTCTTTTGTCTCTTCATGCTTAAGTGTGGATATTTTCTTTTGATCTATATTCCAGTTAACTAATTCTCTCTGCAGCTACATCTAATCTGTTGTTAAAATGATTCATTGAGTTCTTAATTACAATTATTTTATTTTTTAATTCCTGAAACATACTAATCATACTTATTTTGAAGTACATGTCTGATGGATTCTGTGAATCTGCTCCTAATGGTTACTGTTTCTCCTTGTTTTTTGTTATTTTTCTGTGAGACTGGTTACTTTTGATTACATACCAAATATTGTATATCTTAAAATGTGTGGATAATTTCAGGCTCTGGATGATATCACCATCCAGACAAGCAATCTCTGACCACACTAATTCAATCAGAAATTGATGAGATTTGAATTTGGGAGATAGTGTGAAACCTTGTGAAATCTAGTCTGCTTTTAGTTTACTGCTACTTCTAGGATATTGCTCTTCAAATACCCCTCTATTAGGTGCCAATTTTTGTCCACTAAACCCATGAATGCTAGTTACTTTTCAGCATCTCAGTAGCAACTTTAGCCGTTGCCAATTTTCACAAAGGAAAAAGCCCCAATACATTTTATTCTCACCTATCTTGGTTTAATCTACATTTCTATCTCAGTCCCCTAATCATTACTATCCTAGTCACTAATTATTTTAAACAATGTAAAAATATTTTTAAATATTTCATATTTCATCAAGAGGATTTGTGTAGTTTTTCCCTTCCATTGCTAGGAACAGAATTCTCGTTTTATCATTTTCCATTCTTTTCTTTTTGAACTTTCTGTGTCATTTTGTTTTAAATATATCTCATCAAAAAACAAGTAGTTGTTTGTTTGTTTTACCATTCTGGGAGCCATTTCCTCTGAATAGGCTAATTTACTACATTTATCTTTGTTGGGCTTTTGATATTTTTAAACTTATAACTCATATATTTTCTTGTATTTTGTGTTGGCCATCTTACTTCTTTTCTTACTAATTTTTGTACAAATCATTGAGTCTTTTCTTCCACTTTTTATTCTCAATATTTGTATATTACACATTTATTTCTATTTTTCCAGTAGTTACTCTTACATTTTTAATATATATGTTAAATATATACTTTGTATTGATGTCTGGAGTGAATCAGAATCTCCATTCCTCAAGAAACCCAGAACATTAACATGATCTTCCCCTTAGACCACCACCCTAATATTAACATCCTTCAGCAGCTTAGATTTAAAAATATAAACATTGTATTACATTCTGTATCAAAAGTCATGAGGCTTAAAATATATTTTACTTTCTTGTTTTTCACCATGATCTCTTTTACCTGTCTTCATCTTTCTTGAAAACATTTACTTTTCTGGAATACACCATGTACAACTGTCTCATTGTTTATTTGATAAAGGGGATGGGCCAGAATCTTGTCTTGTGATGTCTGTGCACACATCTGGGGACATACCTTTCTCTGTCTCCAGTTCCTGCAAAGCACCACTCTTTAAACCTGTGGATAGGCACCTTCTTATACCCTATGAGAAAACTGGGGAAGAGCTGACTGATCCAGATTGGTCCAAAAGTAGCTCCCAAGAGCATCACCTGGTGGATGGCCCAGAGTCTCTTCCTGTGTCCTGCATCTGTTCATACAGCCCCGCCATGCCCACCCCTTAGCAATCTTCTGTATATATTTGGGGCTTTGTACTGTATCGCTTACTCTACAGATTTTTTTTCCTTTCTGAAGAATTCTTCAAAATGCCTTCTTGCTGATGACATTTTTTCTTGATTTTCCAAATGATTATGGATTTATTACATTCAGAAACTATCTTTTGTATTATCTACTGGGATCTGGTGTGGGAGAGAGAAAAGAAAATATGCGTATTCAGCCATCTTGATACAATACGGCTTTAATTTGTATAATGACATAATCAATGACACTTATGTCAGCCAAGTATTTTGATATTTATTATGAATTTTTTATTACCTTTCAAATGAATTAAAGCTGTCCTTTGCTATCTGTCTCTATTCTAGTCCTATAAGAAGTGAGTCAGCCATCACTTTGAACTGTTTACTAAGAATCCCAGTGCTTGTTTTTTGCAACCTGAAAGTAACATACTCCCCCGGGGTTCTACCTTCAGACTAACTCTGTGCAGACTAACAGGCAAACTAACAAGCTTGAAACTCTTGCCTCATTAAGGAGTTTCTAATGAGCTAATCAAACGTGGGTAGAGTTTGGCCAAAGAAAGGCCCTTAGGGAATCTGGATTCTGAGACAGAAAGGAGAGGGAAGTAAACCCTGGAGACCTCAGCCTAGACAACATGAAGATCCTAATGAGCTGGGCCTGGCTGGCAGCCGGCTCAGTAAGCACATGCAGTCAGACAGCAGATCATAAGGATCCTGGGCTTTTGGCCCCAGCCTCTAGTGAGATAGCTTGGCCAGCTGCATCTTCTAAGGGATTCAAGTTGCCAAACCACCCGCATCTGCAAAGGCAGGCCTCACCATCCATAGGCCCAGATGAGCAACCCATCCCCATGCAAAGCTCCTCCTTTGTCTAAGCCATCAAAACACTGGGGTCCACATAGCTCAATATCTCATGGGACTAGAATCAGAGAACCTGGAAATATTCAGAAGTTCACTTAGTCCAATCCCATCATAAAATGAAGCCTAGACAAACTAAAATTTTACAAGCTGCATGCATTTTACAAGCCACATAAATTCCAATGTCAATCATAAAGAGAAAAGGTGCAAAAATGACAAAAGTTTGAAAAAGAACAATGAGGTGGGATTTTTTTTCAACCAGATGTTGACATTTATTACAAAAGTAGTGATTTCTGGTGCTGTTGGCTTCCTAGAAAGTCAACCATTTGGTCTGTTATCAGGCGATTAGCATCGCCACCCTTCCATGACAGAGACCAGACATGCAGATGCCAGCGCTCGGTCCCCCTTGCAGCTGCAGTATCCATATTTGATGCAGTTGTGATTCATCATTTGGAAATCATCTGGGAAATACTTTCCTCCTGATCAAAAGCGACAGTAGGGCAAGATAGACTCTGTAGAAGAGATTAATGGCTGTCCTTTAACACTGATTTCCTTGTGTGATGTTGTAATAGAATCCTTGTTGATAGCTGTTGCATATTCACCCAGAATAAAGACAGGAGCTTTCATCCTCCTGCAAAACACTGTGGTCATGTAACCAAGTTGCAGTTAAAGTAGTATAGCCAAAGTGTCACACAACAGCGTCCCAGAACCTTCCAAAGACACAGCACGATATGTCTGCTGCCCTCTCATTTTTCTCTTCCTTTAGCCTGCTATTTATTAGGCAGATGTCACCATGTGGAGCCAGGACTTCAAGTTCAACATTGGTGGAGCAAAAAGGCAGAAGGAATGTGAGTTACCATCATGCACCAGTGCTGCACCACCTGCCAGGAACTTCACATAAAAATAAACGACCCTGGCCGGGCGTGGTGGCTCACACCTGTAATTCCAGCACTTGGGAAGCCGAGGCGGGCAGATCATGAGGTCAAGAGATTGAGATGATTCTGGCCAACATGATGAAACCCCATCTCTACTAAAAATACAAAAACTAGCTGGGCGTGGTGTCACGTCCCAGCTACTCGGGAGGCTGAGGCAAGAGAATCGCTTGAACCCAGGAGGCGGAGGTTGCAGTGACCCAGATTGCACCACTGCACTCCAGCCTGGGCAACAGATTGAGACTCCGTCTCAAAAAAAATGACCCTTTCTTTTATTTAAGCCACTGTTGTTTGGGTTTTCCATCACTCACAGCTACTTGAACCATAAGTAACAGGACTTTTCTCCATGTGCCCTTCCTTTCTGTCTGTGGCTTTGTGGGAGCAAGGTATGATGTCTGGAGCTACGGTAGCCATCTTCATGCCATGAGTCAACCACCCTGAGCATGAAAGTCAACACTCTGAGGAGGGGCGAGGAGGAGGAAGAAAAAACCTGCACCTCTGAGCACTTGAAACAACCTTCAGACCAACCAGTCCTGGGCTTGTTATGCATGGTAATAGCACTATTAATTTTAAACCACTTTTAGTCAAATATTGGTTGCTTTCAGCCAAAAACATCCTAAATAAGTCAGATATGTTAATTGAAACTAAATTGTTAGTGGAGAAATAGACAAACAGATCAGTAGAACAACCTCTAGAGTCCAAAACAGATGTTTGTAAACATGGGATTTCAGACCAGTGGAGTTTGGGGCAATAGGCTTTTTACTTGGGGGAAAAGTGAGAATCCTACCTCAAATAATACAAAGAATAAACTCCAGATGGATTGAAATCAAAATATAAAAGTAATACAAATAAATAGAAGAATATTTTTGTGGTCTTGGAGTAGAGAAGTTTTTTTTATAAAGCTACAAATCTTAGAGGAAATAAAAAAAATTTAAGCTTCTCTATAATGAAGGACACTACAGATGAAGTTGGTAGATAAATAGAAAAACCTGGAAACAATATCCAAAACATGCTAGGCGAGTGAAAAATAATTATTGGGATATATTGAGAATTCTTACACATCAATAAGAAAAAGATTTTTAAAAAACTAACTGGAAGGCCAGGCGTGGTGGCTCACACCTGTAATTCCAGCACTTTGGGAGGCCGAGGCAGGTGGATTATGAGGTCAGGAGATCGAGACCATCCTGGCCAACACCGTGAAACCCCGTCTGTCCATTGAGATGGACAGACTGGACTCCATCTCAAAAAAACAAAACAAAACAAAACTAACTGGAGATGGACAAAGGTTAGAAACGCACAAATATAGGAGAGGAAATACAAATGAACGATCAACATGAAAAGATTGTAAGTCTCAATGATAAACATCAATTTTCCATGAACAAAGTAAACTATGAGGTTAAATATGCTCAACCTCAATGAAGAGACATTAAATTTCAATGATTGGGGAAAATAAAACCCGAAATAGTTATGTTTTGTTCATAAGTTTGTCAAACATTAAAAGGATCGCTGGCACCTGGTTTTTGATAAGAATGTCATCTTCACTTGGTTATCTCAGAGATCTCTCATAATGGACCTATCCAAAAAAATCCTCTCTTAATCTTTCCTTCCCAATCTCTTCTTTATTTCATTTCTGGATCTTCCATTCATCACTCAAGCCAAACATCTGAAATTCTTAAAAACATCTTTTTCTTTCTCTTATAATATCTAACTTATTTCCAGTCATAACCTGCATCATTAAGACATTTAAAAGTGGAAACAAGGCCCAGCACAGTGGCTCATGCCTGTAATCTCAGCACTTTGGGAAGCCGAGGTGGGCAGATTGCTTGAGCTTAGGAGTTCGAGACCAGCCTGAGCAACACGGCAAAACCCCACCTCTACAAAACATACGAAAATTAGCCGGGCATGGTGGTGCACACCTGTAGACCCAGCTACTTGGGAGAATGAGGTGGGAGGATCGCTTGAGCCCAGGAGGTTGAGGCTGCAGTGAGCTGTGATCATGCCACTGCCCTTCGGCCTGGACAACAGAGTGAGAACCTAACTCAAAGAAAAGAAAAGAAAAGCGAAAACAATAACACAAGTTTTAGCATATGTAGGATAACTTCATTCATGTTAAAAATATTCAATACATATCCATGTGAAAATCAATGTATATAAATGCAAAGGCAAATAACTGGGTGATGTAAGTCTATTTACATCACTTACTTCTGCCAAGGATAATGGGGAAGGAAAAGGGAGATTGGAAAGTAAGAGGGGGCTTCAGTGTCTCATTTCTTATTCTTATAAATTTATAGACTTCTTTCCATGTGACTGTGTTTCCAAGAAATAAGATAGCTGAATCGATAAACTTATTGTTTTAAAAAATATGAACTAACAGACAGCTACAGCTATTATGACAATTCCCCATAAATACCCAAACCCATTTTCCATGTTTTATTTATATGTTCTAAACGCTTTGTTGCATATTCCTCCAGATTATATATTTCTGGGTGCCTATCTCTGTGTCTGTCTGTTATTTTCTCCCTCTCTTTTTCTGACAGAGTCACAGTTTTTCTCTATATGGGTGGACTACAGTTTACATGCTTTATTTAACCAATGTCCTATTGAAAGATTTTTTTTTTTTTTTTTGGCAGGGTCTCACTCTGTCACCCAGGCTGGAGTGCAGTGGCCCGATCTCAGTTCACTGCAACCTCTGCCTCCCGGGTTCAAGTGATTCTCCTGCCTCGGCCTCCCGAGTAGCTGGG
This sequence comes from Homo sapiens, assembly GCF_000001405.40. NCBI lineage: Eukaryota > Metazoa > Chordata > Mammalia > Primates > Hominidae > Homo > Homo sapiens. The sequence goes on along the minus strand of NC_000002.12, from coordinate 240,071,492 downwards.
ATTACAGGTGCACATCACTATGCCCGGCTAATTTTTGTATTTTTAGTAGAGATGGGGTTTCACCATGTTGGCCAGGCTGGTCTCGAACTCCTGACCTCAGGTGATCTGCCTGCCTTGGCCCCCCAAAGTGCTGGGATTCTAGGCCTGAGCCTCCATGCCCGGCCCCTACTGAAAGATTTATAAGTTGTTTCTTATATATTTATAATTTGTTTCTTATATTTCCATTGTTTCCTAAGGGACTGCAACAAAAGTCTGTCTGCACCAGAACAATGATTTTTGGAGGCGAGATTCATAATAATAGATGAAGAGTGTCAGAAGGTAGGTTCCTTTTACAAGGGCTGATAAATTATCCTCCAAACATGAAATGCTAATTAACACTTCAAAGTGCTGAGTTGGCCTATTTCCCCACAACCTGTGATGATTAAATTTAATTAGTATTTTTGAATTTCAGCTACTCTGACAGGCCCGAAGAAAAAATAATACTTCAATGTTATTTGTCAAACCGTATTCACTTAATTTTAAGTGATGTCAATCATATTTTCTTACATTTTTTGGCCACTGATAATTCTTTTTTTGAAGTTTTAAATCATATTCCGTGTTTATCTTGGAATATAGAAGCTGTTGGAAAGTTTACCTTTCGTGAATCCATTTTTTAAAATTACTAGAAATTTGACCAAATGATGCTTGACTTGGGATAAAACATCAATTTAAGAAAAATAAATGTTCAAGAAACACAGCAGTGAATAATGAATTCAGAGGCCGGACTTCCAAAATGGTGGCATGAGGGTTTCTATAAATCTGATCCTCCAGGCCAGGTGCAGTGGTTCATGCCTGTAATCCCAGCACTTTGGGAGGCCGAGGGGGGCAGATCACTTGAGGTCAGGAGTCTGGCCTGGCCAACTTGGTGAAACCCCCATCTCTACAAAATATACAAAAAAAATTAGCTGGGCATGGTGACAAATGCCTGCAATCCCAGCTACTCGGGAGGCTGAGGCAGGAGAATTGCTTGAATCCAGGAGGTAGAGGTTTCAGTGAGCCAAGATTGCGCCACTGCACTCCAGCCTGTGGGACAGAGACAGACTTGTCTCAAAAAAAAAAAAAAAAAAAAAAAAAATTCCTCCATTAAAGTAACAAGAATACTGGCAAAATTATCAAAGTCAACTTTTTCAAAATTCCAGAAATTAGCCAAAGTTCATGACGCTCTGAAAAGTGTTTACAAAAGAAAAATGACTGAAACTTGGTTAGAATAGCAAGGGCTATGGCATTTTAACTTGATATCTCTCATCTCATCTTTCCCACCAACATGGTGTGGTAGCCTGGAAAACCAGCTGCCTTGCAGCCACCAAAAGGGAAAGGCTGGTTTTGAAACTTCTCAAGAAGACAACCCTAGAGCATTGTCACTGTGACCTGCAGTTCCCCAAGAAATCCGTATTTATGTCATGGCTATTGGATCTGACCCAGAGAGCTCAGTTATACCCCTAGGGCATTGTTGAAGAGTCAGCAGCAATTGTTTACCTTTGCAATTGCCTAATGCTGCAATATCATTATTTCTAGGGCAAATAAGAACTCAACTAAAAATGTAAAAGAAAGACATGGGGTGTAAGATATCCAGAGGCTTTGAAAAGCTCCTATGTATTCCTGGGGATCCAGAAGTCTGCATACAAGCATATGTCTGCATGCCTGCCCAGGAAAGACTAGAGGAGCCCAGTCAGTCACCTCTGGCTGACCTTGAGGCCCTGTACAAGCAGAAAGTAAAGGTTAAGACAGATTTGAAGGAGTGACTCTAACACACACAGATACCCTTAGGAAAGGGTGGAAGACTTACTGGCTGATGGCATTTAAGAAAATCTAAATGAACATTGACTGACAATTAAGTCAAGGTGAGTCAAGGGTGACTCTTAGAAAGCCAAGCTTAAAAATAAAAACCAAAATTTAAAAAATACCCAGAGGCTTCAGTGGCCATAAACTGTAGAGAAAACAGACTCTACAGAATAATCTGAGGAAGGTCATCAAACAAACAAACAGCAACAAAACCACCTACAACAAACCAAGGGTGGGCTTATACCAGAGTTGTCACATTATATTATTTAAAATGTCAATTTATCAATGAAAAATGATGAGACACAAAGAAACAGGATAGTATGTCTCACACAGAAAAATAAAGCTGTCACTTAAAACTGTTCTTAATGGTACTTAGATGGTGGTTTGTCTAAAACTTATTAGACAAACACATGAAATCAGCCACTGCAAACATGTTCAAAGAACTGAGGAAAATCATGTTTAAATAATTCAAGGAAAGTATGTACAATGATGTCTTATCAAATGGAAAATACCAATACAGAGATAGAAATTACCCATCATATTATTATATATAATATACATATATATATATATAAAGATATATATATATATACGTATATCCCCAAATAGAAATTTTTGGGACAAAAAGTACTATAACTGAAATAAAAGAATTTACTAGAGGTGCTCAACTATAGAAAAAAGAATCAGCAGACTTGTAGATAGGTCAATAGAGATTATTCAGAGTAAGAAACAGAAAGACTGTAGAATGCTTAAAAATAATCAAAGCATCAGAGACTTACAGGATACCATCAAGTGTACCAACCCATACTTACTAGGAGTCCCAGAAGGAGAGGAGCAAATTAAGCATAAAAAGGATTTGAATAAATAATGGTGGAAAACATCCCAAACTTGATGAAAAACATTAATCTATAAATAGAAGAAGCTTAATGAATTTCAATTACAATAAATCCAAAGGGATCCACTCCTAAACATATCATAGTCAAACTTTCAAAAGCCCAAGACAATAAGAGAAAGCAGCAAGGCAAAAAATGGCTCCTCATATATCTAATACTCAATCAGATTAATGCTTAACATCATCAGAAATGATGAAGCCAGAAGGTAGTGGAATAACATATTCAAACTGCCAAAAGAAAAATTACATAACACTGGAATAACCTAATATAACACTGGAATAACCTAACATAACACTGGTATAACATGAAAAATGGCATCTGACTTTTCCTTGTACACAATGGAGGCTAACAATGGAACAACATTTTTAAGGTATTGAAAGGAAAACACTGTCAGCATAGAATTCTATGCCCAGCAAAAATATTCTTCAAAATGAATGCTAAATGAAGACATTATCAGGCACAGAGAAGCTGAGATCATTTGGAACCTTCAGGCCTGCACTAAGAGAAATTCTAAAGGAAAATCTCCCAGCGTAAAGAAGATGATATTAATTGGAGCCCTGAATCTTCAATGAAGGAATAAACAGGACTTGAAAGGGTAAGAATGAACATATGAGCAAAGGCAAAATAATTTTTTTTAGAAAGCAAAAAACAAACAAACAAAAAGTTCAGGAGGGGAGTACATGAAATTATACAAATGTAACATTTCCATATAGTTCATCTTATAGCATAGTATTAATTGAAGATAGACTGTAATATGTTAAAGGTACATATTTCAACTTCTAGAATAACCCCTGAAACTAACTGTATTAACTTCCTATTGTTGCTGTAACAAACTCTATTATCTTACAATTCTAGAGGTCATAGTCTAAAGTGGGTCTTATGGAACTAAAATCAAGGTGTGAAAAGAGCTGCATTTCTTCTGGAGTCAATTCAGAAGAGTCTGAATTTTCCTGTGTCCAGAAGCTGCCCACATATCTTGGCTCTTGGCTGCATCACACTGGCTTGGGTTTCCACCATTATATCTCCTTCTGTGACTCTTGCCTTCCTCTTCCATATTTTAAGGACTCTGCGATCACATTGAACCCACGAAGATAACCCAGGGTAGTTTTCCTATCTAAGGATCCTTGTCTTAATCACATCTGCAAAGTCTTTTTGCCATGTAGGGTAACATTAGCAGATTCTGGAGATTAAAATGTGGACATCATTAGGGGAATATTATTCTGTCTACCACACTAACAAAAGAAATGTAGCTAAAATATCAACATGGAATATAAAGCAGAACATTTTAGAGGTGCATAATTTATCCAAAAGAGGAGAGTAAAAGAGAAACAGAAACAATGAACAAAGGAAATAGAAAGACATTAAAATGGGAATCTTAGGACATGTCATTTATTGTATTAAGTGTAAATTGAGTAAATACTCTACACAAAAGAGTTAACTTTATTTTTAAATTTTAAAATACGTAACTTTGCTTAAAAGAGGCAAATTGTTTTGAAACAATGAAGTTGAGTGCTGTTGACTCAACTACTCTGTGCTGAATTCAAAGAGATCTGTCTCATTTCCTTAGTGGTTTCCTGAGCTCTAATAGATAGGAACAAGCATCTTTCTCCTCAAATATCCATGGCAAAGGCTGAAAAGTATTAAATTAGCATTTTCCCTTTCCCAGGAAGAATGGGGGATGTAGGCCAAGCAAAGCGGAAGAATTTTCCAAAAATGCTTGACTGTGAAATTCTCAGCCCAACACAGGTTGACCAGTCAAAATAATTTTCATCCTATAATTAGCTCTAAAACTCAAAGACTAAATAGACAAACTAAAGTAATCCTTGTGGTTAATATTGCTATTGCATTGCTTAGAAGGAAAGCTGTTCCAATAGAATTCTCTCTTCTTCTGAGAGCAGGAACCTAACAGAGATCCAAGGAACATTTAAGTTTAGCAAAAGGTTATTTCAGAAAGCTAGCAGAAAGGAAAGTTAGTGGAAAGCAAATCAGCTCAGACATTTTGTGGTGCTTATCCATATTTTTGCCTGCATGGAATGCCTTACCTTTCTGAAAAATGCCCTCCCGCAACACTGTGTGGTTTGAATGGATGCTGCCATCTTCTGACACGTTTGGAATCTTTGTCACTTGTGTTTTGCCAGAAGAAGGTACCTAACAGCAAGTGGGGCCTAGAGGACTTCCTTGAGATTTTTTGAAGCTCATAACCAGACGAGCAACCCCCCGAGGAGGTGAAGTAGGATAAACGAAGCATGGAAACTGTTGGCAACTTTCTTGCTGTACAAAGAAAGATCATCCGGGACAAAAAAGGCCAACTGATTAACAGACTGTATGAAATTCGAACATCCCTTGAGCCTTGCGCCCAGGTACCCTTGAGACCAGTTGGTCACCTGCTCTGCCTGCCGTTCCACAAACCTTCCAGCAAATTCCTATTCTTCAATGTCTTAGTTGCAGTTGGACTCCTTTCCTTTCCAAGGTAGAATATATGATATTTTTCTCATGAGCGACTCTTCTCCAAGACACCAAATATTTCTCTCCACCTCAGAGGTGACTCTGTTGCAAGTAGTTAATAGTCATTCCAATTAGAGCTGAAGACCTCATACTATGATTTGCCTTTCTGATGTAATGTTTACTTTCTAGCTTCTGAGCTCATAATTGACAATGGCATTACTTTTATTTGCAGCAGGATTTCTAGATGTTGCAAAAATCATTAATGGGTTTTTTTGATTTAGGTAGTTATAAAAAGTGAGAAAAATTAAAATGGCCTTTTTTGTCTGTGTCAAAGGCTGCCAATATTGAAGATGACTGGAATTGTAATAATAGTATGCCAATAAATTCAACAACATATTATTTTTAAGATAGAGACAGTGTCTCACTCTCTCACCTAGGCTGCAGTGGCGCAATCATTACTCACTGCCACTTTGAACTCCTGGGCTCAAGCAATCCTCCTGCCTCAGCCTCCTGAGTAGCTGGGACTACAGGTGCGTGCCACCAGGCCCAACCGAAATTCAAAAACTTCAATGAAAAGTCCAAATATTTTAAAAATGTACCTAATCAAAACGGAAACAAGCAGAATAGAAAACCTGAAACAGCCATGCATCTATTAAATACATGGAATTTGTAAACAAAACCTTCTTACCAAGAAAATGCCAGGACCATGTGGTTTCATTGAAATTGTTAACAAAAAATTTAATGACAAATAACACCAATCTTACAGAAATTGTTTCAGACAATAAACGCGGTGCTGTTTTCCAGCTCATGGTTGAAGCTAGTAAAACCCTGCTATCAAAACATGAAGAAGACGCTACAAGAGAAGGAGACTTCAAACCAAGCCTTCATTAACATAGACATAGGCACAAGAGTCTCTGAAAATATTAGCAAACAAATCCAGCAATACAAAACAGGGCATCTCATCATGACCAAGTAGGGTTTCTTCCATGAATTCACCATTAGAATACCCATAATTTACCATATCAACAGAACAAAAGAGAAACACCATACCCCTAGCATCTCAATAAATTCAGAAGAAAAAAGGCCTTTGACAAAAATTCAACACACATTCAAAGTAAATATTTCAGAAAATAGGAACAGAAGAATTGAATAAAACTGTCTCAATCCAGAAAAAGAGCATTGACAAAAACTTAAAGCTGACATCACGCATGATGTTGAAAAACTGAATGTTTATCCGCTAAGATCAGCAATAAGGCAAGGATATCTGCTTTTACTACCTGTTGTTAACATTGTGCTGAAGCCTTCAGCAAATGCATAGGGCAAGGGAAAAAAATGCGTAGAGATTGGACCAAAAAAAAGAATTTAAATGTTGTTTATTCACAACACAATTTTCTACATATAAAATACTCGAGAATCTATAATTCAACTATTAAATCAAGTAAGTAAATTTGGTAAGACCATGAGCCATGATATACAAAAATGAACTGTTTTTCTGTAATTAGCAACAAACAAATAGGAAAAATAAAAATTTTAAAAGGTATGGAAGATGCCTACCCTAAGAACTGCAAAACATTGGTAAGATAAATTAAAGAAGTCCTAAATAGAGAAATGTATGATGTCCATATTATTTAAATGTGAATTCCCCCTAGTGATCGCAGATGGAACCATCAAAATATAAAAATTAGTAAAGAGTAATTGAAGTATTAATAAGTAGGTAAACAATTATTAGCTGTTTGAACAATAAGAGCAAGGACACATACTTTAAGATTTATGTAGAATTTTGTAAACGTTGAGAAAGATGAAATGAAATTAAACTATTTTAAAGTTCTAACATTATCTTAGTGGTAATAAATATAATTAATCTTAATAGATTGTAATAAGAGAATAATGCATGTTGTCTTTTGTAGGATAGCCAGAAAATAATAAAGAATATATAAAAATTTAATAAAGGAAAAATTGAAATACAAAAAACAATTCAAGTGAAAGTAGATAAAAGTAAAAGTAGGGGTATAAAAGAGAGGCCAACTTTTAAAAAATAGGCAAAAGATGTCAACAAAATTATGTCAGCATTTACATTAAGTTATTTAAGTATTCTGTTTAAAAGACTGAGATTATCAGGTTGGCTAAGACATACCTTAAATATAACGACACAGGAAAAATGGAAGCAGAAGTAAGGGGAAATTCTATGTCATAAAGTTAACCAAAAGAAATCTTGTACACCTATAGCAATATCAGATGATTCTACCTTAAAGCGAGAAGCCATTCAAGAAATAAAGAGAAATGTTACAATGATAGAGGTGGGTTTGTATGCTGTGCAACCTAGGCAGGTTGTCTTACAGCCCTTTATGAGCTCAAAATTTCTTGGCAGTGATGGAAACTCACCTGATGCAGTATCCACCTGAACCACTTAACATTATCCTTGTGGTACCTGGGAATAGGCAAGGGGAAATGATGCAAGCATGAAGTTTATACATTCTCCCATATCATGAGTAGTAAACTCTGTTGTCTCTACCTTCTGTCGGCATCCATGAAAGTGTGGCAGACTTAATTGGTAGCTCATAATTAGGTAAAATCTCAAATTCTTCACAATTCCTGACAAATATGGATGGCCAATAAACCCATGAAAACATGCTCTACATTGTTAGTAATTAGAGAAAAGGAAATTAAAATCACAACAAAATACCTGGCACATTCACTTGAAGAGCTAAAGAATGGCATTACTAAATCTAGGTTAGGATGCAGAGCAACTAAAACCCTCATATATTGTTGGTAAGAATGTAAAATGGTACAGCCCATGAAAAGTTGTATGTAAGCTCAAAATACAATTTCTGCATAACCCAGAAATTGCATGCCTTATTTATTTATCCAACAGAAATCCCTGTACACACAGATACATACACAAATGCTCATAACAGCTTTATTCATAATAGCCAAAATATAGAAACAACTCAAATACCAATCAACAGATAAGTAGATTAAAATATGTGGTATATTCATATGCTGGGGATACTATTCAACAATAAAAAGGGAACAAATTATGCACCCAACAATATGGATGAATCTCAAAAACATGTTGAGCAAAAGAAGCCATGCTGTATGATTCCACTTACACAAAGTTTTAGAAAAGGCAAACATAAATCTATAGTGACCAAAAGCAGATCAATAGTTCCTTGAGCAGTGGGTAGAGATCATTTGCTGCAAATGGACATAAATGAACTTTTTTGGGATGACTGAATGTTCTATCTTGATTGTGGTAGTAGTACACAATTTTATACATTTGATAAAATTCATAAAACTCTACACTTAAAATAGTGTATTTTAATACACTATAGCTCATAAGGTTGTATCAAAAGGAACATTCCAATAAGAAAAATCTATAGCAATTTGATACTTGGTCAAATATTATAAGTTCTCCCACCACACACACATGCACGCACACACACACCCCACACACAAAAATATTCAGGTTAATTTATTCTTATTTCCATTGTCTCAAGATAATTTGTTAAAAAGCCTATCTTTCCCCATCAAACTACCTTAGTACTTTTACCAAAAATCAATTTACCATTTATATGTCATCAATTTCTGAATCATAGCATATTCTATACCACTGGACTACATATCTGTCATCATGCCAATCTCACCCTGACTTTATTACTGTAACTTTATAGTAGGTGTTGAAATCAGGCAGTAGATACCCTCCAATGTTGTTTTTCTTTTTTTTTTTTCAAAATGGTTTGAACTCTTCAAGGTCCTTTCCTTTCTATACAAATCTAGGGTCAGATTTTCAATTTGTGAAGCCTGCTAGTATTTTTATTGGGAGTGCTTTAATCTATGGATCCATTTGGGAAGAATTAATATCTTAACATTATTGAAATTTTTAATCCATGAACATGGTATATCTTAGTTTAGTATGGCATATTTTATTTTAGGCCTTTGTCATTTTCTTTCGGCAATTTATTTTAGTTTTTGGTGTTTCTCTTATCAATATTTTGCAGTACTCAGGCTGAGAATTGACAAAGCAGTAGGGTCTTCTGGCCCAACAACTGGTTGGAGACCCAAAGTCATATGTACATGTGTGGGGAAAAATGGCTGAAAGGTGAGACTAATTTTTCTGGGACCCCTTGACACAGGAGTCCAATGCACTGTGGCTTCAAACCTGTTGGTAAAGTCCAAATGGGGGCTACAGTTAGATTGAGTAAATTGGACAGACTAAATGAGAATCCATAGAATTTCCAGAACTCATAGAGGTTATTAATTTGAAACAATATAGAACACCTGGTAGACAGAAAGGGCTTACCACTTTAATTGACAACAGAAGCTGGAATGGTTATAAAGAGATTGTTTGTTCTATAGCTTTGTGGGGCCTGTGGAAAGGTAGATGGATCATGGACACTATCGGTAGATAATCAAGCCTTAAGTAAAGTGGTGAAGCCAATAGCTTCAGCAGTTCTTAATGTGGTTTCAATAATGCAAAAAAATACAGCAAGCAAAAGGAGACTATGCTCAGTGACTGGTCTTGGAGGTGCTTTTTTCTCAATCTCAATCTCAGAAAAGAGCCTTTCATGTAGAAAGGATCTCAATTTACATTTATTGTACGGCTACAGGGTTGTTTGAATTTACCAGCTTACTGTTATGATTCAGTTAGAAGAGATTTCAAATTGATGCAGGTCTTGAGTGTAATAAAACATAAAAAAATTGATATTGCAATAATATCAGAAACTGAAAAGCAAGCTAGAACTGACCTAAAGAGGATGCTGATGCACGTGACTAACAGAGGCTCGTTGATAAATCCAACAACAATAGAAGGACATGTCCAAAGGGTGAAATTCTTAGGAATAACATGGGCAGAAACCACTCTTGACACTCCACAGGCAACTAAAATCTAATTGCTGTCATTGCCTACCCCTGGAACTAAGGAAGAAACACAGTGCATGATTGGGACATTTGGATTTTCAAGGATGCATATTCCACAGCTGGGAATATTGGTAGCTCCAATCCATGACACTACCTGAAGGAGGCCACATTTGAACAGGGACCTGAACAAAAAGCAGTAGCTCTATCGATGTTCTTGAGCCCTAATGAGACACACTCAGACATAATTCCGGAATTATCTGCCACTCACACTGCATGCAGGAGCTCATAGCTAAAGCCTATGAGTGCCACCCAGTGGCAAACTCAGGGATTTTGAATCAGAATATTTCAGATGCATCAATATGACATAGACTATTTGAGAGATAATAACTAGTTTGCTATTGGGCATTCATTGACACTGCCTCTGTGATTGAATGACAGGAAACAATCTTGAAACCTGAAATGCCCATAATGTCTTGGGTGATGTCAGAGAAATACTCTCATCAGGAGAGCAATTCCCAGAAGAGTTCCAGAATAAAATGGAAATGGTTTACACAGGAGCATGCTACAAGGGGATGCCTGGAAAGTATTCATTGTATTCACAAAACAGAAGCCTCTTTTCCTCTGTGGCTGACTTTAGGACCACCTGAGGGACTGCTAGATCCCATTGCCACATGGGAGGTGCCCTATGAGCAGCCCTGGATTGACCAAGGATAAGCTGCTTGGTTTAGGGAGAGCGGTTCCAAGGAGGATGGGTAGCATCCTGTTTGGAAGGCTGCCACCCTATGACCAACTGATGGAAAAACTGATTGAAGAAGGTAAGAATAAATCAGTTCAGTCAGTGGAAGTGCGTCCTGTTTTCCTTGTGGTATTGGAAGAATTGAACACCAGTAAGAGCCCTTGTGTTTGGGTGTTTACGGACTCATGGGCAGTGGCAATGACCTGGCTATGTGGGCAGGCAGGTGGGCCATGGAAACTGCACTATTGAAGAATTGGGTAAGGCCCCATAGAAATCACTATGGGAATTTCAGGGGATGCATTAAAGGACATATCAATGTCTGTCAAAACCCCCTTCCAGGATCAGAAAGTGATTGGAACCAGCAAATGGAAAGCCTGGTGCACTCACTTGAGGTGGCCACCAGGGCCCATGGAATGAGTGGACGTGGGGGCTGGAGCTGTGCAAGGAGGGAGTGCACCTGGATATGCCCCCCCACACACACACCCTCTGAGGCACAAGATGCCAGCAACAACTGTCCTGTCTTCAAATAAGAGGGACGGAGACTGCAGACGATATGAAGCAGACTCCCTGGGTGGGCGTGGGAAGGGGGATGGCCCCACACATAGCTGGGCAGTAGACTGTCACAGCACTACTGGTCACTCCAGGACATTATAAATTGGCCATGCAGGAAGAGACACTTGCTCTGGACTGGGCATTGCATACCCAGTGGTAAATGCAAATGCTCAAAATACTATGAAAGGACTGGAACAGAAGATGCTACACCAGTTTGCTCCATGGAGTTATGTTTCCTCAAGAAAGAGCCTAGGAGAGCCAGAGTGACACCATTTTAAATCAACTCCATCTTAAAACTAGCAAGGAACACTCCTTGCCAGTCATGACCCATGGTCCTAAGATGTTTACAGCTAAGGAGGCAGCTTGGTGCTGTCTGCAAAAACACACTCCTGCAACAACAGAAAGTCCAGATGTGCTGATGCCCATAACAATGTAGGCTTTCTAGATAATTCTAGCTATGCTTTGATGGACTCACACACAAAAATGTTAAGGACAGTTTTCTTTAAATCAATAGAATAATGCATTTTGTCATGCCGTCAGCTCACCCGCACACAGACACAACTTAGCTTAGTCATTGTGTGGACGAAACACTTACATAAGAAAAAACTTAAAACAAAGCTGAGGTGCTCCCCATCTTGCTTCTTTTTTTTTTTCCAGACAGAGTCTTGCTCTGTCGACCAGGCTGGAGTGCAGTGGCGTGATCTCGGCTCACTGCAACCTTCACCTCCTGGGTTCAAGCAATTCTCCTGCCTTAGCTTCCTGAGTAGCTGGTACTACAGGTGCACACCACCACACGCGGCTAATTTTTGTATTTTTAGTAAAGACGGGGTTTTACCATGTTCGTCAGGCTGGTCTCGAACTTCTGACCTCAGGAGATCCACTCACCTCTGCCTCCCAGAATGTTGGGATTACAGGTGTGAGCCACTGTGCCCAGCCCCCATCTTGCTTTCTGAGGATGCCCTGCTCTGTAACAGAGCAGCTTTCAATGAACTCTTCTCACTGCACTCTGTGACTGGCCTTGAATTCCTTCCTGCGTGAGACCCAAGAACCCTCTCATGGGGTCCAGATCAAGACCCCTTTTTTCCAGTAAAGACGCAACTAAAACCAGGTGAAAGGCTTGAGCAGGTACATCAGGGAAGGAACCAACTGGCCAAGCAGCAGTGAGCAGGTGTTAGTGTTATTAGCAACGAGAGGAATGCACACTGGAAACACAGGCAGATGCCCAAATGGACAATAAAGATAGAAAATGTGAGATTGTCCATGTTGTGTGGATCGATATTCATTTGTTCTGATTGCCAAACAGGACCCCAGCATACAGATGCACTCCAATGTGCTTATCCATTGACCTGCTGAAGGGCAGCAAGGCCATTGCCAGCTTTGGGAGATGATGAATGGAGCTGCTATAAACATTCGTGTGAATATAGCTTTTGTGTGAATATACGTTTAACAGAAGCTGTGAGACCATTTTCCAGAGCAGCAGTAACATTCTGCATCCACACCAGCAGCGTGCGAGGCCCCAGCTTCCCTGCCTCCCAGACAGCACGTAGTGCTGTCCCTGTGTCTTATTTCAGCTACTCTGATGGGTGTGCAGTGGTGTCTCATGATGGCTTTGATTTGCATTTCCCTTGCGGCTAATGGTGATACACATCTTATAAATCCTCTTTGATAAAGTGTCTGTTCCAGTCGTCTGCCCATTTCTTTTATTCTTTTTTCTTTTCTTTTGCTTTCTTTCTTTCTTTCTTTTTTTTTTTTTTTTTGACAAGGTCTTGCTCTGTTGCTGAGGCTGGAGTGCAGTGGCACAATCACAGCTCACTGCAGCCTCTACTCCCCTGCTCAAGTGATCCTCCCACCTCTGCTTCCCGAGTAGCTGGGACTACAGGTGCGTGCTGCCACACCTGTCTATTTTCTTTTTTTGTAGAGATGGGGTCTCACTATGTTGCTGAGGCTTCTATTTCTTAATTGAGCCCTCCTTTGCTCTGTCTACTAGCCTTCCTGAGAGTCAGAAAGACCTTGGCAAGTTGGAGTATTTCTTTACAGGAATGCCAACCCTCCCCCACTGCCTTCTCCTCTCTTGCATTGGGCTTTTCTCCAAACAGTGTAGCTCCCAGACTTCCTAGGCAGGGACAGGCCTCTGGATCCTCCCATTTCTTCTGCCATCAGAAAACTATCTTTTGGAAATATTTGCAAGACAGACCTGTTTGGGCTAAGACTGATACAATGATGTTTATGTTGGCTGTATATTTGAGAAAAGAAATTATCTTATGTCAGAAACTCAAATTTCCTTGTCCCCTTGACAGTGACAACATTCCTGGATTCTGGAATAGAGTATGGTCCCTCCCTGTCCATGTTCCCTGGACCAGGTCATGGCCATTGAGTCTAGAAAATGCCTCTGTCCCCAAGCAGAAGTCACACCCCTCTCTGACCCCAAAGAGAGAGGGTAGCAGAACTTGTAGTGGGAACAGGGCTGTATGGGTGGACTCTGAATGGACAGGGGAGGAAGGTTGGTCAAGTGGCCTGAATGTCTGGACAGGGGACCAGAGATGGTCAGCAGTAAATGGGGTGAGTTTCTTACCATCCAGGGTTGGGGCCGCTCCTCAGCCAGGCACCATCCCACACATAAGATTCCAGGCTAATTGGCAGTGTGGGGCAGTGACTTCTCCGTGGCAGGATAATTGGACCCTGGAGTCCCCACATCTGTGCACAACGGGGAAGGAACACACAGCCCCTTCTTCCCTGGTGCCGCCTACAAACCAGCTCTCAAGACTGGCCGGGCTGCCTCAGAGGCCGATGGGCCACAGGTGCCAGTGGGCAGGACAGAGGGAAGTGCTGGGCTGCACCAGGCTGAGGACAACCACCGTGACTCCCGCAGCTCTCCAGGGTAGGTTCCTTCTGCCAGTGAAGTGACTGGGTCTGGGGGGCAGCCCCAGGATCTGATTCCTCAAGGGCAGTGGTCGGGGTTGAGATCCCTGCCCCATGACTGGCCCGGGATGTGACTGCACAACGTGGGACTCCCCCTCGTAGGGCCCTGCCTCCCACCTCAGCTTCCTCTCCCTCTGCAGTCTGAAATCTTCACCCAGGGGCACAGGCACAATTCCCATTCCCATGTGCCCCACCCTCTGGCTTGCCTGCCTGACCCACAATGTAGAAAGATGGAAGAAGCCACTGCAGGTCTGCTCACCCCGCATCTGTGCCAGGCATGGCATGTGGGTGGCACCTGCTCTGCTTCGCGCCCTCCCTGCCTGTCCACCACACACCGCCTCTCCCTCCCTCCTGCTGCAGCCTGCTGAAAGCATGCTGGCAGGCACATTTCCGAAAGGCCATGTTCACTGGGTCTCATGCCAGTGACCGGCTGCTGGGCCTGAGCAGGCAGGGCTGTTCTGGGGGGCAGGCGCGGGAGGTGGCGGGCTGGAGCTGCTGCCAGAACACCCACCTGTGCCTGTGCCCTCGAGATGCGGAGGGACCAGAACTCAGGTGGAGGACTGCCCCTTGCCTGCTCCACCTCCTCCTCTCTGCTCTTCCTGCTCACTCTCTGTCTTCCTCTCTCCTCTTTTGCCTCCCTCATTCGAATTTCCTCTTATCCCATCTTTGATGAGGCTGAAAATGACAGGAGGTTTTCCTCGCAATTGGGAGGTTTGAGGGCTGCGAGAAAGAAAAACAGACTCAAAAAGCCCTGAGCTTCGCTTCCCGCAAACATGATGCTCCAGCCAAGTGGATCAAGGGTGCCAGTGAGGCGTCCGTTCGGAAGCAGGACGGTTCCCCTGACCCTGATCCAGCCAGGGGCCTGACCAGTCCCCCTGTCTGACTCCCACAGGGAGTGACGGCCCTGAACCATCACATGAGGTCCCAAACTCAAACCTGTATCCAGTCCCAGACCCACCCCAAATTCCATCAACAACTAGCAGCTAGGGGGTGCCCCTCATCCCCTCACATTGGGCCTGGGCCAGACTTCGCCGT
Organism: Homo sapiens; assembly: GCF_000001405.40. Taxonomy (NCBI): domain Eukaryota; kingdom Metazoa; phylum Chordata; class Mammalia; order Primates; family Hominidae; genus Homo; species Homo sapiens. Next base: position 240,056,234 of record NC_000002.12, on the reverse strand, counting down.
CTTGGTGATTTTGGGGACAGGCGTGACAAGGGATGGGCAGGAAGACGTAGGTTTCTAAGACCCTCCACCCCCTAGACCTTGCTGCCGTGTCCCCTCCAGCCGCACGCTCATCTCCACTGCAGCTCAGAAGCATGCGTTCCAGGCATCCTCCCCGGGGACAGATCTTCCCCAGAAACACATTCTGGAGGACTCTTGTTTGGTGTTTATACTTTCCATTGTGATATTAACTCCACAGAACTGGGTTCAGAAAAGCTTTCAAGTAAAATACCTACTTACACTTCAAGACACCAGAAGTAAAAGGATGAAATGTTTTGGGAAATGGTAAACTGTGAAAGTACACCAAATTGTATCACTGTTTTCCTTCCTCCTGAGAGGCATCTGCTCCTGCTAGCTCTGTGCCACTTCCTTTCCAATTCTGCCTGCCCCATTAACATTGAGCTTCTGCCCCCAAACCCTCCCTGATATGTTTTCCCTCTGCCGTTACCAATGGCCTCCTACCTGCCAATCATGCTCCCTCCTCTTGGAGGAGCCACCGTGTCCTGGCTTGGGCCACACGTCCCCGAGTGTCTCCCCACGTCTCCCACCACCTTCACCAGCCCCTCTTCCTCCTCTTCCTGCTTCTAGAGGGGGAGGCTTCTCAACTTTTATTCTTGCCCTCTTAGTCTTCATATTTTCCTTGGTCAATCTCATTCACATCCCTGCAGGCAGCACAGATTGACTTCCTGGTGTCACTTTTGATTCTCAGGGACCCAGCCAGAAAGCCTCGTTGAGGCTGCCTTCAGCACACACCGGACAGGTTTGCCCTTCCCACGCCTCCTGCCCTGGCCTGCGCTCCTGCAGCCTTTTCCCTGATGACCTCAGGGTCTCTGCACGGGCTCCCCCTCCTCACCTGACTCCTCCAGCCCGATCTCAATGCAGTGGTCAGAGTCAGCCATTTACAGTGTGGGTGGTGCCATGCCACTGCCGTCAGAGTGAAAGCCAACGTCCTCACCATGGTCCTCACCACCTCAGGCTCTGAGTGGGCTCCTTCTGCTCTTGGTTGTCACTGTCTCCTGCCACTCCCTATCACTCTGCTGCAGCCAGCCTTGCCCCAACCCCCTGACCCCCTTCTTGCACTCCCCAGCCTGCAGCCTTTGCACCTCATTTTCTCTCCACCTACGTGTGTCCGACAGACAGCCACAGGCTAACTCACATCTTCTTTGAGACTCTGCCCTGGTGTCGCCTCCTCTCTGGCACATCCCCACCACCACCCCCCAGCCCACCCTGACCTTCTGTTCCCATCCACTCACCACCTTCCACACTCTAAATAATTTCCTTACATATCATGGGTATTATTTATTTTTCTGACTTATTTCCTGCCTTCACTAGAATTTACATTTCATGAAGGCAAGAGTTTGGGACTGTTTTTTTCTCCTGATTTATCTCAATTGCCTGAAACAATGACTGGCACATATTAGACACTTAATAAACCTTGGACCGACCCCCTACACATCTTGACATCTGACCTCAGTCTCTGGTGGGCGTTCTGGATGTCAGGGGTACTCCTGGAGCTCTCTACAGGGTGTCCCATAGGCGCTGCAAGCCCAGCATGCCCCAAACTAAGCCCCTCATCTTCCTCTCTCTCCTCAAGTGCACTTTCCCCCTCTGCAGGGAAACCCTAATGAAAGCAGAAGCCTGGAGGCACCCTGAAATTCCTCATCTCTGGGAGCAGCTAACAGTAGCATCGGGAGCTCAAGTGAGCCCATCAGGAAGAAGCTACGTCTGAGGCAAGTCCTGAAGGGCAACTGGCAGGGCAGCAGTGGGGACTGAATCAGCACGGTGCTCTCATGGCACTGAAGAGGTGCCTCCTGCAGCAGCCAGGGATTCCAGGAGGGGCAGGAGCAAGAGAGGCAGTGAGGCCATAGAGAGGCTGACTCAGGAGCAAGGGGCTTATGCTAAGAACATGCAATGGACGTGGCCAGGAGAGAGGTCTGCGTGTCATTCCCTGAATGTCATTCCCTGCTACTGGGATGATGGATCAGACAGAGTCAGGAGAGACTGGAGGAAGACCAGTGAGAGAGCGGTGACAATAATCCAGCCTGGGAGGGACGGAACCTGAACAAGGACAGGGTGGATGGCAGCCCATGAACGTGGAGACAGCAGACCTGATTCTGGAGGCATTTAAGATGTGGGGCAGAAGGACTCAGGCGTGCTCGGGTGTGGAGGGAGGGGAGGGGAAGGGTCCACACGGGAGCTCAGTGGGGCATCCGGGGGGCGTGGGCAGCCGCACCACTCCCTGAGAGGAAGAGCACAGGGGCAGGGGCTCCATGGCCAGGGGAGGTCTTGAGTCATTGGCTGGACACAGGAGTTAGTTCTGCAGAGGGATCGGGGCAGCCTGGGAGTCGTCAGCTGGAAGTGACTACAGGAACCGCAGGGGCGGGTACATTGTTCTGAGTGTGGACGGTGGGGACGGAAGGCTGGGGCCACAGCGCCAGACACTGAAGGAAAGGGGAGCAGAACAAGAGCCAAAATGTGGGCCCAGAAATGAGCAGAACGTCGCTGGCTTCTGGGGACAGCTAGTCCCCGAGGTGCACAGCGACAGAAGCCGCATGGCAGTGGGAGGAGGGAGTATAACTGCCTGTGAGTCTTTATGTATGGGAGGAAGAGACCTCATCAGAGGCATTCGTGGGAATGTGCACCCCAAGAAGACAGGGGACATGGGGACCCAGAGGTATCTGAGTAGGAGCAGAGACACATCATTGCCTGCCTCGCGCCCTGCCCTGCAGCTGCAATCAGGTAAGCAGTGGGCAGACGGGGCAGGTGCTCCCAGAGAGAGGGGCCATGCTGCGAGCAGGGTGCATCTTGCACTGTCCACAGGGTGCATTGTGAGTGCAGGACCTTGAACGGTGTTGCCTCAGATCTTCCAGCTTTTCAAAAGAAACCAGATATTGGTGCCTCTGTGTGAAATGTTCTGATTTTCAAAAACAAAGGTCAAAGTGAAAGTTTTAGAGAATTGTCCTTCTGAAACGTGCAGGATAAATGACATCCCAATATACCCAATATACAGGCGTGTGAGGAACTGGCTTGAGAGGTGCTCAGAAGCCACTGGAATTCTCGGTCTGCCCCACCATAAAATCTGTCTCCCTATTTATGTTTAAGAAGCGGTGGCTCATGCCTGTAATTCCAGCACTTTGGCAGGCTGAGGTGGGCGGATCACCGGAAGTCAAGAGTTCGAGACCAGCCTGGCCAACATGGCGAAATCCCGTCTCTACTAAAACAGACACAAAAATGAGCTGGGCACCTGTAATCCCAGCTACACGGGAGGCTGAGGTGGGAGAATCGCTTGAACCCAGCAGGCGGAGGTTGCGGTGAGCCGAGATCATGCCACTGCACTCCAGCCTGGGCAACAGAGTGAGACTCTGTCTCAAAAAAAAAGAAAAGTCACAAATAATCTTTAATTGGATTATTCTTTAAAAATCAGTGCTGAAAGGAAATCAACGAGCAGGCTATGCGTGTCGGGCCCACGGGCTTCCAGCTTGGGCTCTACCCTGTCGTGTCCACAGAACAGCAGCTTAGGAGAGGCTGGAGGACCGGCAGGCATCGCAGGCTCTGTCCATCTGAAATGCACTTTCTGATGTAACATATGAAGAACAGACCCGGTTGGTTTTTAGCATGGGTTTAATGAACTATCCTGACATCATGTTTAACACAATCCAGGCTTTCCTTGCTAATAGTATCACAGAAATCCTCAGCTCTGATGTAGGGCTTTCTATACTTTCTCTATGCTGTTCCATTGACTTTATGGTGGTGCTCGTTATCTTTAGTATTTATTTTATTAAATTATTATTTTATTTTTATTGTAGTTTTTCTATCCAAAATAGAAACGCCTCTTCATTAACCTGCTTCTCTTTTCTTCTTCCTGAATTATTTTAGCTATTCTCATCTGTTTATATTTCCAGATGATTTCAAGAATTATTTCATCCTGTTTCAAGAAAAATATAATTTGGTGAGATTTCAAATAGAATTGAGTTAAATTTCAAAATTGATTTGGAGATACTGACATTTTTACAATATACTTTTTTGAATCTAAGAATATTCTAATTAGTCATTGTTGGTATACAGGAAGACTACATTTTTGATATTCATTTTGAAATCCCTTAATTATAATAGTGTAGCAGATTTTTCAGCTTAAAAGTCCTGCCATCTGGAAATAATGATAATTTTGTCTACTTCTTTATTCTGTTCTGTGGTAGCTAGTACAATGGCACATTGTTACGTAGCAGTAGTTACAACAAAGAGCCCTGTCTTAATCCTGACCTTGGTGGAGCAGGAATGATCCTGGTATTTAGCTGTGGGGATGCTGTAGGCTGTTGGTTGAGGCTGGTATTATTTATCATGTTAGGAAAAATCACTTCTTTGGGGATGACAGATGCATGAAAGTTTTGGGAGAGTTTTTAATCAAAGCCTTTTAGCATTAGCTAGACTTCAAATGTGATCCTTTCAGCAGATTTGCTAACCTCGAAGTCTCTTTGCACCGCTGAAATAATCACGCTAGTGCCACGTGAGCTCTTTTAAAGTGCTGCTGGGTCCTAATTGCTGACATTTTATTTGAGTTTTTTAAGTATAGTAAAAAAGAAAAAAATAATCGATACATAGTTTTTCTTCCCTGAAATCTTCATCAGGCTTTCGTATCAGGAATTTGCTATTTTGTAAAATGAATTGGGACTTTCCCATGCTCTCTAAGGGTTTACCTAATGTAGGAAAGATCTGCTCCTGGCATAGCTAGAAGCTGGGCACAGGCAAAGTATCTGGGCCTGTCGGTTTTCTCTGAAGCAATTTTAACATCATGATGCTGTTGAGCTTTCTGTCTTCACTCAGTTTTCTCAAAAATAGACCTTTTTCTTGCCTTTAACAGTCACTCTTCTATGATTGCTTTTAATCATCTTCTAAGCCCCCAGTCTTCCTTGTCATCTGTAAACTGAAGCTGGAAGAGGACCACTGAATAAAACACATATTAGGTGCTTGGTAAATAGCGCCAACCCTTCCCCTGTCATTTGGTGGGTCTCCACCTGCAGTTTACTCTTTTTTTAGTCTCTGAAATTGCGTTGCATGCTCATATTTTCCTGTTTCATCTGTTTTACTGTCCTCAACTCTAAGCCTACTTCAGAACAAGTTTTTGCTGCTATCGATCAATTCTATTATTTTTTCTAATTCATAAAAAATGATTTTTATGCCATTGTTTTTAGGGAAATGTGTTATCTGTGATTCTGCTTTGGAGACAGATTGAACATTTTTTGATGCCATTGCCGATGATTTCTCCACATTTTCTAAACAAAAGTGTATATTTTCTCAGGGTTGTGAGTTTATTATCCCTCAAATCAACATTTCAAAAATTTTACTATTCTAATTCCAATACTTGGCATTCTAATTTGTTTTTACCTTTGAGATCTGTCAAGCAGTGAGAGGCATGTACTAGAGTCTGCTGCTGCTACTTTATTTGTCTCTTTTTTTTTTTTCCTTTTTTTTTTTTTTTTGTCTCTTTGAGACGGAGTCTTACTCTGTCACCCAGGCTAGAGTGCAGTGATGCCATCTCCGCCCACTGCAACCTCCGTCTCCCGGGTTCAAGTGATTCTCATACCTCAGACTTTGGAGTAGCTGGGATTACAGGTGCCTGCCATGACGCCAGGCTAAGTTTTGTATTTTTAGTAGAGACAGGTTTCGCCACGTTGGCCAGGCTAGTCTTGAACGCCTGACCTCAGGTGATCTGCCCGCCTCGGCCTCCCAAAGGGCTGGGATTACAGGCATGAGCCACTGCGCCCGGCCCCTGTCCATTTCTTCTGATACTAAAGTCAGGTTTTTGCTGACTCCGTGTTGAGGATATATTATTCACTAAAAGGTTTATAAGTGAAACAGACCATTTGGGGTCTGAAATTTTACTTGATCAAATGTTAATTCTGCAGTCATGCTTTCTTTTTGTTTGATTATACATCTGAGCCTACGGTTGTCATTTCAACCTGAGTTGAAGTTTTTTGTCGTGCATCTTGGCATATAACCGCAATTACTTTTGCACCAACCTAATACAATAGATTTTTTTTCTATGACTTGGGCATTTTTTCCTTTTACCAGGTGAGTTTATCCTACATACATTTATTGTCACAACTGATTTTTTTTTTTTACTCCAGTCATTGTTGTAGTTAGTTTGGGGTGCTTTCTTATGATTTCCTTTATTTCTATATTTTTTGTTCTTTCAAGATTTATAGGATCTATATCCTTTTAAAAACCATGATTTACTATTAAAATTTTTAAGGACTCATATTACTCTAACAATAAACTCCAGGAATATAACATACCCTTTTGATTATCTCATCTGAAAATGAGGCAAAACACACTTTTTTTCTTATTACAATCTTATCCTTTCCCAAGGTTTTCCTCTTGGAAAAACAATTAGATAATCAGTAATTGTTTGGAAAAAGAAGAGTAACTGGTTTAAATCTAGTTACTGGCTTTAACTGTATTTAAGCCCAGTTTCTCTTTTTTTCCAAACAATTACTATTTTTCATTATATATTATTTCGATTAACAAGGAGAGACGTTTGCATTTTGTTTTGTAGCTATCCGGACAACATTTGCTAGAACTGGATACGCTGTGTCTGAATGTGTGTTTCTTCACTGCCCATGTTTTTACGCTGTGAAAGTCTTGATCGGGGATTGTTATTATATCTCAGGTTAATACCTGTGACATTTTGAGTTTCTTATTGAGGAAGAGTTTAAAACTCCTACATTCAGACCAGGTGCTTGTGCAGGCTGCCTCTCTGCTACCCTCAGGCATGAATAATTCCAGGTCTGGACACAACATTCGAGTTTCATACCCTCCAGCCCTCGCTAGAAGTTTCTCTGCTGTTTTCTGGACTCAAGTTTTTGATGAAAACTAAAGCTAACTCAACAGATCTTCTATTTTATGTACAAAAAAATATAACTTATTTTATTCTGGCTGGATGCCTTTAGGGTTCTTTTTCCTTGAAGTTCCTAAACTAGCCATGATCTCCCTGGTACCTGGTGATAATCCTGCTATCCTTAGTCTGTTTACAGCCACCAAGCGGCCCAGCCAGTTGCCTCTGCCCTTCTTAAATTTTGCTGATTTGTAGCCATAAAAGGACTTCCAAATAGTTTCCATCAGCCATACAGCCCACTCACACCTAGCCCTCAGCCCTCCTCCCTGCTGACCCAGAGAACTGTGAGATCCAGACTCCCACCATCCATGTCCCCTGGGCCACAGAGCTCTCTGGGCACCCTGGTGAGGCTTTCTGGACACCTTCTTCCCTCCCATGGGCAGGACGGTGGTAACATCCTCAAAGACTCTTGGCTCTGGGCCGCCTTTCTTCACTAGCTTTTTGTGTCATGAGGGTAGCCCTCTAGTTGTACATTTTATACGTAATTTCTCCTTTTCTTTAAAGATCCGGGATTTAAGGACTAAGAGGAGAGAGAAGAGGGGGCAGGTGGTTGTGGTGGTGAAAAGAAACACGTGCCATCACCCAGTCTGCCAGCTTTTGCTGCACCGTGTTAGTTTGGGCAGACCCCTGTCACTCCTTTACCTTTCCCATCGACACTCATTCCCCTACGGCTTGTGGAGTTTCTACTGCATGGTAGGAAGTGCTCTTGGTGCCTTGGTCAGTAGTGAGAGAGGCATAGCTCCTGTCCTCAGGAGCATGCGGCCCAGTGGGTGCGCAGCAAGAGGTGCTTCACAAGCACCTCCCAAATAGAGAGCTTCCACCAGCCCTGCAGCCGGCTCGTACCCAGCCCACATCCCTCCTCCCTCATGAACACAGCAAGTGCAACCAGGAGAGACAGTGCGGAGATGGGGGTAGGTGTGGGTTGATGGGAGCCCAGAGGACGGCCACAGCAGAAGCAGCCAGAGTGGGGACGGGGCTGGGGGGCATTCCAGGTGCAAGAAAGGATGTGAGCAAAGGGCCAGGGACTCCACTTTACACAGTTCTACGACGTATACTACTGTGGTTTAAACTCATTTTGTGTTTAATCGGTGTACTTGAAAGAAAGCTGTTTTATTAGATTTCATTAATGTAACTCCTATGCACAATATTGCTACCATTTATGGAACGAATACTGCATGCCAACACGAACCAGGTGTTTTAACAACTCCCTACATTTCCTGTGTGTTTTCTTTAAAGATCTGTTGAATTCATATTACTTATTTATATTCTTAATCATTTACCTACTTATTCATGCTCTAACAGATGCCATCAATATATTTCTATTTCATCTTTATTTTCGGTTTTCTTTTCTGTATTTCAATTTCTCTGCTATTTGGGGAAGCAAACTGCTGTTGATATTATTCTGTCGTTTCTGATCCATCCTCTGTTTTCATTAATTTTGATATCTGTGCAATATCATAATTGAAACTTTTGTCATTTTTAAAGGCACACGATACACTGCACAATACACTTTATTCTCATTCAGTCATTTAATCTATGTGTGTTTTTCAGTATAGATTTGGAATTATGGCCTGGGAAAATGTTGACTTATTGAATTTTTAATCCAGTGCATAACTTTTTCTTTTTAAAGGAGAATGTAGTAATTTAAAAATAAGTAATGGATCACTATTTTGAATAAATAATATACTCACGTGAAACAAAATTCAAAACACAGAAAAAGGGTTGCCATAAAAACATTTCCCTGCCATCTGTGTTCCAGTGACCTGCTCTGCCCCTCAGGACAGTGAGTGTCCCCACCACCTTGTACCTTCACGGGTCGTCTGCCCTATTTACATACTTTTACTTGTATGAGCGGAGGCATACGATCAGTGCTGTTTCAAACCTTTAAAACTGTGGCTACAGACCTTGGAAACCATTCCATATCTACAGACGGACCTGCCCCTTCTTTTCAGTGACCACATAGTGTTCATAATAGGGATGTGACAAAACTTACTTAGCCCATCCCTTATTAATGAACAATACGGTGGCTTCCAAGTCTTTTGCTTATTAATTTAAATATTTGCTTTAGGTTCGTTCAACCAACCTATGCCCTATATCCCTGTATTTCCTTCTGAAGGGGTCTTCTCTGCCTTTTTTCTGAATAATACTATTTATTTTGTGACTTTTTGTTTTCATTGCCTGTTAGTGTAGTGTCACAGGGCAACCAACAACTGAATCTACACATCTTTATAATTCAAATGTTCTAGCCTATGTCCACATGGGTTCACTGCTTCTGTTGTGGAAACCGCATTGGAAGGGCAGCGGCCTTGGTGTTAGAAGATTCCAGTCTGTGTCCTGGTGCTGCCCCGGCCCTGGGTAAGTCCATGAACCTTTCTTTTTGGGTCTCAGACTTTCCATCTCAACTTAGAGATGTAAGCCTTCTTTTTCCCAGGACTGTAGTGAGGATTAATGGATGTGTTTTATATAAAAATACACACTCAGGTGTGGGTGGACGACTCCTCCCTCAGCCACAGGCCCCTCGAGAACGTTCTAGACTTCCTCCTCTCTGCTGCCATCTGTTTTCTCTCTTCTGGGATTGCATTGCAATCTCTCCCTTGCTGATATTCCCCTCAGATTGACAGGGATAAGGATGTGACCACTTTCCCTTCTTGGCCTGGGAGGCTCCGGCTGCTGCTGTGGATGTGCCTGAGTCTGGGATCTGGCCAAGTTGGACCTGGGCCTCACCCCTGCCATGGTGTCACTTCCTCCTGTAAAATCAACCCTAAAACCAGGTAACAGGTCATATATCTACCAATTTAGAAAGAATGCGTCAGACTCAAACAATACATCCAGAAGCCTGGGGCAGTCAGGGCTCATCCCCTGGAGGACACCGGACACCCTGTGGATGCCCTTCATGGTTATTGGGTCCCTTGGAGAAGTCCAGGTGGTGAAAAATAGGACACAGCTTTGAGAGATGAGGGAGACTGGTGGTGACAGGCTCAGGAGGGCATTCCAGACCCAGTGTTACAGGCTGAGACCTAGAATCTATATCATCAGAGGTTAGTGCTTAACATGTATCTGGGTGGGGAGCTGCTTTTGCTCCCCACTGGTGCTCTGGGGAGCCACGTGGCCTCTCTTTACACCAAAACTCCCTATCCAGGTCCAGCTCCACTCTCCCTCTGCCCCAGCTTCCCTGCAGCCCTTTCCTCTTGCTCTTTGATGTTTTGTAGGCCTGCAGCTCCCAAGCACAGAGGCATGAGTGGGGAGAATGTCACCAGGGTCGGCACCTTCATCCTGGTGGGCTTCCCCACGGCCCCAGGGCTGCAGTACCTGCTCTTCCTCCTCTTCCTGCTCACCTACCTCTTTGTCCTGGTGGAGAACCTGGCCATCATCCTCACCGTCTGGAGCAGCACCTCCCTCCACAGGCCCATGTACTACTTTCTGAGCTCCATGTCTTTCCTAGAGATCTGGTACGTGTCTGACATCACCCCCAAGATGCTGGAGGGCTTCCTCCTCCAGCAGAAACGCATCTCTTTCGTCGGGTGCATGACGCAGCTCTACTTCTTCAGCTCCCTGGTGTGCACCGAGTGTGTGCTTCTGGCCTCCATGGCCTACGACCGCTACGTGGCCATCTGCCACCCGCTGCGCTACCACGTCCTTGTGACCCCGGGGCTGTGCCTCCAGCTGGTGGGCTTCTCCTTTGTGAGTGGCTTCACCATCTCCATGATCAAGGTCTGTTTTATCTCCAGCGTCACGTTCTGTGGCTCCAACGTCTTGAACCACTTCTTCTGTGACATTTCCCCCATCCTCAAGCTGGCCTGCACGGACTTCTCCACTGCAGAGCTGGTGGATTTCATTCTGGCCTTCATCATCCTGGTGTTTCCACTCCTGGCCACCATGCTGTCATATGCGCACATCACCCTGGCTGTCCTGCGCATCCCCTCGGCCACCGGCTGCTGGAGAGCCTTCTTCACCTGCGCCTCTCACCTCACCGTGGTCACCGTCTTCTATACAGCCTTGCTTTTCATGTATGTCCGGCCCCAGGCCATTGATTCCCGGAGCTCCAACAAGCTCATCTCTGTTTTGTACACAGTTATCACCCCCATCTTGAACCCCTTGATATACTGCCTGAGGAATAAGGAATTTAAGAATGCCTTGAAAAAAGCCTTCGGCTTGACGAGCTGCGCCGTAGAGGGGAGGCTTTCTAGTCTTCTGGAACTTCATCTCCAAATACACAGCCAGCCTCTCTGAGGAGGCCATTTGACTGTTTGCATTATTGTAGTACCGCATTTATTTAAAAATTACTTCCAAATCTATTTTTCTCCTTCAGGAAAAAAACTGAGGTTGAGGTTAATAGCATAGGTATTGTTGTTGGTGTTGTAATACCAGTACTTTCTTGTTTTTGTAGATGAGCAAAGCTGTAGTTAGTAAAGCTTAATGAATTTTCCTCGCCTTTAAAATTACCATGCACATTTCAGAAAGCAGCAAAACATGCCAGATCATCTGAGATTTTAAAGTCCCCAATAAATTGCGGTGTGTTAAAGTACTAAATATTTAACCATGTGGCAAAATGAGCTCCAGGTGTCCCTGAAGCAAAATGTGTCTGGGAAAAGTAAGGGCATGTAGCCTTCTGTTTTATACCCAACGAATGTTCTCTGATTGTCTTGGGTGGATGCCCCCTCTGCCTTTTTCCTAAATAAACCCCTACTGCATGCCCAGTCAGCTGCTGAGAAAATAAAAATTGTTTTATTATTGCATGAGTCGATTCTGATTGAACCTAAATATACGCAGATGCCCAGGCAGGCAGGGCCACCTCTGTCCTATTCACTGTTGGACCTGGCAGCCCAGCACCTAAATACACACAGATGCCCAGGCAGGCAGGGCCACCTCTGTCCTATTCACTGTTGGACCTGGCAGCCCAGCACCTAAATACACACAGATGCCCAGGCAGGCAGGGCCACCTCTGTCCTATTCACTGTTGGACCTGGCAGCCCAGCAGAGCATCTGGTGCCCGATGGGCATGCAGGAGAAAGAGGCTGGGTATGGGCTGGGTGGGACGTGTAGGGGATCAACAGTGCAAGAAGAGAGAAAGCAAACCCAGGTGGGGGCTGCAGGGAGGAGTGGAAGAGGGCCACCTGGATGGCATGATATCTACACCTTAAAACAGGAATAGAGGTTATTCAATTTAAAGGGTGGAAAAGGAAGGGTGTTCCAGGCAATTTCAATGATAGCAAAGCCTCAGAGGCAGGAAGCAGCATGGAGCTGTGCAGAGCTCAAAGACGCAGCCTCATAGGAGCCTGGTGTTCACCAAAGGGGAGACTTGAGACAAAAAGAGGACAGAGCCCCAAGAGCTCACATGTATGGTGGGTAACATCAGAGCCCCGAGAGCTCCCAGGTGTGGCGGGCAGATCAGGACCCGAGAGCTCCCAGGCATGGTGGGCAGATCAGGACCCCCAGAGCTCCCAGGCGTGGCAGGCAGATCAGAGCCCCGAGAGCTTCCTGCATGGCAGGCGGATCAGGACCCCCAGAGCTAACAGGTGTGGCGGGCAGATCAGGACCCGAGAGCTCCCAGGCGTGGCGGGCAGGTCAGGACCCGAGAGCTCCCAGGCGTGGCAGGCAGATCAGGACCCGAGGGCTCACAGGTGTGGCAGGCAGCATGGACTCGTCTGGCAATTAAGGTGGGGGTAGAGGTACGTTCAGTTTCCTGCCTTGGACCGTCTATTTGGCAGGTGTGTGACAGATGGAGAGGGGACCCCGTGGGAGGCAAGGAGGCTGTGAGGGAGGCTGCTGGGATTGTGCACGTGAGGGATGAGCACTACCCTGGGTTGAGCAGTGGATGCAGGATTTGGATGCAGTGGCCGGGCCCATTTGAGAGCTATGTAAGTGTTCAAATCAGCATTTGGGGTTAGAGTGGGAATAGGAAGGAACTGAGGAATGCATCCAGATACCTGTTAGGGACCGAGTAGACGCCAGAGCTGAAGGAGGATGTGCAGATGAGTGAAGGCTGTTGAAGGCTGAGGGAGTGGGTTTGGGCTGTAACTGCCACAGAGGCCCCCAGAGAGTCGGAACTGATCGCACCTGATCTTACAGTAGGCAAAGGGGTAATTCCTATCAAATGGGTAGAAATCAGATCCAGGTGAAGAGGTTCTTCCAAGGCCAGAGGAGACATGGGATTTAATGGGAGGGCAGGATGGGGTAGCAAAGGGCTTTGTGGGGTCTGATTTAAGGGATCAAGCTGACTTGGGGTCAGGAATTTAGAGCCTGCCTCTCAGTGGGTTGAGCAGGAGAGGGCATCGGGCTTGGGTTTGGCTTGCTCCCAGTGAAGCCTGGTGGTGCCTTGGCCACATGCATGCCTGTTCATCCACAGCTCTTCATCCACGGCCCTTCATCCACGGCTTTTCATTCACAACTTTTCTTCAACAGCTCTTCCCCCACGGCTCATCCACGGCTCTTCACCCATGGCCCTTCATCCACGGCTCTTCACCCATGGCCCTTCATCCACGGCTCTTCACCCACGGCCCTTCATCCACGGCTCTTCACCCATGTCCCTTCACCCACGGCTCTTCACCCATGTCCCTTCATCCACGGCTCTTCACCCACAGTCCTTCATCCATGCCTCTTCACCCACGGCCCTTCGTCCATGCCTCTTCACCCACGGCCCTTCGTCCATGCCTCTTCACCCACGGCCCTTCGTCCATGCCTCTTCACCCACGGCCCTTCGTCCATGCCTCTTCACCCACGGCCCTTCCTCCATGCCTCTTCACCCACGGCCCTTCCTCCATGCCTCTTCACCCACGGCCCTTCCTCCATGCCTCTTCACCCACGGCCCTTCCTCCATGCCTCTTCACCCACGGCCCTTCCTCCATGCCTCTTCACCCACGGCCCTTCGTCCATGCCTCTTCACCCACGGCCCTTCGTCCATGCCTCTTCACCCACGGCCCTTCGTCCATGCCTCTTCACCCACGGCCCTTCGTCCATGCCTCTTCACCCACGGCCCTTCCTCCATGCCTCTTCACCCACGGCCCTTCCTCCATGCCTCTTCACCCACGGCCCTTCGTCCATGCCTCTTCACCCACGGCCCTTCGTCCATGCCTCTTCACCCACGGCCCTTCGTCCATGCCTCTTCACCCACGGCCCTTCCTCCATGCCTCTTCACCCACGGCCCTTCGTCCATGCCTCTTCACCCACGGCCCTTCCTCCATGCCTCTTCACCCACGGCCCTTCGTCCATGCCTCTTCACCCACGGCCCTTCGTCCATGCCTCTTCACCCACGGCCCTTCGTCCATGCCTCTTCACCCACGGCCCTTCGTCCATGCCTCTTCATCCACGTCTCTTCACCCACGGCCCTTCATCCATGCCTCTTCATCCAAGTCTCTTCATCTACGCCTCTTCAGCCACAGCTCTTGCCTGGTGGGCTTCTCACAGCAGGGCAATGTCTTGCTGCTGTCTGCCAGGGCCACCTTCAACACCTGTCTTCTTGTTTCTAACATGTACTTTCTAATAATCTCTTACTAAGTCTATCTTTATCAACTCTGGCATCCATTCAGTCCTCTGCACATTTTTGAACCAGAGACAACCAAGAAAAGCTTCTTCAGCTCATACTGTAAGCTTCAGCCCACTCTAGAATTGGCCTTGTGAGTCTGGTTTTAATATAGAAACTGTTTTGTAGTCAGTCGTGCATCCTCAGGCTGCACAGGGCCCTGAAGCCCACTCCTCCTCTGGACCAGACAGTTCCCTGCTGGCTCCCAGGCGCCCAGGTCTGCTCTCACTCGCCAGGGGAAGGGACACTCGGACCCCTGGGAACCCAGTTGGCTTGGAGCAGCTGTCTGGGCAGGAAGGTTGCACAGCGGTGCTTCAGCCACCACTGTACGTCCCAACACTGGGAAATGATGAAGGTCTAAAATCTGCCTGTATCTGTATCTGAGTTATGGAAAAGTTGCTTTTCCTCTTCTGTACTCATTCTGACTGAGTTTGGATCCATTTGCAGAGCCTGTGTCCACCCCATTAAAACCCACTTGTCTCTTCCACATCTGCCAACCCCTAGGCTGCTGCTGGACACCCACGTTGTTGCACAGAAGCACCACTGTCCACTGACTGTCCACCTCCAGCTCATGTCCTTTCCAGAGTCCACTGCTCTCCTCTAAGTCTCTGGCGCCCTCTCAGTTGGTACAGAGTGAGCGCTGAGACTTCCTGCCATCCACAGTCAGGACCTCCCTCCTGGGTCTCCTGGGTGTCATGACCTTGGGTTTGCCTCCTTCATGTGCATTTGATCATCTGGGTCTCCACCCCGACTTGGCCTGCTGAGTCAGACCCCATGTCCCTGCCTTATTTGGAGGAAGGGCTCTAGGCCGGGTAGCCAGCCCAGGGACCCAGGCACAGGCTCAGAGTGATGCTACTGGTGCCATTCTCAGGGCTGTGGAGAGCTGATTTTCCTCCCCGGGCAGCTGGGCTGGGACATGGTTTGTCTCCTGTTAAATTACTCCATCTTCTCTGTCCATACCCTTCTCTGGTCACAACCAACTGAGTCATTCATTCATTTACTCATTTATTCATCTAAGCACCTACTATGTGCCAGACACTAATCTAGGCACTCAAGGTAAATGATGAACAAAATCGACAAAAATCTCAGTCCTCATACAGTTTACAATCTATTAGATGAGAGAGAAATACACAAAATAAATAGGTAAAATACTCAGAATGGTATTCAGGCATACATGCTAAGGAAAAAAAAATATATCAGCTCTAGTCAGCTGAAAAATGGCCCCAAAATATAGGTCTATGTCAAATCTCTGGAACCTGTGAATACAACTTTATTTGGAAAAAGGGTCTTTGCAGATGTAACTAAATTAAGGATCTGGAGATGGGGAGATCAGTGTGGATTATCCAGGTGGGCCCTAAATGCATTGATGAGCATCCTTATAAGAGACACATGGGGGGGAATTCCAGTTCTTTAATGATGGCATAGAAGCTGGCTTCTCCACCTGCCCCTGCCCCCATACAGAATGAACAACAAATACATAGCACCAAGAGTATCACCGGCAATACCCAAGAACTCAAATATGAGGAGGAAAAAGATCGTGCAACCACAGAAAAGTGAAAAAAACTCCAAGCCGACAGTAAGAGAATTGGACTTCCATATTCACGACATCCCTCTCCCCAAAACTGCCCAGCACAAAGGACACGGAAAATGTCCCCCTGACTCACAGTTTCTACGCTGGAAAAAGTGAGATTGAGGTGGACAACCAGCTTCCTCACTCTCTTAGGTTTCCTGGCAGGAGATCTGTCCCAGCCTCAACCCACAGGAAGTGCTGCTAGCACTGCTAGCACTGCTAGCACCTGAAGGGAAAAACAGCCTTAAGGCCAGCAGAGACAAAGCGGGAAGGTAGGACTACCAACCCCAGCTCTGGAGACTCTGTTCTGTAACTCAGCCAAAGAAGATGTCAAATCAGTGTGGCAGTTCAGCAGCACCATGCTGTAGGAGGTTTGTTCCACACCTTCCCTGGGCACAAACTGTGAGCCAGCCTTCCCACACTACCAGGATATTCCCTCTGGGGCCTCCCTCATTTGGGATGGTTGGCACTCTGACTGTTTACTAGAGCTGAGGCAAACCTGGGCTTAAGGAATCATCTAGTGTTGAAAAGAAAGCAGCAACATAGTGAGGTGGCAGGGAGGGAAGAAAGAAAATCAATAGATAAATTACAAGGAGTCTCTAAGCAAACAAATCTAATAAAAGCCAAACAAGCCAGACAGAGAAGACTGGAATAAATAATTAACCCTTCAGTGAAAAACTATAGATGCACATCTATGGGAGACAACAGCAAACAGAAAACATGACCTCCTTAAATGGACAAAGCAAGGATCCAGTGACAGACCCCAACAAGACAGTGATATGTGAACTCTCTGAACAACAATGCAAAATTGCAGTTTTAAGGAAACTCAGTGATCTCCAAGATAACACAGAAAAACAATTCAGAAATGTATCAGAGAAATGTAACCAAGAGATTGAAACAATAAAAAAACAAACAAACAGAAATCTTGGAACTGAGAAATACTTTTGCTGAACTGAAAAATTCATTAGGGCCTCACAAGAGATGAATGGATTAAGGAGAGGAAAGAATCAGTGAGCTTGAAGACAGGTTATTTGAAAACACTGAGTCAGAGGAGAAAAAAGAAAACAATGAATAAAAAGGAATGAAGATCACCCAATACCAGATACAGAAAATTACTTCAAAAACCTGAACCTAAGAATTATTGATGTTCAAGAAGGAGTTGAGCAAGGGCAAGGAATAGAAAACTTATTCAAAGAAATAATAACAGAAAACGTCCCAAAACTAGAGAAAGAGATAAACACCTAGGTACAAGAAAGTCTAAGAACACCAAACATAATCAACCCAAATAAGACTGTGCCAAGGCATATAATAATCAAACTCTCAAAGGTCAAGGACAAAGAGAGGATCCTAAAAGTAGCAAGAGAAAAAAAGCAAATAATTTATAAAGGAATTCCAATTTGTCTGGCAACAGACTTCTCAACAGAAATCATACAAGTCAGGAGCAAGTGGGATAACATTTTCTAAGTGCTAAAAGAAAAAAAAAAGGTCAGTCAAGAATACTGTATGCAGCAAAGATATCCTTCAAATATAAAGGGGAGATAAAGTCTTTACCAGACAAACAAAAGCTGAGAGAATTCGCCACCATCAGACCTATCCTACAAGAAACGCTAAAGGTAGTTCTTCAATCCAAAAGAAAAAAACATTACTGTGCAGAAAGAAAGCACGTGAAGGTATAGACCTCACTGGTAAAATTAAATACATGGACAAATCCAGAATACTATAATACTGTAATTGCGGTGTGCAATGCATTCATAACTTGAGTATGAGGCCCAAAAGACAGCTCTATCAAAAACAGTAATACCCACAGTGACTTGTTAAGAGATAGGCAATATAAAAATCTGTAAATTGAAACAACATAAAGTTAAAATGTGGAGGGGGATGGAGTTAGTGTAGAGGGTTTTCATTTTTCCTTTGTTTGTTTCTATTCTTTGTGACATAAGTCTTCATCTCTTTAAAATAATAAAACATCCAATATCTATAAGATATTTTTGTAGCTTCATGGTAACCACAATGCAAAAGTTTATAAGAGATTCACTAAAAATTAAAAAAGCAATAAATTAAACATACTACCAGAGAAAATCACTTAGCCACAAAGGAAGACATTAAAAAAAAAAAAAAAACGAAAATGGGAGTTACAAAACACCTAGAAAACAAGTAACAAAATGGCAGTAGTAAGTCTCTACTTATCAATAATAACATGGAATGTAAATGCACTCAATTTTCCAATTACAAGGCACAGAATGGCCAAATAGATGAGGAAACAAGATTAAACCATATGCTGCTTACAAGAAACTGACTTCATCTATAAAGACACAAACTGAAAGTCAAGGGTTGGAAAAAGATATTTGATGCAACTAGAAACAAACAAATATCAGTAGTAGCCATACTTAGATAACATAGGCTACAAATAAAAGACTGTAAAAAGAGACAAACAATGTTACTATATAATGATAAAGAGGTCAATTCAGAAAGAGGATATAACAAGTTTAAATAGCTATGCACCCAATACTGAAGCTTCCAAGTATATAAAGCAAACATTAAACAGATCTAAAGGGATAGCAGGGGACTTCAACACTCCACTTTCAGCAATGAACAGATCATTCAGACAGAAAATCAACAAAGAAATGTGGGAGTTAAACTATGCACTGGACCAAATAGGCCTAACTGACATTTATAGAACACATCAGCCAGCTGCTGCAGAAATACATATTCTTTTCAGCACATGGAACATTCTCCAGAATAGGCCACATCTTAAGCCATAAAACAAATCTCAACAAGTTCAAAAAAGTATAAATCACTTCAAGTACCTTTTCTGATCATAATGGAATAAAACTAGAAATCAATAACAAGAGGAATCTCAGAAAATACACGAACACATGAAAACTAAATAACATGCTTCTGAACAACCAATGGATCAATGAAGAAATTAATAAGGAAATTTAAAAAATAATTGAAACAAATAAAAATGAAAATATACCAAAATCTATGGGATATAGCAAAAGGGAATTTTATACCAATAAATGCCTATTTCAAAAACGTAGAAAGATTTCTAATAAACAACTTACTGATACACATCAAGGAACTAGAATAGCAAAAACAAACCAAAGCCAAAACTGGTGGAAGGAAAGAAATAATAAAGATCAGAGCAGAAAGTAAATTGAGACTTAAAAAATAATACAGAAGATCAATTAAACAAAAAGTTGTGTATTGAAAAGATAAACAAAATAACAAGTCTTTAGCTAGACTAAGAAAAAAAGAGAGAAGACCCAAATAAATAAAATCACAAACTAAAGAGGAAACAACAACCGAGACCACAGAAATACAAAGAATTATTAGAGACTGGTATGAAGAACCATACACCAATAAGTTAGAAACCTTGGAAGAAATAGATAAATTCCTAGACACATACAACCTATCAAGAGTAAACTATGAAGAAATAGAAAACCTTAACAAACCAATAAAAAAATAACTAGATTGAAGATGTAATAAAAGGTCTCCCATCAAAGAAAAGCCCAGGACCCAGTAGCTTCAGCGATGAATTATACCATGCATTTAAAAAACTAATAACAATGGTACTCAAACCTTCAAAATATTGAAGAGGAGAGAATACTTTCAAACTCATTCCATGAGGCCAGCATTACCCTTGTACCAAAACCAGGCAAGCACACAACAAGAAAAGAAAACTACAGGTCAATATCCCTGATTAACACAAATGCAAAAATTCTCAACAAAATACTAGTAAATTGAATTCAACACGTTAAAATGATCATTCACCATGATCCAGTAGGATTGATCCCAGGGATGAAAGAATGGTTCACCATACGCAAATTGGCACATGTAATACATCACATTAAAAGAACCAAGAAAAAAGACTGCGATCATATCAACAGATACTGAAAAAGCATTTGACAAAATTCAACATTTGTTTGTGATAAAAAACTGGGTTTAGAAGGAACATACCTCAAAATAATAAAGGCGATATATGACAAACCCACAGTTAACATCATATTGAATTGGGAAAATTTCAGAACCTTCCCTTTAAGGTTTGGAACTAAACAAGGATGCCCATTTTCACCACTTTTATTCAAGCATAGTACTGGAAGTCCTAGCCAGAGCAATCAGGCAAGAGAAAGAAATAAAAGGCATCCAAATTGGGAAGGAGGAAGTTATATTAGTCTTGTTTGCAGACAACATGATCTGATAGTTAGAAAAACCTAAGAACTCCACCAAAAAAAAAAATGTTTAGAACTAATAAACGAATTCAGTAAAGTTGCAGGATACAAAATCAACATGCAAAAGTCAGTACTATTTATATATGCCAACAGTGAACGATCTAAAAAAAAATTAAAAAGCAAACCCATGTATAATAGCTATGAAGAATATAAAATACCTAGGACTCAATTTATCTAAAGAAGTGAAAGATCTGTAAGATGAAAACTATGAAACACTAATGAAAAAAATTGAAGACGACACAGAAAATGGAAAGATACTTCATGCTTATTAGTTGGAAGGATTAATATTGTTAAAATGACAATACTTCCCAAAGGAATTTGCAGATTAAATGTAATCTCTATCAAAATACCAGTGATATTCTTCAAAGAAATAGAAAAAAAATCCTAAAATTTATATGGAATCACAAAAGACCCCTAATAACCAAAGCAATCCTGAACAAAAAGAACAAAGGTGGAGGCCTCACACGACGTGACTTCAAGATATACTATAAAGCTACCGTAACCAAACCAGCATGTTACTAGCATAGAAACAGACACATAGACCAATGGAACAGGATAGAGAACCCAGATATAAATCCACACATTTACAGTGAACTCCTTTTCAACAAAGGTGCCAAAGACATATGATGAGGAAAGGATAGTCTCGTCAATAAATCGTGCTGGGAAAACTGGATATCCATATGCAGAAGAATGAAAC
Source organism: Homo sapiens (assembly GCF_000001405.40). Lineage (NCBI taxonomy): Eukaryota > Metazoa > Chordata > Mammalia > Primates > Hominidae > Homo > Homo sapiens. The sequence continues at coordinate 240,035,288 of NC_000002.12, read as the reverse complement.
TAGACCCCCATCTCTCACCACATACAAAAATTCAATCCAAATGGATTAAAGACTTAAATCTAAGACTCAAAACTATAAAACCACTAGAAGAAAACATTGCGGAAACACTCCAGGACATTGGTCTGGGCAAAGAATGATCTTGTGTAAGACCTGGAAAGAACAGGCAACCAAAGCAAAAACAGAGAAATAAGATTACATCAAACTAAAAAGTTTCTACACAACAAAGGAAACAATCAACAGAGTGAAGAGACGACCCACAGAAAATGTTTACAAACTATCTATCTGACAAGGGATTAATAACCAGAATATATAAGGAGCTCAAACAACTCAGTGGCAAAAAAAAAGCAAAAAACCCAAATGATCTCATTTAAAAATGGGCAAAAGATCTGAATATATATTTCTCAAAAGAATACATACAAATGGCAAACAGGTTTGTAAAAAAATGCTCAACATCACTAATAATCACAGAAATGTGAATCAAAACCACAGTGAGATGCCATCTCATCCCATTTAAAATGGCTTTTATTTTAAAAAAGACAGGGAATAATAGTTTTTGGTGAGAATGTAGAGAAAGCAGAACCCTCATTCATTGTTGATGAATATACATTATTTTTGGTGGAGTTCTTAGGTTTTTCAAACTATCAGATCATGTTGTCTGCAAACAAGACTAATATAATTTCCTCCTTTCCAATTTGGATGCCTTTTATTTCTTTCTCTTGCCTGATTGCTCTGACTAGGACTTCCAGTACTACGATTGAACAAAAGTGGTGAAAGTGGGCATCAGTACAGCCACTATAGGCAACACAATGGCGGTTTCTCAAAAAAATAAACATAGAACTACCATAAAATCCAACCTTTCCACTACTGTGTATATCTCCAAAAGAAAGCAAATCAATACATTGAAGAAATATCTGCACTCCCATGTTTATTGCAGCCCTATTCACAATAGCCAAAATATGGAATCAATCTAAGTGTCCACCTCAATGGATGAATGGATTAAAAAAAGTGGTACTATATGCAGTGGAATATTATTCAGCCATAAAAAGAATGAAATCTTGTTATTTGCAGCAACATGGATGGAACTGGAGGTCATTATGTTAAGTGAAATAAGCCAGGCACAAAGACAAATATCGCATGTTCTCACTCATATGTGGGAGCTTAAAAAGTGGATCTCATGGAAATAGTAGATTGGTGGTTATGAGAGGCTGGGAAGGGTATAGGGGACTGCGGGATGAAGCGAGGTTGATTAATGGATACAGATGTATAGTTTGATAGAAGAAATAAGACTGAGCATTAGAGATCAGTAAGGTGACTATAGTTTTCAGTAATCTATTGCATATTTCAAAATAGTCATAAGAGAAATAATTTGAATGTTTCTGGTATAAAGAAAAGACAAATATTTCAGGTGATGAATAGCCCATTTACACTGATTTGATATTTACAAATTATAATTGCATTCAATTATCATATGTACTCCAAAAACATATTCATCTATTATGCATAAATTTGAAAATAATAAACACTCATATAAGGAGACACACAGAAGAGATCTGACACACAGATCATGGGAGGTGACGTGACCTGAGATGCAGAGATCAAAGTGTTGGTGCCACAGACCCTGAAGCCAGGAGCCCCCAGAAGCTGGGAGAGGCCAGACAGGGTTTCTCCCCTGGCAGCTGGGAGAGGCCAGAGAGGGTTTCTCCCTTTCCTCATCTGGCAGGGGAGGAAAAAGGAATGTCCTGGCTGGGTGTGGGATTGTAGGAAGTGAGGGAGGGGGCGGGCTGATGCGGAAGGAGAACATTCCAGAGGGCACAGTGAGTCCCAAAGCCCCAAGCGGGGTGGCAGGAGCCAGCCTATCTGAGGAGCACCTGGGGCCATGGAATTAGAGTGGCGAGAACAGGGGAGGTCGGAAAAATTGGACCAGAGAGGAAACAGAGGTCAGGTGGGACAAATTCTTCCCTCAGAGGGTGCGGGCTGTGCAGGAACAAGGGTGGCCCATGGACAGCAGCTCCTCCAGTAGGGAGTGTGGGAGATAGATAGCCACTGAGGAGGGCGAAGGGCCCAAACAGGGAGCCAGGAGCGGGCTCAACAGCCTCTGCTTGGGTGCCCTCAGCCAGGCAGGGGCCAGCCTGGCCCCAGAGGCACAGGCTCACCTAATTGGCAGTGTGGGCCTTTCCATCATCAGGGGGATAATTGGACCCTGGAGTCCCTATGCTCATCAGAAAAAGCCACAGTGGTTTCTCCCCAGTGCCTCAGGCAGCCCACTTCTCAAGAGCATGTTCAAGGCTCGTCTGGTCACTGTGGCCAGACTGGGAGTTGCTGGACACAGGCAGAAGCCACTCTTCACTCCTGCAGGCAGCTGCAGCCGTTTGCAGTGAGGCTTCCAGACGCCCCAGGTAGGATCCAGCACTTTCCATGTTGCCGATGGGCTCCTTTCGCTGTGATTTTAGGGTACGTTGTATTCCTTGCATGGGGAGAGAGCTCTTCTTTTATGTGTGTGATTGACAATCCCCACTCCACATGCCCCCCACATACAGTCTGGAGCAGGGACTCCCCTCTGCAGTCTCACGGCCAGCACCAAGCAGGATGGCTCATGGATGCTCCATAAATGGCCCTTGCATTTTTGAGTACTGTGCTGGGTACATATTCACAGGCATTGGGTTATGCCCTGATGTCTAACATCATACCCAGAATCAGCCAGCAGCCTCAGGTGGCTGAATGGGGCAGACAGCATTTGCTCACTCATCATTGACGAGGACTGGTTCTGGGTGGCTCTGCCAGGCACCAGGGAAGGCATCAGAGTAAATGGCTGCAGGCTGATGGTAGGTGCAGCCGGGAGGAGCTACTGCAGTACCCGTCTCACGGACCACCCCAAAATACATCCGTTCTGTGGTACGGAAAGCTTCACTTTCCTCTCTCAGATTGGAGACCTAGGTTTGAATTTGTGACTGGGCAAAAACAGTCTTTGTAACATATTGGAGAACCTTGTTTACGATGAGAGGATGCCAGCCTCCCTCGGCAGCGTCCGCTTGGACTTTCAGTCTGTCCACAGAAACCAGGGAGGTACAGCCAAGTTAAAAAGGCAGCCATGCCCGCAGCGATGGGGTACCCTGGAACAGAAACGGGCATTCGAGGGAAAAAAAGATGAAAGCCAAAGTCTGGAGTTTAGTCCACAGTAATACCAATATCAATCCCTTACTGTGACAAATATACCCTCTTCATGTAGGAAGTTAGCCTTGGAGGAAGCTGAATGGAGGATCTCCCAGAGCTCTCTGCACTCTCTTTGTAACTTTTCTGTAAATCTAAAATTATTCCAAAATAAAAAGTTTATTTAAAAGAAAATGCAGCCATTGTCTAACAAGTTCAGGGGATGGATAGAGTGTGCTGTAAAGGGCCCTGAATTTGTAAAGTAACACAGTTTCAATTTAATGAATCAATCCGGTATTAACTAGCCAACTCACTAATGATCAGTTACCACTATCCAAATAATCAAGAGAAATCTATAGGTGCCTCTACTGTTCTGGGTTAAAAGCACAAGAACCAAAGCTCACTACCCCCACCGCCAGCTCTCCCCAGCAAACCCAGTCAACAGGTGGGGGCTGCTGGCCTTCCAAGGAGCTCCTGTGGACCCCAACTTTCCTCCTTGTGGACTTTAAAGCCCCCTGTGGCCACTCAGCTGGGAAGAGGACACAGTCACCACCCTGGATGGTGTCTAGAGAGGCTACATTCAGACTCACATCTTGAGACCCCTTTAATGGCAGGGGTTCTTATTGCTTTTGTTTTGGGGAGACAGTAGGCGGTGACTGGAGTGAGTAGTAAATGCTTGTGAAATTGATCCTAAACTCTGAACTGCACGCTGGCATTTTAAGGCAGGGAATGGCCATGCCGCCCCAGTGGATGATCTTGGGTTCCCACAGAATGCTCACCCTAGACGGCAGGAGTACAGGTGCGTTTCCAAGTGTAAACCTGTCCCTGGGCAATTCCCTTCTAGAAGTTTGTTTTTCAGCCTGCAACTCTTCCATGAACTCGACTTGTCTAGCCAACCCCCTACACGTCACCATGAGGCTCTCCAGTAAGTGCCGCGCACCACGCCTCCCCAGCACAGACTCCAGATTATTCGGCACCCACCTGGCCCTCTCCTAGTCTTCTCATCAATTTTTAGCATCCTGGGCCAGAAACCTGGGGTCACCCTCCCCAGCTGTGAGCTGGTGGAAGTCTGCCATTCAACCCACCTAGACTGCCAATGAAAAGAACCACCAGATGCCCTGTGGGGCAAGGGGCTGTGGCTACCCTCTCTCTCCCCCACCTGTGGACCAGGTCCCCCAGAGCCAGGCAGCCCTTTCCTGGGAGCCCTCCCTGCATTCCTCCGGCTGGTTAGCCCAGTTTGGGGTTCTGCCCTGGTAGGCTGATAGCCCCTCACCTCATGCCGAGGCTGCTGCCCCGACTTGCAGGAACCCTCAGATGAAGGACCCTAAGGAGGGCCAGCTCTGTGTCCATGCCCACTTGGATCTTGAGAGCTGCCCCAGGCACGTGTGGACTGGTAGTGCCCCTGGACTCAGAGCTTTGGGTTTTGCCCACCCTGGAGCTGCCCGGCTCTGTTCCTCAGCATATACTCTCTTCCTCATTCCTACTTCATGGTTATATGTAAATGCAAGCACACAGAAGTTTTCTACTTTAAAACTCAGAAGATCAGCAGATCACTGCTCTCTCCTGGTGCTCTGGGGAGCCACGTGGCCTCTCTTTGCACCAAAACTCCCCATCCAAGTCCAGCTCCACTCTCTCTCTGCCTCAGCTGCCCTGCAGCCCTTTCCTCTTGCTCTTTGATGTTTTGTAGGCCTGCAGCTCCCAAGCACAGAGGCATGAGTGGGGAGAATGTCACCAAGGTCAGCACCTTCATCCTGGTGGGCCTCCCCACGGCCCCAGGGCTGCAGTACCTGCTCTTCCTCCTCTTCCTGCTCACCTACCTCTTTGTCCTGGTGGAGAACCTGGCCATCATCCTCATCGTCTGGAGCAGCACCTCCCTCCACAGGCCCATGTACTACTTTCTGAGCTCCATGTCTTTCCTGGAGATCTGGTACGTGTCTGACATCACCCCCAAGATGCTGGAGGGCTTCCTCCTCCAGCAGAAACGCATCTCTTTCGTCGGGTGCATGACGCAGCTCTACTTCTTCAGCTCCCTGGTGTGCACCGAGTGTGTGCTTCTGGCCTCCATGGCCTACGACCGCTACGTGGCCATCTGCCACCCGCTGCGCTACCACGTCCTTGTGACCCCGGGGCTGTGCCTCCAGCTGGTGGGCTTCTCCTTTGTGAGTGGCTTCACCATCTCCATGATCAAGGTCTGTTTTATCTCCAGCGTCACGTTCTGTGGCTCCAACGTCTTGAACCACTTCTTCTGTGACATTTCCCCCATCCTCAAGCTGGCCTGCACGGACTTCTCCACTGCAGAGCTGGTGGATTTCATCCTGGCCTTCATCATCCTGGTGTTTCCGCTCCTGGCCACCATACTGTCATATTGGCACATCACCCTGGCTGTCCTGCGCATCCCCTCGGCCACCGGCTGCTGGAGAGCCTTCTCTACCTGCGCCTCTCACCTCACCGTGGTCACCGTCTTCTATACAGCCTTGCTTTTCATGTATGTCCGGCCCCAAGCCATTGATTCCCAGAGCTCCAACAAGCTCATCTCTGCCGTGTACACTGTTGTCACGCCAATAATTAACCCTTTGATTTACTGCCTGAGGAACAAGGAATTTAAGGACGCCTTGAAAAAGGCCTTGGGCTTGGGTCAAACTTCACACTAAGACAACTAAATGTCCTAGAGTAAAATCTGTAGTGATGAAACAACATTGTATGTGGCACTTTGTGCTCTTTAAATTAATTTTTAAGTTAAATTTAACAAACCTACAGAACTAAGTGAAATTTAACAAACCTACACAACTGTGCACAAGTAACAAGCCTTCGTCTGCATATGTTTTCACAAAAGGACTGTGCTCATGGAACCAGCTCCCAGATCAAGAACTAGAAGCTGCCTTCACGCCCTCTCCCAGTCATTAACCCTTCTCCACAAAAAGCACTGTCCTGACTTCCAAAACCAGATGCTAGCATTGGTGTTTCTGAGGGGCTTACACATAAAGTATGTGCCCTGTTATGTTCAGCTTCTTTCATTCACCGTGTTGCTTGAGTGAATCCTTGATGTTTTTGCATGTAACAATAATTCATGCATTCTCATTGCTATCCAATATTCATAATAAATAATACATTTATACTGTATAATACACAATGCATAATACATTCATACTGGGATAATACATATACTGGGATAATGCATATACTGTATTGTGTATTATATATACATAATACATTATGCTGGGTGAAACCCTGTCCCACCTGTCCCAGCAGGTGTGAGCCACTGTGCTCATCCATAATTTATGCATCTAAACACAGATAAGGTAAGTCAAAATATAATGTCATAATCTTATGGGACCACCATCTTATGTGCCGTTCAGTTCATCATTCACCAAATGTCATTGTGTGGTGCACTACTGCGTCAGTTGAGAATATTTGTGCTGGCTTATTTCTGGATCCTCTGTTCTGTTAAATTGATCTACGTATCTATCAATATCACACCCTCCATCCATACAACACAGTCTTGATTTATATGATTATGTAGTAAATCTTAACACTGGAAGAGTGACTCCTCCCACTTTATTCTTCTGCTTCAAAATTATTGTGGCTATTGTACAGCCTTTATATTTTTATATAAATTTTATAGTAAGCCTGTCAATGTCTACAAGAGAACCTCGCTGAGATTTTGCTAGAAATTCCATTAAACCTAAAAATCAATTTGGGAAGAACTGACTTCATTACTCTGTTGAGTCTTTCAATCCATGAACATAGTAAACCCCTCCAATTATTGAGGTCTTCATTCTTTAAATCAGTGTTTTGTACTTTTTAATATGCAGATTCTGTGTGTGTTTTGCTGGATTTAGACCTAAATATTATATTTTCTTTGAAGCAACTGTAAATGGTATTCCATCTTTTATTTCAGTTTCCTTCTGTTTGTTGTTAGTACATAGGATGCAGCTGATTTTCATATGTTGACATTGCAGCCTGCAAACTTGCTGCGCTCACTCATTAGTTCCAGGAGGTTTTTGTAGATTCCTTTGGGTTTTCTATGTGAACAGTCATGTCAACTAAAAATAGACAGTTTTATTTCTTCCTTTCTGATCTGTATGAATTTCATTTTTTATTTTTTGCCATACTGCATGGCCTATTACTAGAACTTCCAGTGCTCTGTTGAATAAGAGTGGGCAGAGCAGATATCCTTGCCTTGTTTCCTCCTTAGAAGGCAAGCATTCAGTCTTTCATGATTAAGTACAATGATGCAGAGTTTTCACGCATGTGCTTTATCAAGCTGAAGCAGCTCCCCTTTAGTCCTTATTTGCTGAGAGCAGTTTTTGTTTTTATCATAAATGAGTATTTAATTTTGTCAAGTGATGCAGAAAACTGCATCAGGCAATCTGGTCATAGATTTCGTCTTTCACCTGCTGGTAAGGTGTATTACATTGGTTGATTTTCAAATACCAGATTAGCCTTGCATCTTCTGAATAAACCACCTTGGGTTGTGGTGTATGATTCATTTCATATAGTGTTGGATTCAATTTGCTAACATTTCGTTAAGGATTTTTGTGTCTAAGTTCACGAGAGATATTGGTCTATTGGGGTCTGAAGTTATTTTCATGCTGTCTAATATAGTGTGGACGTCAAAGCGACCTCCTAGAGAACATTCCTAGCTCTCAGAACGTTCTAGCTGGGGAGGGAAAACGGAAAAAGGGGGGCGAGAAGCGGAGGGACGGGGAAGTATATAGTAATACTTCCCTTGAACCAGTAAAACTGTAATGCCCAACCTGGTTTTTACTAACTGTTTTCAGACTCTCCCTTTTCCTTTAATCACCTAGCCCTGTTTCCACCTGAATTGACTCTCCCTTAGCTAAGAGAGCCAGACAGACTCCATCTTGGCTCTTTCACTGGCAGCCCCTTTCTCAAGGACTTAACTTGTGCAGGCTGACTCCCACCACATCCAAGAATGCAATTAACTGGTAAGATACTGTGGCAAGCTACATCCGCAGTTCCCAGGAATTTGTCCGATTGATAACGCCCAAAGCCCCGGGTCTATCATCTTGTAATAGTCTTAAAGCCCCTGCACCTTGAACTGTTTACTTTCCTGTAACCATTTACCCTTTTAACTTTTTGACTACTTTACTTCTGTAAAATTGTTTTAACTAGACCCCCCCCCCTTCCTAAACCAAGGTATAAAAGTTAATCAAGCCCCTTCCTCGGGGCTGAGAGAATTTTGAGCGTTAGCCGTCTCTCGGTCGCCAGCTAATAAAGGACTCTTAATTCGTCTCAAAGGTGGTGTTTTTCTAACTCGCTCAGGTACAACAAAACATCCACGCAAACAGGTTGTGAGAAGTTACGTCTGCGTGCTGTGATACCTAGAGGAACCACTACGAAAACTATACATAATGATATTTCCCAAGACATTATCAGTAAATCAAGATGGAATTCTAAAAAAATGTACTGTATCCATTGGAAGGCACAAAAAAAAAAAAAAAAAAAAAATGCAAAGGAAACAAGGCAAAAAACAGCAGACATGAACCCTAAAGCTTGTTAAATGGATTTCAGGTGCCCTCCAGGATCTAAAAACCAGACCCTCCTGCGTTGGGGACCGGGAATCCGTATTTTTGACAAAAAGCAATTCTTCAATTATAGAAACATCCATAGAACCGGCCGTAGTTTACACAGCTGCATTCCCACTGTTTTACAATCGCATGATCATTTCTGAAAAGTTGAAAACAAAGTTAAAGAATATTTAAGGGGTTAAGAACAAAAAGCCTGGGGAACACAAAAGATTATAAAAACCCTTCCCAACAGCAGGCATACTTGGAAGGAAACCTCACATGCAAGGCTCCTTCGTGGAGCCCAGAGCCCAGGTCCTGACGGGAGCACATTTTAAGAGATGGACTTGCCGGCGCGGTGGCTCACGCCTGTAATCCTAGCACTTTGGGAGGCCGAGGCGGGTGGATCACGAGGTCAGGAGATCGAGACCATCCTGGCTAACATGGTGAAACCCCGTCTCTACTAAAAATACAAAAAATTAGCCGGGTGTGGCGGCGGGCGCCTGTAGTCCCAGCTACTCGGGAGGCTGAGGCAGGAGAATGGCGTGAACCAGGGAGGCGGAGCTTGCAGTGAGCGCGATGGCGCCACCGCACTCCAGCCTGGGCGACAGAGCGGGACTCTGCCTCAAAAAAAAAAAAAAAAAAAAAAAAAAAAAAAAAAAAAAAAAGAGATGGACTTGGAGCGTGTGCTTTTGTTTTCTATGCTATTCAATGTGTTCACAGCAGGTCCCCTGGATGAGACCACTTAGCCTTCAGCTCCGGAGGCGACCCAGGCCGGCCTTGCCAGGTCCCTCTCCCTGACAGGCGCCCCGCGACAGGGGTCCCACCCCGTCCCTCCGCTCCTCGCCCCCTCTTTTTCCACTTTCCCTCCCCAGCGAGAACGTTCTGAGAGCTAGGAATGTTCTCTAGGAGGTCGCTTTGACGTCCACACCGCGCCTGGGGGATTCTGCGGGGAGCACAGGACCCTGGGACGAGACGCAGAAGTCGCTCCACGCCCTGGGCGGCCTCAGCTCCCGCGACACCGCAGCAACTCAGAACCCAGGCAGGGGCCGGGCAGCCAGCATGCTGCCCCCACGTTCACCTCCAACTCCCACCTCTCGGCCCTCGCCCCAACCCGCAGGACCCTGGCAGCGCACTGGCTGTCTCCGCGGAAGCCCCCGAGGGCCTCGGCGCGGCCCCGCCCCCTGGAAGGTTCCCGACAGGCGCCGCGGGCACCCCGGCCGTGACGTCACGGCAGCGCGCCGGCCGCGAGAGAGGGCCCCGTCGCGACCGCGTCCCCTTGGGTCCTTGATCCTGAGCTGACCGGGTAGCCATGGCCTTGCGGCTCCTGAAGCTGGCAGCGACGTCCGCGTCCGCCCGGGTCGTGGCGGCGGGCGCCCAGCGCGTGGTGAGCGGGCGGCGGGGTGGCAGGGTGGCGGGGTGGCAGGGTGGCGGGGTGGCGGGGTGGGGAGCAGTTCCACATCTCCCCCGGCCTCTGGCGGCGGCTCCCAGGTCGCTCTCCGGGTGGGTTTGGGGGACCCCTCCTGCCTCCGGAATTGTTTGGTCTTTGGTCGTGGACAGACCTCAGGGGGCCACGAGCTTCTCCAGGCCATTTTATCTCAGCTTTAAGCAAAACGCTGGAGCGCGGAGGTGATCAGGGCCCCGAGGCTGCCCTGATGCGGGAGGCCCGTGTGCAGGTGGCAGGCCGGGGGCACACGCGCTTGTCATTAGATAATTCACGTAGCAGCCCTGTCAAGAGCCGTTTAAAGGTCGGGCCCTGCTGGGTGCTTGGGTGATGCCATGTTGAGCAGACACGGAGTTCAGTGCTTGTGTCCGCTTCCTTTTGCCTTTACTCTGACTGACTACTCTCATTTCTTAGCATTTTGCCCCCACCTTCTTCAGTGAAATCGTTTCATACATTTGTAACACAGTTGGATTGCTTTGTCACATTCTGCCTTACATCTTGGGATCCTTCTACCTAATGCGTTTTTTAAAATGTGCATACATTGAGCGCATTCTTTGTGCTATAAGGTTCTATGGATTTTTTCTTTGTGCTATAAGGTTCTATAGGTTTTGACACGTGTGTAATAGCATGTCTCCACCATTATAGGTTCGTACAGAGTAGCTTCACTGCCTTAAAAAATTCCCCTCTGCTTTACCTATTAAACCCTTCTTTTTCTCCAACCCCTGACAACCACAGATCTCATTAACATTTCCATAGTTGCCTTTTCTGGAATGTCATATAATTAGAATCATACAATATATTGCCTTTTCAGACGCCTTGAATACTTGGAAATATCTATGTAAGATTCACTTATGTCTTCGTGGCTTGGTAACTCATTTCTTTTTAATCACTGAGTAATATCTCATTGCATGGATGTACTTCAATTCATTCAGCAATTGAAGGGCATCTTGGTTGCTTCAAGTTTTTGGCAATTATGAATAAAGCTGCTGTAATCGTGTACATGCAGATTTCTTTTTGGAAATACATTTTTATATCATTTGGGTAATACCTGGAAGAGCGATTACTCATGTAGTAAGACTAGTTTTCTAAGAAGCTGCCAAGCCATCTTCCAGAGTGACTGTGCCATTTGACTCCCACCAGAAGTGAAGGCTCTCCTTGTTGCTCTGCGTGCTCGCCAGCATGCGGGGCTGTCGGTTACTTTGGATTGCTATCCATTCTGATAGCTGCGTAGTGGTATCTTGTTTCAACTTTGGAATATCTCATGATATACAGTGTTCATCTTTTCATATACTTATTTGCTATCTGCGTTAATTTCATTTGCGAGAGGTGTTTACATCTTTTGCCCATTTTTAAATTGGGTTGTCTGCTTTGCCTTGTTTTGTAACTTGTTTCTTCCTTACTCTTCAGTTATCAAATCAAGATCGAAAAATATCTTGATATTTCATATTCTCCTGTTTTATTTAAATTTCACTATAAAGTATTTTAATATTTTTGTGTTTTTCTGAGTACTTAGTATTCCATAATATGGATATGCCTTAATTTTGTTTAACTATTCCTCCGTTGTTGGACATTTAAGGGTTTCTATTTGCATTTTTGGTGTTACATCATACTTCATTGAGCATCCTTATAGGTCAATCTTATGTATATACTCTTTGAATGGATTCCTAATGCTGTAGACCCAGCGTCCTCTAGGTTTCATTACCATTAGCAGTTTAGGATGGTACTCATTGTCTTGTCCTAACTCTGTAATCATTTTTTAAATTATTTCTCATTTTGACACATGAAAAACTAATGTTTCCTTGTTAATAGTCTTTTGTTTTTTTGTAGCAAGGTTGACCACTTTTTCATGTGGTTTTTGGCTATATTTTATAATTTTAAAATAAGCTGTGTGTTTTTATTCTTTGTTTTCTTATTGTTCTGTACAATTTCTGTATATAGTAAGGTTATTACCCCATCATATCTGTTGAACTTCTTCAGTTTGTTTTACTTTTGGTTATGTTTCTTTTCTTTTTTTGGAAGGAATGTTCCCACTTTAGTGTGGAGAGTAAATTGGGCTGCTGGAGACAGGCATTGAAGCAGGTCTTTGCCTTGTAGATGAGAGGTGTGAGGGTGCCGACAGAGTCAGCACATGGCATAGGGAGGCGATGCAGTGTCCAGAGAGTCTGAACAGTTAGGATTTTGTGTGTAATTCTGCAGTTGAAGGAAGGAGAAAGGTATCAAAGACGACACTCAAATTTGCTCTCTTTTGCTTGTTAGGTAGTGGATATTCCTTGCTGTGAGGGAAAGCAGACTTGGGGGCTAGGATATGGATGTTGCATTTCACCTTAGCTCTGTTACCTTCAGGTGCCTTCAGGACATCTAGGTGGAGCTGTTTAATAGGCAGTGGGGTAACGAGGTCAGGACATGGGGACAGAAGCTTGGATTAGAGAAATGTTTTTTATTCCCTTCCCTTCACTCCTGAGCTTCCCTCCATCCCTGTCTTTCTTCCTCCCGTCTGTCCGTCCATCCATCCATCCATCCACCCCTCCCTCCCTCCCTCCAATTTTTATTGAACATAGTAAACATATTTAATAAAAATTTCAGGCATTGTTCCAGGGCCTGAGGATTTAGCAGTGAACAAACAGACAGTATATCTGCCTTTAACGAAACTTACATGGACAGAGTGGTGGGGGATAGACAGATAATTAAACAAATTAATAGGCAATAAAGATGTAGATGTTGGCATTTTTATCACTAAGAGGTTTCTTGGTATTTTTACCTAATAGTTACTAATGCCTACAGGAACCAGAGTGGTCACAATGTGCTGCTGTGTGATTTTGTGTTTTTCAGAGAGGAATTCATAGCAGTGTGCAGTGCAAACTGCGCTATGGAATGTGGCATTTCCTACTTGGGGATAAAGCAAGCAAAAGACTGACAGAACGCAGCAGAGTGATAACTGTAGATGGCAATATATGTACTGGAAAAGGCAAACTTGCAAAAGAAATAGCAGAGAAACTAGGTATGATTTTATGTTACACAGAATGATACCTTTTTCTCAGATATATGGTTGCTTATTTCACTGGTTTTTCTTCAATATTAATATTAAATAATATTAAATATTTAATAATTGGGCCTAAGGTGGGTATTTCACATTTTTGTTTATTGAAAAAGCTGTTTTATAAAACGAAACAAGAAAAAGCTGTTTTTAATCTTTTATGTTTGGAAAATTTGTGAAAATCCATGCTGGTTGTCAATTTGAATTGGAATTTTATGTGGGCAGTGTAAGCAGGGCACTTCCACATAAACTGTCGTGTTTGAACTTTGTGACAGCCTCTGAAATAGAGCCGAGGATGGTACTCACTCACAGATGGGTGTACTCCTGAGTGAGCAGATGCCACATAGCTGGGTCCCAAAGCCAAGGTTAGAGCCCCTTCCTGACTCCTGGTGCAGCTGAGTGTCCATTGTACCTTTCTGTAGCACCTGCATGACAGCAGCTGCCCGCTAGAGGGGGCTCCTGTGGTTACAGGGAGCAGTCCTTTCAGGAGGAACCTGGATAAGGGCACTGTGCAAGCTCTTTCGCTCACATGCTTGCTTGTATATGTTGTGTGTTCCCTTCATACGTGATGAAACCCAGGCATGTAGGTGACTTTCTCTAGGTCATTGGCTCCATCCCTGGCGGTGAGATTCGGGCGGGCTGTGTGTTTTGGCTAGTCCCCACTGCTCCCTGCGGGGAGTGAGTGATGTGCATCAGACTGCATCCGACTGTTTCTCTTTTCAGGCTTCAAGCACTTTCCTGAAGCGGGGATTCATTATCCAGACAGTACCACAGGAGATGGGAAGCCCCTCGCCACCGACTATAATGGCAACTGTAGTTTGGAGAAATTTTACGATGATCCGAGAAGCAATGATGGCAACAGTTACCGCCTGCAGTCCTGGTTGTACAGCAGTCGCCTGCTGCAGTACTCAGATGCCTTGGAGCACTTGCTGACCACAGGTGCAGTATTTCTGGGCAGTTAGATCTGTTCTGTACTTGAACACTATTCTAGAATTCAACCACGTTAAATTGCCACTGAGTCGAGCTTTCCTTTAAGGGTGTTTGATGAGGTGAGTTCTGTCTTTCCAACAAGATCATGAATTTCTTGAGATTGTGTTATTTTTGCTTCAGAATTAATTTAATGCTGTTTCACTATGGATACTGGAGTGAGATTTATGGATTGTATAGAATTCTCAAGGCACTACTTTAAGCTTCTATACTTACATATTCATTTATATATGAAATGTGTCAAAACAAAGGGGTAAAGAGAGCACAGAAGTGTCCAGGAGGAAACGGGATCACACTTATGAAGACTGTGCATGTGCCATGCAGACAGAGATGTGGATGCCAACAACATAGGGTTGTCCCGGAGGGCCCAGAGATAGGCCGGAATCACCATAAAGCCACGAGGCAGACGTGAATCTTGATAAGATGACGGGGGGAGGCAGAACACACAGGGTCCCATAGGCCAGTGCAGTAGGGGAGGATGCTTCCCTTGAAGGTATCCAAAGCAGAAAGGAAGAGCTGTGTACTGGGGAGCCTGGGAGACGGAAACAGGGATCAGAAAGTATAGTTAGGAGAGGAAGGGAAGGTGGATGAAAGGGCATGAACATGGACTACTTGTGTGCAGAATGAGGTTAGGGTCCAGCGACGGGTTACTGTAATCATTCTGGGAAACAGCAGTGCATGCTAGACATCCTGAGAGTTGGACCGCAGATGCACTGCCAATTTTTGGTCAAAGCTACCATGCCACGGCGGTCCTCAGTTCACAGGTAGCAGCAAATGGCACATCTGTGTGCGGAGAGAGGGAGATGGGTGGACTCTTAGGGCCTTCGTGTCTGTTTTATATTGCAGTGCTTGCTGCTTTCGTTGATTGGCAGTGCCCCTGATGAGCTTCTCACGCACAAGCTCAGCCGCCACTAGGGTTGGCTTCATGGGGTCTGAGCCGTGAGAACAAGAATGTGGTTTTCACTGGGAGTGGCCGGCTCACAGGCTTCTTCTCAGAGCTGAGCTAGGAGCCGCTGCCTATGCTCCTTCAGGTCTCCACGGATGCAGTGTGTGTCCATGACACGTATCTACACAGTTGTACGGTGGTGGAGTTATTGTCTTGCTTTGAAAAAGTTGAAAACATTTTATTAGTGCTTCTTTTTTTCTTATATGAACGTAAACCCTGATCTTGGTTAGTGTTACTCCTAAGAAAACAATGTGGTCTGCTGTTTCTGGTTTGAGGTTCTTTACCAGGAGCCAATCCAGGAGCTGATGTCGTAGCGTGGACTTCACACTGACATCCAGGCTTACTCCACGTTCTTTTTTTTTTTTTTTTTTTTTTTTTTTTTTTGAGACGGAGTCTCGCTCTGTCGCCCAGGCTGGAGTGCAGTGGCGGGATCTCGGCTCACTGCAAGCTCCGCCTCCCGGGTTCATGCCATTCTCCTGCCTCAGCCTCCCAAGTAGCTGGGACTACAGGCGCCCGCCACTACGCCCGGCTAATTTTTTTGTATTTTTAGTAGAGACGGGGTTTCACCGTTTTAGCCGGGATGGTCTCGATCTCCTGACCTCGTGATCCGCCCGCCTCGGCCTCCCAAAGTGCTGGGATTACAGGCGTGAGCCACCGCGCCCGGCCTCCACGTTCTTTTTAAAGCATTCTTCAACCCTGTCTTCTGACTACTCATTTCTTAAAATGAAAAAGAAACATTTTACTTGTTAAATAAAGCCTTGCTTTTTTTGGTGCTATAGTAACCTATTTCCCATTTAGAAAAAAAAAGTGCAGCTTGCTCCCATCTCAGTATTCTTGGGGCAAATTGGAACTGGGTTAACGTATTCATTAAATATTTAGTGCATGTCTGCTGTGTGCCAGACCCATTCTGGGAGCTAAGGGCGCCACAGGGAGGGAAGCCTGTGTTTTAGTAGAGGGATGAAGACTCGATGTGGAAACAGGAATGTCTTGCCCCAAGTGAGTGGTGGCTGCTCTGAGGAAGGAGGCTGTGGGGAGAGGCTGGGTAGGAAGATTAGGGGAGGCCTCTGCCCAGACACAGCAGGGCTGACTGCAAGGAGGCTGGCTGGGGACCCTGGGGACTAGTGCTCTGAGCTGCACAAGTGTCCGTCGGGGCTGCTGTGATAGTAACACAGCCAGTGAGGCTGGGAGTGGACAGAGGTGAGGTTGAGAAGTAGCCCAACATCAGTAGATCTGACTGGAATGGTGGGGGCAGGAGCAGGATGGGGGTGGGCACTGTAGGGGTGGAATACGTTATTTAAAAACAAGCACTTTTTGTATTAACCGGATGCTTTCTGTTATAGCTGACTTAATGAAACGATGTTATATTGCTCAAAACTGAAAAGATACTTCAGTTTTTGAAAATGGTTTCCCACTTACAAATATGTCTATGTTCTTTTCAGTATTTTGGTGTGGAAATGGAATTGTAAATGATTGTTATTTTCTTTTCTCTGGAATGCAGTGATCAGTTGACAGTGCTTTGCTATCTGTCTGATTTTCAATTTCTGTTTGCCTATGTTTAAACAGGACAAGGTGTTGTGTTGGAGCGCTCCATCTTCAGTGACTTTGTGTTCCTGGAGGCGATGTACAACCAGGGATTCATCCGAAAGCAGTGTGAGTCAGCATTGCAGACCCACTTCTGGGTGTGTGGTGCGACTTTGCAAGGGCTGTGATAGACTCACCTTGCACTTACTGTGTTTATGAATGTCTGTTAGATAGATGAATAAATGCCATTACTTAATCGGTCTCCGCTGGAAAAAGGAACTTCCTAAGTATCTTCCACCCTTTCTCCCTCCTGAAATAGGTGTCTTTTGTGCTGTCATGTCTCCCTGTGAAAGCAGATTGGAGCCCTGGACCTCAAACACACGCAGCTTAAAGTGCAGCCCCCACAGCCTCCCGTTAGAACCTCCCCCGCTCTTAGCTTGCCCTAGCAATACCTAGGCTGTAGCTCTAATTGTAACAGACTTTCCAGTTTCTAGTGTGTGATTTTGATGAATTGGGATGTTAGCCCTGCCAGTTGCCAGCATCATCACAGTGCTTCCCTCTGACACGCTGCCGTTTTTCAGGACAGTAGCTTTGTGTTGCTGTATTGGGGAAGGTCTGACAAGTGGCAAATGGAAAGGAACAAAGACCCCCTGGTTTGAAGCAGGCTGACCTTGAGGAGTCAGGGTGGGGTTGGGGTGTCTGTGACTAGGACTGTGTTGGGCGGTGGGTTGAATAGGCCTGGTGGACAGTCTGACTGACGGCATTTTCATCTGTAGACTGGGGTGGCTGGAGCCAGTGGAAAGCTGGAATCTGGGAGCTCAGAGGAAGTACTGTTGATTAATGAAAGAGGAGGCCGAAGCAAGCCAGGTGACCATTCTGTGGAGGAGGCGCCTGCTTCTGGCTGCTTGTGTGTCCTGGTGTTGCCGGTACTCCACCTGTGAGCTTGCCGCCCGCAAGAGCACTGCAAGCCCGTGCTTCTGATAGGGGCTGATCCTCCCTGGACATGCTGAGCAGCGGGTCAGGTCACCAGCAAGTGTTTCTGGAGTGCCTGTGGTGTGGCAGGCTCTCTTAGGTGCTAGGGATATGAATATGAAGAAACTTAAGACAAGGCTCCCACGGGCCCGGGGTTGGGGGCTGTTGAACCAATGGGGATGGTTCATTGTAATAAAGTGTACTTAGCACTCCTGAGCATTACTCCTGGGTGCTTTGGGGGCACATAGGAGAAATGTGTAACCGGCTGGGAGATGGGATAGTGTCAGGGACAGCTGTTTTGATGAATGGCCTGTCATCTGTAGCGCAGTGGGAGTGAGGGACGTGTGGGGATGGTGGAGAAGCCTGCGTGTGCCACAGGCTGGTGGTGGTGTCCTATAGTGAGGGCTGGGTGCTGGGGGAGAATGATGCTGGATGAGGCTGCACGAGGAAGGAGCTGCGCCTCGGCGAGGATGCTTGGCTTCTGTCCTGAAACTAGTGAGGGACCACTGGAGGATTTTTAGCATGGCAGAGACATGGTTAGATGTGAGTTTAAAATGGTTGCAGGCCTTCATCTGAAGGATGCATTTGGTGAGGAGAGACGGAAGGGGAAGGAGCCTATCTGGGAGGAAATTGGGGTGGGACAGGCGTGCACAGCAGGGAGGCTGCACTGGGCAGTGGGAGTTGCCGCTCAGGAGGGACACTGGGCAGGCCTGGGTGGGTGGTTTCCTGTGTGCACAGTGGGGAGTGGCGTGGACCTGCCCTGGCTAGTGGGCCGCTAAGGGGGAAGGATGCACAGGGGCAGTGGACCGATGTGGCTTCATGTTTGGGCGTTGGATTCCTGAGTGTGAGGTTCCCATGGCAAGGTGGCAGGAGATACCTGTCGGCATCTGCTGAGTGTCTGCTGAAGTCTGAGGACTGGCCTGGGCTGGAGTCTGCAGGCGTTGGGGGTCCAGCACTGACCGTGAGCATGCTTTCCTTGGGAAAGCCCAAGGGGTGATGGGGGAGGGCTGAGACCAGATCCTTTGGGGACCATTTCTGGGGTGATGAGACCCCCACTGAGGGATTGAAGCTGAATGATCAGAGGTGCACAGGAGGAAGCAGAGGGGATGTGGGGAGGGTTGGTTGTTGGTGTCACATGTGCTGTGACTCTGATGGGAACTGAGAAGTGACTGTCACGTTTCACCTTTCGGGGGCTGGTGATGTTAGCCAGAGTCGTTTGAGTGCTGGGCTGGGGGAAAGCAGATCATGTTGGCTAAAGGACAGGTGGCATAGAGCAAGGTGGGGACCACCTGAGAAGTGGGTGTACTGACAGGAGTAAGGGTGAGGGTGGGAAGCAGGGTGAGAGCAGACTCGGTGAAGGGAGGTTTCACCTCAGCAGCAGGAGAGACCGGCCTGCTACCGGTCCAGCAGTCAGGAAGCAGACCCGAGGTCCCGTGTGCTCTGCCTGGCTGCGGGTTTGTGTTTGTATGCTCAGGTGAACGGTACTCCACTGGCAGCCTCCGTCCTTTGCTTTGTCACACCTCCTCCTGGGTGGTCTTCCTTGTTCTTTAGCTCGTGCCGTTCCTGACCCTGAGCCAAAGGCTCATCCCACAGTTGCCTCTAGAGTGAGGTTACTAGGAATGCTCACTGGAACTTTTTTTTTTAATTTAATTTTTAAAATTTTTATTTATTTATTTTGAGACTAGGTTAGGAGACTGGCTAATGTTTGTATTTTTGGTAGACATGGGATTTCACCATGCTGCTCAGGCTGGTCCTGAACTCCTGGGCTCCAGTGATCTGCGCCCACCTCGGCCTCCCAAAGTGCCAGGATGACAGGCGTGAGCCACTGTGCCCAGCCCATTTCCTTTAAAGCAAAATAGTTGTCTTTCTGTGGACCCTAGCATGGCCATCTGTCACTTCTGGAAGGTTCCACACGTGAAAAGCTGCAGAGGGGATGGCTTCTCAGCATGGCCTCTCCACATGCACTGGCGTGCACTCTCTGTTGGCTTCTGGGAGGTCGGGTGTGCATGAGCATGTGCAGGTGCAGAGTGCTCTGAAGAGCGGCAGGGTTCCCTTGGGTGGCACGGGCCCTGCGGGTGCCCCCTGGATTATGCATTCTGTGTAGTGATCACTTTAGGAGAATTATTCCTCAGCCTTAGCTGCTTTCAATTTCATGTTGTCACTAAATCTGACTCAGTAGATACTTCTGTGCAGCTGATTATACTACTGAAACGGGATAAATGCAGCTTGATGATTTTCAGCTGAGTTATTTGAAAAATAAAGTATTTAAAGCTGTTCTTTATTCTTCAGAGAAGACCAGACTCTTGTATCTATTATTACTGTGAAGAAATATAGTAGCATGTATACTATATACCTGCAACATATATACTGCAAGTATATGGAATATATTTCAGTTCAAAGATCACTGAACTGTGACCTCCATCTTGCGTGACCTACGTCTTGCCTCAGGAGCAAAAGTGAACCCTTAAATGTGGCTAAGATGTGCTAAAGATCTGTCTTTTAGGATGATTAAGGTCACAGTTTAAATGCTGCTGTTTTACTCTGTGTAAGTAGCTTAATTTCTCTGGGCCTCAGACCTTTGGTTTGTAAATACAGTGGAGGCGACAAGCCCTGTTTTCAGGGTTGTGGGCACCACAGCTGCTGTCTGCACATGCCCCGTGGCACCTGGAGCACAGTCACATGCCATGTGTGTGGTCAGTGCTTAGAACTGTGACCGAGATAGGGTTTGTAGATTGGTACGTGGCTTTGAGAATTGCGTGTATGTTTGCCCTTTTATTCAAGGAGGAGTGTGTTTTGGAAACCCGTGTGGGGACTGGTAGGTGACAGCGCCCCTTTCTCCTATGTGCCAGGTGTGGACCACTACAACGAGGTGAAGAGCGTCACCATCTGCGATTACCTGCCCCCCCACCTGGTGATTTACATCGATGTGCCCGTTCCAGAGGTCCAGAGGCGGATTCAGAAGAAAGGAGATGTAATGCAGTTTTCAATCAAAGGCCAAGCATCTCTATTTTGAATGTAGATCAGCACTAAAAGCCCTGTTTTAATAGCATTTATACTAATTCCTACCAGTCCTCACGAGGAGGGTGACACACACCCTGTTCCCACTTGAGAGAGGGCATCTGCAGGGGTGGAGGGGAGACCCCATGGCTCGGCCTGGTGCCACAGCCTGCGGGCCTGCCGCCCACCAGTGCTCTGCGGTCCCACTGTGGTCCCCGAGTCCCCTCAGCTGTTTAAACTTGGGAGGCTGGTGAGGGCCTCCTGGCAGAGCGTCCTCCATCCCTCTGTCACGTACCTTTCTGTTCTCTGATGAGGTTTTTGTGTCCTATCGTTTTCTTCCACATTGGAAGCAATTTCTAATATCCCTCATCACTTCAATCTATTTAACGCAAATCGTGCCTCTCCCCCTTTTTCTTACTTACCAATTCTAGAACAGTAGAGCAGTGATATCCACACACATCCATTTACTCTTTGTAGTTTTCATTGGATCTTAATTAGGTGGCCTCGAAGCAACGCCTTTTGAAGTGACCCTGTGGCCGTTGGTAGCTCTGTTGGCGGCTTGATGGAGGATCCTGAGATGAAACAAAGACCGTCTTTGCCCTGTGGCGAGTTCTTTGTTTTTTTTTTTTGAGACAGAGTCTCGCTCTGTCACCCAGGCTGGAGTGCAGTGGCACGATCTCGGCTCACTGCAAGCTCCGCCTCCCGGGTTCACGCCATTCTCCTGCCTCAGCCTCCCAAGTAGCTGGGACTACAGGCGCACGCCACCATGCCCGGCTAATTTTTTTGTATTTTTAGTAGAGACGGGGTTTCACTGCTTGTTTAATACTATGTTATTTTTTCCTGGAGGAGAATATGGTCTCCTTTTTGATACTGTGATGAAAATGCAGGGCTACCTGCCTGTTCCTCACTCTGATGCCCATCCTCAGTGCCGGAATTCTTGTAGGTGCTCAGGAAATACCTCTCTGGATGGTGGGTTCTTGTCAGGGCAACAGTAAAGCTCTGGTTATTTTTTGCTGCTCCTGAAAGATCCATGGGACTAACTTTCCTTCTCTGTTGCAATAGTAGAAACAGCGAGATGTCTATGTATGCCTTTCTATTGCCACTCTGGAACTTTTATTGTTTAAGCATATGCTTGTAAGTATGTTGTATAGCTAGACTTCTAAGAACCTTCCATCAAGTGGCAAAAGGAGGGAACTGCAAGTTCAAAATGTTTGTTTCTCAGTGGACTAACTGGACACCTTTGCTTATTATGCTGACATTTATTGAGAAAAACAAAGTCATACATTTAACATTCTCTAGATAATTCTTTTGTTATCTGGGAAAACAGTATTTCAAAAATAATTCTGAGGTCTAAAGTAGAGCTGTCAACTTCTTAATTTTTCCAAGTAAAGTCTTCAATACTGTCATCAGGTAAAATTACCCCATTTTATAAAAGACATCACATTATCAGTAAGTCTGTGTTCTTATTTTGATTTTTATTTCAATGCAGTCTGTGTCTCAGTATTGCACCTTTTGGGAATAACTGATAGGAATATCCGAAAACCATTTCTAGATTCTAAGAAAACAGTCAAAGTGATCAATAACTACATATTTTATCAAGTAACTTCAGGTCAGATTTCTGAGATGGTTGTGTTATGTTGCATGTTATGGGCTTATATTACACTAGAGTTTCTTTTATAATCAGTTAACATTTAATCTTATTCTACTTGGCACATAGCTAATGATAGAGATTTAGAATCATATCACCTCTTTTATACTTTTGTTGATTTCACTCACTCCTCTAATACAGAGCACCTCCTATATGCAAGGCGCCTGTGCCAGGCACCTAGGAGGCTGCAAAGATGAACAAAGATGGTCTCTGCCCAGACACCAAGTCCTTATTGGAAAATAGAACTCCCAATTACTGCCTTTCCCCCTTTTGACAGAGCAATGAAGTGCAGCATTGCCTGTATCATCCTTTCCCTGTGCCCCGTCGCATTACTGGAATTAATACATGTTCAGTAAATATTCTTTGAATGATAGGGTTTTTCTTATTTTGAACAGCTTTAATGAGGTATAATTTATGCTCCATAAAATTCACCCATTTTAAGGGTACGACTGAATGATTTTGGGTAAATTTACCAAGTTGTTGCCACTCTTGCCATAATCCAGTTTTAGAATGTTTTCATCATTTTGTAGGTTGAAACCGCAGGCCTATTCATTTCTTTCTTCCTTCCTCTCTCTCCTGTAAGTGTTGATTGAGCATCCACCCTGTCCTAGACCCTGCTTGGTGCTAGGGACATACCAGTGAGCAGGGTGGATGAGGTCCTCACCCGTGAGCTCATATGCTGATGGGGGAGACCTACAGCAAGCAAGGAGATAAATAAATACATCAAATAGAGGTAAATGATGTGAAGAAAACAAAACGGGCTGAGAAGATAGTGTGAGACTGTAAGGAGTTTTAAATTTTAAAACTTGCTACTCATAATTAGATATTCAAGTTTCTGAAATTCGCATAGTGCATTTCAGATGATGAGAGAGGTGACAGCCGTAGAAAGTGGGAGAAGTGGTTGCGGGGAGATGGGTGAGCGATGGAGGTGGCGAGCAAGTTGGAGAGATGCAGGGAGAGTCAGGTGACAAGAAGAGAGTGTGCTGAGGACAGATGGCGGACAGACAGGCCGCTGCCCCCAATTTTTGGTGCTCTTTCATTCCTGCACTCAGGCACGAGGCAGACAGGAAAGACAGGCAGTGCTGCTTCGTAACAGGCATCTTTCTTGCCCTAAGTATACATCTTAGAATGTGTGGAGAAAGTCACGCTATGGGAGCACTTGGGCAGGCTCAGGTGTTCACTGTAGTAGAAGGAGAATGACTCTAGCTGATGTTGGGACCCTTTGCTGTCACCCCGCAGTCCCCACAGTGCCCGGTGTGAGTTGTAAGAAAATGGTGGTCAGTGATTGTCTTCGCATTTTATATACGCACAGGTCAAAGAGAATGAACTCTAAATGTTTCCCAGTTTGATTTTTCTGCTTCTGTTTAGCCACATGAAATGAAGATCACCTCTGCCTATCTACAGGACATTGAGAATGCCTATAAGAAAACCTTTCTCCCTGAGATGAGGTGAGCCAAACACACGACTGATTTACAGGGCTAAAACTTCTTCGCCACTCGTTTCTTAGGCCCCAACAGCCCAGGGAGTTTTCTGTCTTATTTACTGCAGTGGATATTGTCTGAGATGTTTAATCTGATGTTTATAAATAAGAAAAACAGGAGACATTTCAGTTTGATTTTTGTGGGGTTTATTGGTTTATTTGTTTTGGTTTGCTTATCTTGTCAGTACTTTTGCTCTGCTATATTTCTGAAGTTTTTTGATGCTAGAAGTAAACCAAGCTCTATTCCATGACAGGTTTTACCATAGAGAACTTGTGTATTTTTACTTCAGGTGGCAACTAAACATTCGTGTTTACCTAGAAGGATTGATTGGAAGTGTATTCATGGAGAAAATTCATGAAAGATAACACTTTCTCTAGACATTCTTAATTGATGTCCTTGAGAGATGTTTGGATTAGATGAAGGAAACACCACCAGACTGTTTTTCTTTCTTTTCCCCCTTTCTTTCTTTGTTGAAAGCACATGGAAAATGTGGTTTCACTCATCCTATGGCTTGTCATTCTGCGCTCCTTGGGTATATTCGTGTGTAAGGAATGTCTGCCACACTCATTCACGTCCAGTTAAACTCAGATTGTTTGAATAATGCTTGAATTGAAGATTTTTATACTATTTCTCATACTTTTTAAAACCCTAAGCCTCTTTCGGTGCCTAAAAATCTCATGTTCTTGTTGTTTAAAATTTCAAAGTAACTGAAGTTGTGAATAAAAACAAAAGTATAGCAATTTTAGAAAAAAAGTTTTATTTTTACATTTATTTTAGTTAAATACTGAATATTTACAATGAACAGCCTTAGAAGATAATATTGTTAGACCATAGGTAATAATAAAATCAAAAGTGAATAAGAGAAATGTTCTATTCAGGGAGTTTTTTCTGTACCGTAAGTATTAACGTTTATGTCATCTCTGCTTGTTTGTGGTGAGCGTTTCTTTCTTAGGTGGTAAGAAGACTGGGTGGCCTCTGGCTTCCTTTTAACCTGTTGTACTGCCCTATTTCCAAGGCCACAATACCAAGGGAAGTATCTAGAGCCAACGTGAATAAACAGCATAAACAGAGATAGTTGACCCTAGAGTTTCAGGCTCAAAAATTACTCTTGGAGATCTTCTGGCTTCAAAAACATCACTGAGAAAGAGCTTTGTCATAATTTCTCAAATGGAGTTTCTAGCTACAACATCAGCAAAATAATGGCTGGTTTCAGCCTGTGCACAGGGCAAGAGTTTCTTTTACTTTGCCGCCCTCATAGACTCGTTAAGCCTCAAGCATTTATTTCTTACCACTTGGTCTTGCTGTGTTTTTAACTCCTGTTTTAGGAACAGATACAGTCTCTGTTCATTGTTAAAGTAGATCTTATCTGACAGCTCAAGCCGTATGGATTGATGGGAGCCACTTGATGTAGGGGTCATTTGTCACACATTGAAGAATGAGTACCAGATGTACTCTATGCAGTATGCATTATTTTAAGTGCTGAATTGTAGACCAAGATCAAACTGCAGCTTTGTGATGGACTTGGATCTTAAAAGTTTTCTCATAGAAATTCACTATGAAATTTGGCTGAAACTATTTTTTGTAAAATTGCAAGAAACCTATGACGAGTTGTATTTTAAAATTTATTGGCCATTAGCATTTTAGAATTCAGGAGTTATTTTCCAACAGAAACAATATTAGGTTTCCCGGGCTTGTATATTTAAACCATTGTTTAGTTAAATACTGAATATTTTTATTGTTAGATCTTAGGTTAGACCTTAGAAGACAATATTGTTAGATCATAGATAATTAATAAACAGTAAAATCAAAACTAAATAAGAGAAATGTTTTTAGTTTTAATACTAGTATTTGAAATAAAGCAGATTGACCTGACAAGATGATGGCTCCGTTGAAGTTCTGTGTCTCCTGTCTTTGAGCAGTTCCTCCTGTGTTAGCCCTTCTCTCTGTCACGTGCTGATACATGGTGATGCTTCACTGTTTTTGTATTTGTTGCTTATGAATGCATAAAGAGCATTGCAGCCTTTTCCAAAATATTTGTATTGTGGGATTTTAAGAGGTACAATGAGCTAACTCTCATAGGAATGTGTATTTTCTGGCTTTGTCAATATTTATGACCCAGATCTTAGGCGTACATGTCTTTCTCCTCATTACCTTAATTGTGAATGTGTTAATGAGTATCAACTTAGTTTCACCAACATTTGGCCATTCCCGCGTTCAACATATACTTATTTACTCAGCTCCAACACTGCTAGCTCCCAGTGTCAGTGTTAGCTGAGACACAGAGGTACACAAGACAGAGTAGGGAAGGCCTTTCTGAGAAAGAATCGTCACCTCTGAGATTTCAGAGACAAGAAGAGGAGCACTGAGTGACCAGCCTGACATGTAGCGAGTTTTGTAACTGTCTTTATTGTTTCAGATTGTTCTAAGGTGGGTGAGGAGCTGGGGAGGCTCTGGAAGTATTGAAATAACTTGGGGGTTCAGTAATACAGCTTGTGGCTCTCCTCGGCCCTGAGCTACCTATAGGAATAACCACCATTGAGGTTGCACGTGAACTGCTGGCCCAGCCCTTTATGGGGGTTTCCTCCAGATCCCTGACTCCACACTTGATACCTTCTTATTTTAGGCCTCCTTTCACAAGGCAGTGGGAATGAGAGGCAGGTGTGACTGGACGGAGGCGGTTTTATTTGTCTGTTGCCGAGGTTGTTAGCATGCTGAATGGAGGCGCACAGAAGATAGAAAATGGACTCTCCAGGTTGCTCTCATCAGGTAGTTTGGGGTCTGGAGCTCATTAAGGGCAGGAGCCCTGTCTTCCCCACCTTCCATACCCCACACAGCACCTGGCTCCTGGTGGGGCTTCAGCTAATGTCTGTTCAGTTATGTGTGTTGAACGAAACTGTCACATCGTCCTGATCTCTCATGACCACTCTTGTGCAAATATGTCAAATAGTTTGTGACCTTTCATATTGCTGTGTGAGAACAAATAATGTTTCTGTGCCAGCCCTGTTCATCAGGGATGTTTAAGACCTCTGTCTCCTATACACTTCAGTTGAATATTCACTTAGGTGACTTGCAGAGGGAATTATTCTCCTTTGTCACTTTGTGCCTTTCTCTTCGTATTAACAATGGGTAGCTGTAGAGGTTCAGGAAGCAATACAGCAAGTCCTGTAATTAGTGTGGCCTTTTCCTTGCCAGCCCTAATGGCAAATGCAGTAAGTTACTTTCCTCACTATGGATTTATTGTTCATTCTGCTTGCAGTTTCTGACCATTTATGTTGATCTTAAGGGTGCTGTGAGGAGTGCAGTGATCTCGTTGCAGTAAGAATCTGTTATCCAGTTGTATGACTCTGAATTGTGAGTTATAGACTTGTGTGGAACAGATGTGTTACTGAGTGATTGTAGAGCTTGAAGACTTTTTTCTTTTTCCTACACTTTGGAAGTGATGTGAGTCAGTAATGATGAGACTTAATAAAATACAAGCACTTTACCTGTACTACGTAATTTAATCAACCAGTGGTCTGTTGAAGATGGTCAGCAGAGTTGGTGAAGTTTGTTTGGTACCATTGTAGGGGTCAGATGCTGATTTCAGTATGAGAATAAATAGCTTGTACATTCTTGGAGTATTTACTTACCCTGTATGTTTACATCCTAAATGTGTGGAGGGTGCTCTGGTGTAAAGATGCCCTCTGTGCCTGTGCTCATTTAGGCCCTGCTGTGGAGGGTGCTGTGGTGTAAAGATGCCCTCTGCCTGTGCTCGGTTAGGCCCTGGGCTGTGGAGGGTGCTCTGGTGTAAAGATGCCTTCTGCCTGTGCTCGGTTAGGCCCTGGGCTTCGTTGTCCTTCCGTGCAGCGGGCACTGCCTTTGGCGATGGTATGTGCAGCTGCTGACATGGCTCATGTACCTTGCTCCTGTGGACAGTGATGGCTGTGGTCTGTCACGCCCTTGGCTTGGGGGCAGTGTAGTCAGGAGAAGGGAAACGAGGAAATGGTCCTGCTGTTGTCACTGTCAAGCCAGCCATGAGAACATTCTGGCTTTTAACATGTCCTCCTGAACCAGTCAAGCTCTAATGCACCCTCACATGCCCAGCACAATGCCCAGTGCAGAGAATGTGAGGTTTTAAATTTGAGCAGGAGACTTTAGCGGTATGTATTCATTTGTACATTTAACTTCAGCTTGGAAAAGTTTACACTGAATTTCATCTTGTTTTTTCTTACAGTGAAAAATGTGAGGTTTTACAATATTCTGCAAGGGAAGCTCAAGATTCAAAAAAGGTAAGAAAATGGTTGAAAAGTTGAAAGTTATTCCTACATTTGATTCATGTGTAAGGTTCTTGCAAATCAGATCGTCAGTTAGATTCCCACTGGTCTTAACAAACATCACTGTTTTATCACCTGAAAGCAGTGCCAGTCAAACCCATCATCACACTCCCCTGGCCATGAGGTTTCGAGTTTCTTTCAAGTAATTCGGTTTCTACGATCTGAAAATTACAGATGTCACAGAATCTTGGGTCATCCACTCTACCATTTTTATTAAAGAGATGGAAAATTGAAAGTTGGATTAGTTAATGGGAAAGATTTACATGTAAAGATAACAGTTTTCCTTAAATTCGTGTGTTTTGTGAAAGTCTAGTAAATCTTGGTGTAGTTTTCAGGGAACTTTATGAATAACAGCCAGACAAACATTAAAACATCTGAAGAAGAATAACGAAAGAACATTTGCCCTCTCACATACAAAAACAAACTATACGATTGTAGTAAGGAGAGCATTGTGGTGTTAATGCAAGAATTAATAAAGAGCTTAATGGAACAAAACAAGAGTCCAGAAACATGTATGCACCTGTGTGTAAGTATCTTCAGTTTGGCAAAGTTAGTTCCTTAAAGGATAATTACAAAAATGAAGTAGAGGAAAATTGTTTCCTAAATGGTACTGAGGCAACTGAGCATCCATTTGTTAAAAAACAAGTTTTTTATTTTGTATTTTATATATTAAGCATAAATTACTAAAAACAAAACGAGGTGTAACAATTCTAGAAGAAAATACAAGTTTCAGGATCTGGTCTTGAAGTGTGAGTGGTGCCCGTGTAACAGAGAAGCTTTGCATAGTTGGCTGCTGGGGTGACAAGCGTGCTTCAGTTGCCTCTCAGCATTGGGAGGGTGAGAAGAGGGAGGTTGACTGAGCTTTTCTGCACAGAGAGTAGCATTCTCCTTGCAGAGGGAAGCCCTGCATTCTCGCCCAGGCTCTCCTACTACCAGTTGTAAAGTTCTTTTGAGACCTTGGTTTATTCTACTCAGACTGATTAAATTACATTTCATTTTCTCCTCCGCCTTCTGTTTCTGTTTTTAGAGTATTTATATACCTTTGAGAGACTGTTTAGGTGGCATGTATCTTAGAAGAAGAATAATACGTTTTGTCTCCAATACTATGTTATTTGAGTTCATTTTTGAATTTACTCAAATTCCCGAAACTAAAGAGGGTTCATGAGTTTGGCCTGTTGTGAGGAGAGAATGCGTATGGAAAGATTACTCCTCTGGAAAGTCAGACTGTGTAGACAGCCAGCCTTGAGGCCGGGCACCTAGATCATTAGGTCTCTCTAGGTAATGGGTTTGTATCTTATTCTTTTGTCATTTTGAGGGGCTAGGTTTTGCCTTTTAGAAGGAACTTACTTGGGAAGAAATGAGTAGCCTGTCCTGAAGGCTGATTTTTCTCCCCTAGTCTTCATTGTTCTCACCTGTCCTTTTCTCCCAGCCTGCAGGGTAATGTCTGTCCTACTTGATCCCTGAGTGTTAGCTAGGCAAGGCCATACTGTGATGCAACACTCAACCCCACCATTTCATTAAAGGTCAGCCAGCTTCACTTCCATTCTGACTGTTACGGTGTGATTCTTCCTGCCAAATATTCATAGCTTATAATGTATTAAAATGTTACCTCTTGGCCAGCCATGGTGGCTCACGTCTATAATCCCAGCACTTTGGGAGGCTGAGGCAGGAGGATCGCTTGAGCCCAGGAGTTTGAGACCAGCCTGGGCAACGTGGTGAGACCCCATCTCTACTAAAAATACAAACATCAGCCAGGTGTGGTGGCATATGCCTGTAGTCCCAGCAACTCGGGAGGCTGAGGTGCTGAGGTGGGAGGATTGCTTGAGCCCAGCAGGCCAAGGCTGCAGTGTGCTGTGATTGTGCCACTACTTTCCAGCCTGGATGATAGAGCCGGACCCTGTCTCAAAAAAAAGTTATTTCATTTAAATTTCTAAAATGGGGTTCTCTGTTTAAATTGGAATTTTTCCTGTCTTAGGTGGTAGAGGACATTGAATACCTGAAGTTCGATAAAGGGCCGTGGCTCAAGCAGGACAATCGCACTTTATACCACCTGCGATTACTGTAAGTGCATCTGTGTGGGGGCTGCTGCATGTCTGGGGTCTACTTGCATGATGGGGAAACTTAGGGAAGTTTGAAATAATTATGTTTCAAGTTAGGTGTTAGCAGCACCAACCCAATACTTAGAGGTATTTTTTCTTCCAAACAGCTCCTGAATCCCCTGGTCTGATACTTAATTTATTGAGTGCCATTATTAATTTAACAGGCATTTTGCTTCCACTATGTGCAACACCGTTCCAGATTTAAGAGATATAGTGTCAGATAAAATTCTTGATGTCTTTGAAAATGTGTTTTAGTAGGTGAGACAGAGTAAACAAATAGATAAAACTGCGTCAGGTCACAAAGGCCAGGGAGAGAAGTAACCCTGAGTAACAGGGTGGTGAGTAGCTAGGGGTGACAAAGGGCCTCTCTCGGGATGAGGCCTAAGTGAGGCCAGGATTGGGTCCTGTGGGCCGTGGGGTGAGCAGAGGGCAGGGGCTTGGCAGGTGCAGAGGCTCTTCAGGCAGGAGTGTGGTGGGAAGGTGCGCCCAGCAGCCAAGCCAGTGTGGCCAGAAAAAGTGTGGGGAGGGGAGGCCACAGCGGAATGGAGCAGGACTAGGAGAGGAGGCCATGGCGGAATGGGGCAGGACTAGGAGGGGAGGCCGCGGTGGAAGAGGGCAGGACTAGGAAGGGAGGCCACTGCAGAAGGGGGTAGGACTAGGAGGGGAGGCCACAGCAGAAGGCGGATAGGTCTTGGTGCGTTTGGTGGGTTTTCTTCTGATGAGATGAGATGCCGTTTGGGGGTTTGAAGCAGAGGAGTAATACGATATGACTTATATCCATTCAGCTATTGTGTGGATTCTTTGGTATCTATTAAATGAAAAACAAAAACCATACCGATTAGGTAAGGTTGAAAAAAGCTGTCTTCATCTGCACCACTCTATTGAAACTGCTCCTGCCAAGGAGACGGCCTCGCCATTCCAGATGCGGCAGACCCTTGTCTGTCTTCATGCTGCTCCCTGGCCCTGGAAGCAGCACCGCTGCCCCTCTTCTCCACTCCCTTCTCCTGGTTCCATGCCCTCCTCCTCCCCCACTCTCTCACTCCTCCACCAGCTGCTGCCTTCTGGGGCCGGGCTCTCTTTTTCTGGTTCCTTCTGCCTGCTGCTGGGCTCTGGCAGGCACAGTGACCCCGGGCAGTGTCTCGTCCGTTGAATTCAGTTTCTTGAGGACGTACCTAGTCACACAGCTGTGGATAGCGTGGATACCACCGTAGGTCTTGGCCCAGACCTTTACCCTGCACACCCAGCAAATATCCCTCGGCTGCCTCTTGCAGTGTCTCTGTGCATTGACCTTCCCACCGGTGATCCCCAGCTCTGCCTCTTCTGTCCTGGCTGGTGCTGGCCACCCGGGAATCTCATCCTGCTTGGGTCTGTCCTCCACCACCCACCCCCTGCTGCTTCTCATCACTGCAACGCCCAGTTCCTGGTACAGGCCTCATATCCAGCGTGCACTCAGGAGATGTATCTGGAGTGAGTGACTTTGATTTCTTTTAGGGCTATAAATTCTACAAAATTCAGAGATGATTTTGTAATGAGAAGTGCTGTTGTATCATAATTCTGATTATTTATAAATCAAGATTGGAGTAATTTGAGGGTCTTTGACTTGTGAAAATGCAGGAAACATGAGTAGCTATTTGGGGATCTGCCTTTTGTGTTAAGTCTCGAGCCCTTGGCCTGAGCCTGCCCTGTGCTGCTTCCTGCCTCTACCCAGGATGCTCTGTGCAGACTGCACCAACACTTTGCCTCTCGAGGGCCTGGAGGCACAAGGATGGCCGGGGCACTCAACTTCCCTCTCCTCAACGTTTGGATGTAAATTAGGAAGTTGGTGCCTACAGATGGCAGCTCTGTTCTTGGCCCTGTGATGTTGGTGTTCTTAGGCCGTTGGTGCTTACCTTCTTTCTCTGCCTGATGGGATGTGAGTGATACAGTAGTCTCCTAGGATGACCAGAGGGACAGCTGGCTCACTGCACATGTCACTAAAAGTTCACTGATCAAAATGTAAACAGAATGTGTAATAAGTTTACTTCTGGCCAGGCAGCGTTCACGTCTGTAAACCCAGCACGTTGGGAAGCTCAAGTGGGAGGATTGCTGGAGCCCCGGAGTTCGAGACCAGCCTGGGCAATATAGTGAGACCCCATCTCTACAAAAAATTTAAAAATTATCTGGGTATGGTGGTGCATGCCTATAGTTTCAGCTACTTGGGAGGTTAAGGTGGGAGGGTCACTTGAACCTGGGAGGTTGAGGCTGCAATGAGCTGTGTTCACGCCACGGTACTCCAGCTTGGGCGACAGAGACTCTGTCTCTCAAAAGAAGTTCACTTCTGTTTGATGTTTTTAGTACAGCATTAATAAGCAAAAAATAGGTTTACATTAAAAAAAACTAGTCATTCTACTTAGTTTGTTAATTCCTGCCCCCCTGTTAAAATAGTATTTGCAAAATCAGTTTTCTAGTTAGTGGAATGGATACTGAAGGGTGAGCAAGGTAGGCACACTGTGGGGTCCTCATGTCAGACTGAGGAGACGGGAAGGGTCAGGTCAGCCCTTAGCTGGCTGTGTGACTTGGGACAAGTCACTTTATCTGCCTGTGCCTCCATATGTAAGATTATGGCAGTGAGGTAGAGTGCTAGGCCATGTGTATTGAAGGAAAAAACAAATATAAATTTCATATATTATATTCCATATACTGACTACTGTATAAAATGGTGTTAATCTAAAAGTAGCTTACTGAAATGATTGGCTCTCTAGAAAGTCTTTTGAAAGGAATCTAGCAAATCTTCCATTAGAAAGTAAAACAAACAACAAAACCCGCTTTCCTTGTCTTTTTTTTTTTTTTTTTTTTTTTTTTGAGTCAGAGTTTTGCTCTTGTTGCCCAGACTGGAGTGCAGTGGCGCAATCTCAGCTCACTGCAACCTCTGCCTCCTGGTTCAGGCGATTCTCCTGCCTCAGCCTCCTGAGTAGATGGGATTATAGGCATGCACCACTATACCCGGCTAATTTTTTGTATTTTTAGTAGAGACAGGGTTTCGCCATGTTGGGCAGACTGGTCTTGAACTCCTGACCTCAGGTGATCCACCTGCCTCGGCCTCCAGAAGTGCTGGGATTACAGGCGGGAGCCACTGCGCCGGCCTTCCTTGTCTTTCTGAGCCATTACTAGGAGATGGAAGTAAAGCACAAAGCACTGCTTTTGGCCTCTGAATAAATATTCTGCATCCTGGAGACAATGGCCAAGGGTTACAGTGCCTACTCCAGGTGGACAACACATTTCAACCTGAGGGCCGTGAGTTTGCTGATTGACAGGGCGACCGACCAGAAATTAGAGGGGTCCTCTGAGGTGTCTGAATGTAGAAGTTTCTCTGAGTCATTGAAGTCAGCTGATTATTCCCTGTGCAGCCATTTTTGTTGCAAAGTCAGTGTGTGCTTTGCTGTGAACTGTGGCAAGGGCCATCAAACATTGGTTTATTCCGAGTAATTTTAACTTTAGGACAGGGATGCGTAGGTGATGGAGACCAAGAGGAGAAAATAAAAGTATATTTCTGAGAAGAAAATGATTGTTGTAATACCAGAGACTCACCATTTCATAACCAGGTCAGAAGGATCCCTTGAGAGGGACTCAGCCACTCACCTGTCACTGTGCCCCTGGGCAAGGGGCCTAACCTCTCTGAGCCTCTGTCTCCTTGTTGTAAAGCAGGAAGAAAATAGAAGCTACCTCATAGGACTGTTGTGGGGATTAAATGTGGGAATAATTTGAAAGGCTCAGAACCATGTGTATATATCATAAGTACTAAAGTTTTAGGGACTATGTTATGATACTGTTTATGGTATATTATTATACTCTGATTGTAGATGCATGATGTGTTTACATTTCTCCATTAATATTTTTGTTCTTTAATACTAAGCTTTTTTTCTTTTACTTTTTAAGTAGTATTTTTCTGATCTTAGAAATAATTTACATTAATTATCCTCAATTCACGCTTTATGGAAATCTACAGTGAAGTTGAACGAACCCACCTCCTAAAGACAACCGTGTTGAAGATGCTATTCATATTTTTTTCTGTGCATGCCCCAGTGCAGTTGATTGTTGTAAGCCAGATTCCCAGTGTGCCCTGCCCCTTGGTGGGAGAGCTGACCTTCCGAGTGATGTGCTCACCACCCTTGCAGGATTGAGCACCACAGGGCTTAGCACTGCTTTGTGTATGTAGTTCTGTGTTGCTTAACGACAGGGATATGTTCTAAGAAAGGTGTCGTTAGGCGATTTCATCATCGTGAAAACATCATAGTGTGTGTTTACACAAGCGTAGATGCTATAACCTGCACACCTAGGTGGTGTGGTGGAGCCTGTTGCTCCTAGGCCATAAACCTGTACAGCATGGTACAGTACTGAATACTGTTGGCAGTTGTAACACGACGGTAAGTATTTGTGTATCTAAACATAAAAAATAATATGGTATAAAAGGTGAAAATGGTCCACCCGTCTGGGGCATGTACCGTGAGTGGAGCTGACGGGACTGGCAGTTGTTCTGGGTGAGTCAGTGAGTGAGTGGTGGGTGAATGTGAAGGTCTAGGACATCACCGTACACTGTGGTAGACTTTGTAAACAATGTACAATTAGGCTACACTAAATTTATATAAAAAGTTTTTTTCTTCAGTAAGAGATTAACCTTAGCTTACTATAACTTTCTTTATAAACTTAAATTTTTTTCTTTCTTTATATCCTTATTCTAGAAGTATTTTCTGATTTTTAAAATTATTTATTTTTACTTTTTAAACTTTTGTTGTTGTTGTTGTTAGTTAAGATACAAACACAGTGGCCTGGGCCTACCTGGAGTCGGGAGCATCTGTATCACTGTCTTCCACCTCCACACCTTTCTCACTGGAAGGCCTTCACGGGCAGTAACACGCGTGGAGCTGTCACCTCCTGTGACAATGATGCCTTCTTCTGGATGCCGCCTGAAGGACCTGCCTGAGGCTGTTGTACAGTTACTTTTTTAAATAAGTAAGATGAGTACTCTAAAAATCACGATGAAATGTCTAGTATAGTAAATAACCTAAAGCAGTAACATGGTCATTGATGAGAATATCAGGTATTCTGTACTGTACATAATTGTATGTGCTGGACTCTTCCACGACTGGCAGTGCAGTAGGTTTGTCAATGCCACATCACCGCAGACACGGGAGTCATGCGCTGAGCCACGGCGCTGTGACAGCTGCTGTGATAGGAAGTGTTCAGCTCCACTAGAATCTTGTAGGACCACATTGTATATGTGACCTGTTGTGGATGGAAACGCCATGCTGTGCATAACTGGAAACCGGCAGGAACCTGTCACATGGTACAAACAACATGGGTTTCACAGGAAAGCCACGGGAAGGCTCTGTTGTGCACTCTCCATCAGTATAACTTTGTGAATTTGCCGTAACATTTCCATTTTCCCAAAATTCAGCTTTAGCTGCAGCTGTCAGGTTCCTCGTAGGAAACAGATGGCACATTTGACCAGAGAACAGAAGAGAGTTACGTAAAGGAACCATTGATAAAGAGCAGGGCAGGGTTGAGGGAAGCAACAGGATGGTGAGACACCCAGGCCATCCACAGTGGGAAACTGGCAGTTGAGGGCGGGGGCACTGGGTTTTGGAGTCCAGAGCTGCTGCTGCTGCTGCTATGGAAGAGGCTGTCCAGCATCAGATGGAGCCCGAGGGGGATGGGGAACCCGCATGCAGGGAACCAGCAGAACAATCATCCACCCAGCTGTGCTTGAAGTCAGAGGGCAGTAGAGCCCCTCGGATGCAAGGAGCCAGCCTCTGGGCACAGAGCACCTTGGAGGAATGGTAGAGAGGAGATCTAAAGGGCCAGGTGGAAAACAGCCCCAGACTGTCCACCCAGAGAATGCAGAGGACGGTCGGCATTCACCGTTGTTCCCTGTCCAGAATGAAAACGTGCATCCCTACGTGAAACAGGGGCAGCCACCATGTCATTGTGCGGTGATGACCATTCATAGTCTTGAGTTGGTCACTGCAGGTGTTTTTCATATAAAGTAGAGGGAGAAAGAAACAACCTGCCACAGAATTCCTGGAGTCCCCGCTTCTGTGGTGAGTTCGGAGACCCAAGTTCACTTTGGTAGCTTCCTTGGTTCCCACAGCCTCCTCCCCTCTGCCAGCAGCTCAGCTCCATGTGGTCCTTACCTGGTGCAGCATCCTGAGCCTGTGTGCTGTGGGTTGGAGCCTTGGGGGCTCCCTCTGTGGTAGCTGCCTATCTCTGTTCAGAATAAGATTTATCACAGTGAATGAGGACAGATACGCAGACAGATCAATACAAAAAAAGACATGTTGGACTCTGGAGAAATCCATGCACAGGCTCTTCCTCCTGTGAGGGACACTGACACATTGATTGAGCAACTTTCTCAAGCAGTGAAAAATACAGTAACATATGGGCAGTATTTCTGCCTGGAAAGCCCTTTAGACACTCACTGCCCGTAATTTTTACTGGGGGCTGGTCACGTAGGAATCCTCTGCTTCGCAACTACTCAGGTTCCAGACTCCCAGAAAGAAGGCAGGTGTTCTCCATAACTCCCATCGTACCCTGGTAGGGCTGAGTTTGCTGCCCAGCCTCATTAGCATGGGGCACTTTTTAGAAGCTGAGTTTCCAGAAGCCAACCAAGGGCCAGCCTCGCAAGGAGGCCCTGCCACAGACAGCAGCATAGGCCTGCTCTGTGTGTGGCGAAGGAAAGGCTTTCTGAGAGCGCAAGAGCTGTGCTTTTGGCAGAAAAACTTCAGGCAGGGGAGGCAAATCCGAACCTAGGAGATGTGGTTTTTTACCTTGGGCAGAGCCTGGGATTTTAACAGGACTGAGGTTTTGTAAGAGAGGGGCAAGGGAACTGAGCACAGACAAAATCGCATGTGAGTAGTGGTGAACCATGACGCTTAGTCTGGGTAAGGAGGAAAGTGAAGGAGGGAGGGGTGAGGGGACTGAAATGACAAAGTGGATGAGAGGCCAAAGGCACACCCTCTTGGAAGAGAAAGTCGGGAACAAAGGTTGAATATAGAATCAAATCACCTGCGCTTCTGCCACCACAGTGCCAGGATTAACAGTTGAATGCAGGTTCTTCCAGTCTTTAAATATTTGTGTGTGCATATATTTCTAAATATATCTTGTGTGTATTTTTGTATTCTACTTCCAATATTTTGAGCATGTTCCTGTTTTGTTAAACATTTTAAAATTTGATTTTTTCATGGCTCCCCATATATGCTGCACTTACCATTGATTGAGATGCAAATCAGGGCTTGGCAAACTGTTTGGCCTGTGGGCCAGATCCAGCCGTCAGCTGCTAAGAATGATCCTTAACGTTTTTAAAGGATTG
This sequence comes from Homo sapiens, assembly GCF_000001405.40. Lineage (NCBI taxonomy): Eukaryota > Metazoa > Chordata > Mammalia > Primates > Hominidae > Homo > Homo sapiens. The sequence goes on along the minus strand of NC_000002.12, from coordinate 239,997,826 downwards.
GAAGGAAAAGGAAGGATTATGTGATGGAAACTGTATATAGCTCTCAAAGCCTGGTATTTGCTATCCGGCCATTTACAGAAAAAGTTTTGACTTCTCCGACACTACATAATCTGCATAATTTACTGTTTCTTTAAAATAGATCTCTTGGATTATTTCAGTTTCTTCATGTTCATAATACAGTAAAGAGCATGTAGTACCCCTTCTTGTTCAATTTCAGGTTACTTAAGGTATAAAAGTGGTCAGAGTATATGAACGCATTTTACAGCTATTGAGTTTTTGCAAAATGATTCTCCGGAATATGTGTACCAGTATTCATACTTGGACCTGGTTCTCTGAATTTCCCTATAAAGAATATAATTAAACAAAATGCAAACAAAAACTTTCGATTCTGATACCCATACAAGTATTTGTTTTACTTTGCATTTTATAAACACTAAACTTCAATTTATATTTTTATTGGCTATTTATTTGCTCTTTGTGAATTTTCCCTTCATATTTATTAACTTTTTCGAAGAACCTGGTTTTTGTTTTGATGATTTATCCAGTTGTTTTCTGTTTTATTGATGTATACCCTAGTTTTATTATTTTTTCTCTGCTTTCTTTAGGCTTCACTTGTTCTTTTTCTATAGATTCCTAAGCTTATTGACTTTAGATCTTTTTTCTTTTCTAATATAGTCAGCCCTTTGTATCCCTGGGTTCCGCATCCTTGGATTCAACCAACCTTGGATCAAAAATATTTGGGAAAAAAGCCAATAAAAATAACACAGCAATAAAAAAATAATAAAAATGTAAAAATACAGTATAACAACTATTTATATAGCATTTACATTGTATTAGATATTATAATACTATATTATTGTATTACATTGCATTAGGTATTATACATACTCTAGAGATGATTTAAAGCAGGGGTGTCCAATCTTTTGGCTTCCCTGGGCCACATTGGAAGAAGAAGAATTGTCTTGGACCACACATAAAATAACACTGACGATAGCTGATGAGTTAAAAAAAAAAAAAGGCAAAAAAACTCACAATGTTTTAAGAAAGTTTATGAATTTATGTTGGGCTGCATTCAAAGCTGCCCTGGGCTGAATACAGCCATGGGTTGGACAAGCTTCATTTAAAGTGTGTGGGGAGTGTGTGCATAGTTTATATGCAAATACTGTATGATTTTATGTAAGGGACTTGAGCATCCTCAGATTTTGGTATTAGTGGTGGTCTGGGAAGGAAGCCCTGGACAACAGAAGAATGGTTGCATATGCATCAGTGCTGTCAGTTTCCCTGTAGGTGCTGCTTTTGCTGTATCACACAAATGTGGATAAGTTGTATTTTTATTTTCGTTCAAAATGTTTTAAAAAATATTTTGAGACTTTTTCTTTGACCCACATGTTATTTAGAAGTGTGTTGTTTAATCTCCAGGCATGTAGGGATTTTCTAGGTATCTTTCTGTTGTTGATTTCTAGTTTAATTCTCTTGTGGTCTGAGAATACACTGTGTATGATTTCTCTCCATTTACATTTATTAAGGTTTTCTATGGCCAGTGTTTCCTATCTTGATTAGTGTTCCAATTCAGCTTGAGAAGAGTGTAGATTCTGCTGTTGCTGGAGTGTTGTATAAATGTCAGATCGAGCCGATTGACGGTGGTATTCAAGTCATCGGTATCCTTACTGATTTTCTCTCTGCTGGGTCCATCGGTTACTCAGAGTTGGGGTCATCGGTATCTTTACTGATTTTCCCTCTGCTGGATCTGTTGGTTACTCAGAGTTGGGGTCATCGGTCTCCTTACGGATTTTCTCTCTGCTGGATCTGTCGGTTACTGAGAGTTGGGTTTAAATTTCCAACAGCGCTGGATTTGTCTATTTCTCCCTTGGGTTCTATTAGTTTTTGCATCATATATTTTGAGGTACTGTTGTTAGGTACATAGTTTATTATCTTAGGTTATTATCTTCTTGAAGAATTGGCCGCTTTATCGTTATGTAATGCCCCTCTTTTTCGCTGATGTTTGTCCTTGTTTGAAGTCAGCTCTATCTGAATTTAATATAGCCACTGCAGCTTTCAATTAGTGTGGGCATGGTGTGTCTTTTTTCCTCTTCTATCTCGAGTCTTTAGTTTTCTTGTAGATAGTAAGTAGTAATTGGGTCTTGTGTTTTAATCTACTCTGACAGTCTCTGTCTTTTAATTGCTGTATTTGGACCATTCATGTTAGAAGTGAGCGTGAAGATAATCAAGTTCCATTTTACCATGCTTTTCCCTGTTTTCTGTTTGCTGCATTTGTTGTTTCTCCCTGCCTCTTTTTCTGCCTTCTCTGGATTTCATTGAGCATTTTATAAGATTCTCTTTTATCTTTTCCCTTAACATCTTGATTGTACTTTAAAAAAATGTTTGTAGTGGTTGCTGTGGAGTTTCCAGTATACATTTACAACCCATCTAGGTCTACTTCGTGATGGTGCTGCTGCTCCATGGGGCTGCAGGTACCGACGGCACAGTCTTCTTGGCTCCTCCTGCTGTCACTGTGACATGGCTGCCATTCCTTCCACTTTTTTTTTTCTTTGAGACAGGGTCTTGCTCTGTTGCCCATCGCCCAGGCTGCAGTGGCATGATCTTGGCTCACTGCAGCCTCCCCTTCCTGGGTTCCAGCAGTTCTTATGTATCAGCCTCCCAAGTAGCTGATACTACAGGCGTGCACCACCACACCTGGCTAATTTTTGTATTTTTAGTAGGAATGGGGTTTTGCCATGTTGCCCACCTAGTCACAAACTCCTAATCTCAAGTGATCTGCCTGCCCTGGCCTCCCAAAGTGCTGAGATTACAGACATGAGTCGCCGCACCCGGCCTCTTCCACTTTTTATAAGCTATAAAATCACTCAATTCATTGTTGCTGTTAGTCCAGGAAAGGCCATTGATTTTCAGTTTTTTCTTATTGGAAGGATGGAAATTACAGCTTCCAGCCTTCACCCTTTGGAGCTGAAGCTGGAAGTTCCCTCTTTGTTTTTTAAAACTCTGTTAACATTTTGGACTAGATGCCTATATTTGTGTGTGTGTTTGTAAATTTACCTAAATGATATACTCTATTATTCAAAACTTTGCTTTAAAAAACCTCCACCTTCTCTTTAAACTGCTCTATTGCAGCGGTCCCAAACCTTTTTGGCACCAGGGACCGGTTTCATGGAAGGCAGTTTTTACACAGACTGGGGCGGGGATGGGTGGATGGTTTCAGCATGATTCAAGTGCGTTACATTTATTGGGTACTTTATTTCTCTTATTATTACATTCTTATATATAATGAAATAATTCTACAACTCACCATGATGTAAAATCAGTGGGAGCCCTGAGCTTGTTTTCCTGCAACTAGATGGTCCCATCTGGGGGTGATGGGAGACAGTGACAGATCATCAGGCATTAGATTCTCATAAGGAGTGTGCAAACTAGATCCCTTGTATGCACAGTTCACAATAGGGTTTGTGCTCCTGTGAGAATCTCATGCTGCCCTGGTCTGACAGCAGGTGGAGCTCAGGCAGTAATGCGAGCAGGGGAATCGGCTATAAATACAGATGAAGCTTCACTGGCTTGCTTGCTCACCTCCTGCTGTGTGGCCAGGTTCCTAACAGGTTGCAGAGGTTTGTGGCCCGGAGGCTGGGGACAGGACCCTGCTGAACCGTGTTTTGCTGTTATGTCTGAAATCTCATAGTTAACAGTAGATGTCAACACAGCGTCTGGAAGGTGTTTCGGAAATAATTTGTCTGTTCCACAGCACTTCTGTGGGGCGGGACTCCCTCATTTTACAAGGAGGAGACCATGACTCGAGAGCTCGAGCCTGCCAAGGTTGTGTGACTGTGTGGGGCATCTCACCTCTCGGGCTGCAGGAGCTAGAGCTGCTGCTCTCTGCATCCTCTGTGTGGTCCTGTGCCCTGGGCCATCTTGCCTTCCCTCCTGCCGTCTGTTCAGGCTTGAATCCTGGTGGAACCTTTGACTCCTCTGTCAACCATAATCCTAGCTTGAACCCTCCTTTTTCCCTGCTGACCCCCTTATCCTCCCCAAAGTCACACCCTGCAGGTCAGTGTGCCACTTTCAGTGACTTCTCTCCCTTGTCTCTAACACTGCTGCTCCCCTTGGTGTGTAATCCCCTGGTTCTTGGTCTCTGCTCCTCTGCCTCTTTATTTCTTCATCCCACTCCCACCAGGTTTATTTTTTTAAAAAGTCACAGTGACCCTGTTTTCTCTTTACTTGAATCTTTGAGTGGCCTATCTTCATTTAGTCATAGGTCTGAATTTCCTTTCCCAGAATTAATTCAGAATCCCAGTCTGCCCTGGTTCTGCGTCTTCTACCAGGATACCAGGCAATCTGCCAGGCCCTTCTTCCACCACCACCTGCCCAGTAGTTACCTAGAAATCCTAGCAGTCTTTAAAGCTTGGACGTAATCACCCTTTTTTCTCCCTGACACCTTCCCTTAACTCTTGTAGGCTGTTACTTATATGAATGTATATGGTATCCTTGTTTGTTAGTATTAGCTACTGCTGGGCATCATATGACATCTAACAAACTTACGGAGACAAGGGATTGTGTCTGACTTGACCTCCCTGTGGTAACAGTGTCATTTTCTAAACACAGTGTGAAATGTGTGTTGGTTCGATTCTGCACCATTCATGTAGTTATTTAGTTATGTGCTTATCGGAGCATAGAGAAGGATCCTGTAATTCCCCCATAGTGTATCAATTATAGCATTCCGTTGTTTTAATCTAGCTCACTATGAATGGCTTTGTCCTTTTTTCTCCTGGTATTTTGCCTTTCTTCCTCCCCAAAGATGTTTCATAAGTTTACAATATCAATTGTGTTTATTTTCATTTGAGTACCATTTCTCAATTGAGGGACTCAAGTGATAATTATGACCAATTTTCTAACATAATTATTGTAAACATGCCGCTTACCAGTGACATTCATTTTATCCATAACCTGACCAAATTATTGGTTTAGAACATTTCTGCACCATCTCAGTTACGTGTTGCCAGTGTCTAATTATGTGTATGTGTATAGCTATGCTTGTGCTGAGAGGCAGTAATTGTATTTTTCAGTCTTGTTCATATCCACATCCCTAACTGACTGGCGCCTGCTTGGGCTGGTTTCAGTCCAGTCAGGACCTCCGAGGACACGTCAGGCCTCCAGCTGTGCAAGCTCCTCTCAGACCATCCCTGCTTCTCCAGAGCCCAGACCTTCACACCCACCTTCTTTTTGCTTAATTGCCAAGATTTTTACATGACTCCTGGAGCACGTCTTTTTAACATGAAATTTCAGTGCTACAGAAACTGTAGCATGTGAGTTTGGTTTCAGAAGTACAGTGTTTCAGATAGAACTTTGCAATTCAGGAGAAACTGAAAAATAGGGTTTGGAAATGTTATAGGACAAAGTGTTGACATTCAGTTAATTGGGAAACAGCTTGAGTCATAAAACACTATTTACAATTTTATTCTTTTTTCTGTGTTCCTGCCTTACTCTTGTTTTAAAATACGTGTCCCAGCACCTCATATTGTAACCAAGCTCTAGTATATTTTATATTCTTCTTTAGACAGTGACTTATGATATTAAAAGGATATATTATCCTCAATCAGTTTTGAATTCTTCTTAATGAAACTAAGTGCTTTGTGAAGAGAATATTTTCTTTCACTGCCTTTTGCTTCCTGAGTCATAAAATGATTCCTTGTATCTTTATTTCTTACTTAAATCTAGGAGTTTACTGGAGATATACCATGGACTCTTCCTAGTAGTCATCATTAAGCTCATAGTAATAAATTGAAAGGGTAGTTTGGTTAGGTATAAATAAATTGTAGAATCATTGCAACAGATTCTTTTTTTAATCTTCAAAAATAGTTTGAAGCCTACTTGTTAAAAGATTTTCCGGGACTACATGTAATGTTGCCAAATTAAGCATAGATGGCGCTGTTGCTCTCTATACTACACATGGTCCAGGCCACTGATTGCTTTCGCATTTTCTAGCATTTTCTTAGGTTTTTCAAACTGTAAAGAGAACCATGTCACCTCCCTACATTGATATTTGTTAACATTTAAAATATGAACTTCATTTTTAGTTGGAATTTCTTATTGTGAGATCACTTCAAAAATTATCCTTATATTTGTGTTAACAGTAAGAAGATACGTACTTGTAGATTATTGACACATGCATGGAAGTGTTTAGATAGAATGCATAAGGAAAGCTAGCAGCAGTTTCCTCTGGAGAGGGAACTTGTAGTCTTACAATTAATGCAGTCTTACAAAATACAGCAACTTTATGCCCTTCACAAACTTTCTGTTTTGCTTGCTTGAGTTTTTAAAAAATATTTGCATATCTTTTGGCAAGTAAAACCAACTTAATAGTAAAACTAAGAAAACGATCTTATCTGTAAGTATGTACATTACAGCCATTTGCCTACCCATGTGGAAACGCACATAAATACACTTAGGAAAGCAAACGATCATTGTTATCCTGGCAGCAGTTTCTTGGAGGGGCATTTGCATTATTGGATCACTAACCGTGTATGAGCGACGCGGTTTTTACTAGGACGCTCCTGACGCTATACCTACCGTCCACTCATCTTCAGCTTGCCGCAGGTTCGCAGCTCTGTGGCTGTCTGTGGAAGCATGATTCATGGATCCCGTGAGCCTTGGGTTCTGGTCAGGTTGTTCTGTTTGTGGGAGAGCCTACCTGGGTACTGTGGGGAACAGGCCGTGGGTTTGCTCAGTGGGCCTGGACTGTCTCACAAAGTCTGGCCGAGAGCCAGATACACTCACATAATTTCCATTTGAGCCATTACAAATGAGAAACGTCTCCTGCTTTTATAACTCAGTAATGGGAATGTGACTGTTGAAAATAATTATTTTCTTTGTTTTGAGCCCTTAAGAAAAGAGACTTTATTTTAATGTTTTTTTTTCCAAAAGCTGAAAAAATGCTTTTTAAAAATCTTTAAGTATAGTGGTTATATTCAGACTATATTTAATTTAAAATAAGCAAATTGTAACAAAGTATAAATATTTTAACATTCAGCAAAATGAAATGATAAAGCTAAGAGACTATCCTATGATTTGTATATTTATTGGTGCCAAGAAAAGTGGAGAATTAGACCTTTTACAAGCCGTGGTACAACAGACCATCCTATGTTGGCCTCAGCATACAGAACAGAGCAGTAAGACGCTGGCTGCAACCCCAGAGGGACTGAAGCTACTCACCGTTCCTGCCCCAAGATCCACTCATCTGGAAAATTGTTAATGGGGGCATGCTTTGTGTGTAGCACTGTCATGTAACCATTTGCTTCTAGCTTTTTGTTCCTGCTATTCCTGTGTTTAAAGCACACTTTGCCTCCTTTTTCTATGTCTCCAAAACAGCATCCATTCCCAGAAGGTCGTCCTATGTAGGTACTGAGGCTTTTAAAAGATGCTACCTCAGGTTCTGAGAGTAATATTAAAAAGCAGCTCCAGATCGACCATGTGGTCTTTGGGAGGAAGGCTTTGCTGCTGGGATGATTGCTTGGCAACGAATAGCATTTATTGGGATATATAGATTTTTTATATGGATGTTTAAAAAAAATCGGACTTACACTTCTTTTATTGTATTTATTTTGATGGTTTGGTGTGATCCACATGTGTCTTATTTTTTAGGGTTCAGGATAAGTTTGAGGTGCTGAATTACACAAGCATTCCTATCTTTCTCCCGGAAGTCACCATTGGAGCTCATCAGACTGACCGTGTCTTACATCAGTTCAGAGAGGTAAGACTGTGGAAATGGAGAAAGCTGGCCAGTGGATGAGTCTGCAGCACCTGGGGACAATGCAGTCACTTCTCCAGAAAGGAGTTTTTGTTGTTGCTGTGTTTTGTTTGTTTTAGTGAAGGAGCCTCTTTTTCATTGAAATAATTCTCCCTTTTCCCCGTATTTCTGTGTGGAAAGCTGATGAAGTCCTCAGATGACAGCCCCAGAGCAGAGATGTTCTTCTGGAAGGTTCTTCATCAGGCATATTATCTTGATAGGAGAACACTCTGTTCATCAGCTGTTATGTCAGTTTCTTTACTGTCAGATGTTACTTCTGGTATTTTCTTACTCTTTGTCTGTAAATAATGAGGGTTCCATTTCTGCAGAAGGCCCTTAGGCCATATGGGAGGACATAGGGAGGGCAGGCAGAGCTTGGGACAGACAGCGAGGGTGGAAGTTGGTAGGGGCAACTGTGTCATTGATCTTCTTATCCAATTGCCATACCTTCTTAGTGAGTTATTTGTTCTGGCAAGATTCCATTAGGTTCGAGGCGTGTGTAAGTTTCGCTGGGAACCAGCGGGTGAGTTGCAGCCTGCACTGCAAATCCCAATGTCAGTGGACTGGGAAGAGCACGATCCATATCCGCGGCAGTGGTGGCTGTGGTTTGTTATGGGTAAAAGTGAAATAGTTGTATTAAATCAGAACTCCAAGCTATGCCTTCAACATGTAGATGAGTTGAAATCTAAATCTTTTTGCATTACTATAATTGTCTGAGTTGATATGAGCAAATTGCCTGAAGCACCCACTGAAAGTCTGAGTAGATCCCCTTGCTTGCTTTCTTACTCTACTTGGCATTTTCTTTTAAGTAAATTTTTTGGATTGTTTTGGAAGTGGTTTTATTCAGTGTGAGGATTTGGGGAAAACACATAAAACCATAAAGATATCTCTCAGAGGCACCTGCGGTTAATAATCTGTGTTCACCTCCTTCTGTCTTTGTACACGTGTGTGAGTGTGTGTGCTGTTTCTCCCTTTGTCCTTGTATACTTGTGTGAGTGCGCGTGCTGTTTCTCCCTTATCTGTCCTTGTACACGTGTGTGAGTGTGTGCTGTTTCTCCCTTTCTGTCCTTGTACACTTGTGTGTGTGTGCTGTTTCTCCCTTTCTGTCCTTGTACACGTGTGTGAGTGTGTGTGCTGTGTCTCCCTTTCTGTCCTTGTACACGTGTGTGAGTGTGTGTGCTGTGTCTCCCTTTCTGTCCTTGTACACGTGTGTGAGTGCATGTGCTGTTTCTCCCTCTTTGAGTGGGGCTCTGCGGATTTGCTGCTTCCCTGGCATCAACGCTGTAGCTGGTGCTTTGCTTGCTGCTCTTGTGTAGGCCAGAAAACCCACACTTGGTGTTCGTTCCCTGTCTCTGCTTTTGTGAGTGGCCAGGTCCTGTTGCGTCTGTTTCACAAGTGGCTTCGCTTCTTCCTGTTGACCTCCAGGCTGCCATCATTCCCACCTGAGCTTGTTCGGCGGCTTCCTCTTGGTCTCCTTGGGTTTAGTCTCTGCCCTCAGTCCTTCTCCAGTAAGGCAGAAGCAGCCGTGATCTCAATGCAGAACCCACCATCTCAGTCCTGTGCCTGAAGTCCTTCCTTTCCTGTAGGAGGTGTGTTAAAGTCTGCCACTCTTTGTGGATTTGTGCCCCCTTTCCGTTTTGTGAGATTTTGTCTCATGTATGTTTTAGGGCCGTATGATTAGATGCGTACCAATTTAGAATTGCCTTGTTAGGAGGGTCACCCTTTTCATGATGATGTTTTCCTCTTTACCTTTAGTGGTGCTTCTTACTGTAAAGTTTATTCAATATTTATGTAGCATCTGAAACTTTCTTTTGGTTAGTATATGCATGATGTAACTTTTTCTATGTCCTTTAATTTCAAGCTTTCTGTGTCTTTATATTCAATATGGATACCTTGTAATTTGCAGTTATTTTTAAATTTTTTATTCTGAATATTTAGGATATTTATCTGTTCACATTTAATGCAATTACTGATATATTTGTAAATAGTTATCTTACTGTTTTATATTTTTTCTACCTGTTCTATGTATTTTTTCTTCTTTTTTTTCTTTATTCCATTTACCCCACCTATTTCCCTACTACTAGTTATCATTCTTTTAATAGCTTTTTGTTACTAAACTGATAATTAAAATATTTATCTTTGGTTTAATGATGTTGAAGATCAATTAGCTTTCCAGTTCCAGAGCAGAGTACCCACTCGCATGTTTTGCATGATCTCGGTCGTCTTAATTCTCCATACGTGTTAGTCCCACAGGCATCTGCGACTGTTCGGAGCTGTGCTCGGCAGCTCTGCCTGCGCATTCGCCCCACGGCTGCCCACCCCTTCCCTGGGCGCTGCGCCTGCATGTAGCATCCTTGGCCTTCTGCCTGAAGAATTTTTTGCTAATACTAAATTCTCACACTTATTTTTTAAAATGGTCTTTATTTGATCATCATTTTTACCTATTTGTTTTTTTTTAGTTTGGGTAGTTTGGGATGTTCCAAACTAAAAAAAGAAAAATAACTTTTCCTGAACCATTTAAGGTAAGTTATTAACATGATGGTCTGTTATCTTCAAACTCTTGAATGTGATGGTTCGCCGAGTGTGGTCTCGGTGTCAGGATCATTTGAACTGCTGTTGGGAATGTAAGTTCTCAGGCTTCAGTCCAGGCCTCCTGGACTAGACACGCAGGGGATGGGGCCCAGACACGCATTCGAGCGAGTCCTCCTGTCGATGCACAGCGCCTGGTTTGAGAATCGTGGCTTGAATGTGTAATTCTCACAAACAAGGGTGTTCTCCTCCACAACCCCAGGACAGCTGTCAGAGTCAGGAAATGAGCATCACGCGTTACTGCTGTCCAGTCCACAGGCCCTCTTCATGAGCATCACACGTTACTGCTGTCCAATCCATAGGCCCTCTTCATGAGCAGTCATTTATCCTAGCCATGTTCTTCTGAGCAAGAATAGCCAATCCAGGGTGATGGCCTGCATTGAATTGTTTCCTCTGCTACATCTCTTTGAATCTGGATCAGTTCCTCAGGCTTTTCTTGGCATTCAAGACCTTGACATTTTTGAAGACTACAGAACAGTTACCTTGCTGAATATCCCTCAATGTGGTTTTGAGGGATATTTGGCATATGGTTCCCATTTGTCCCATCACTGCTTTTGTTACCTTTATTGCTTGTTAAGGTGGTGTCTTCACTATAAAGTTATCTTTTACTCTTAATATTTAGTCAGTATTTTGAGGGGGACATACTTTGAGAATATGTACATGTCCTCTTCCTCATCAAACTTTCACTCAGTAGTTTTAGCATCCATTGATTTTCTTGGCTAAATTATTACTATGATGATTGCCAAATTATAATTTTCTGTTTCTATCGTTCTTTCTGTATGACCAGGTAGTGTCCTACTAGAAGCAAGTAGTTTCCCTTCTCCCCATTTATTTATTCATTGATTTCCATATATCACTATGGACTCCCAGATTCCTGTTTATTCAGATACATCTATACTTGTTTCTGTGTTTCTATTTGTTGAAAACTGTGAATACACACCAGTGTCTTCAGTTCCAGTGCAACACATCAAGGTTCATTTTAGTGCTCTCGTGGTCCATATCCTTCTCAGATGATGAGAAAGCCAGCCCCTGTCATCTAAGTGTATTTACCTGCCGGAATCCCACGGGGCGTAGCTAGTCTCCTGTCTCTGCTACCATGGCGTCCCTAATCCCTGCCACCCAGGCAGGTGCAGGCAGGCATTCTCCAGTCCCGCAGAACAGCTTTCCATTTGAACTTGAAGGAAGGAAGGCTGTCTTCATTCCTGCAGGTTATTTTCATTGGGTATTGAGTTTTAAATTGCCAATATTTTCTTTCAGTGCTTCCAAACTTCACTGTTTTTTATACTTCTGGCTTTTGTGTTTCTAATGGTAGTTCCTCTTCGGAAGATATTTCTTATTTCTCTGGCAGGTTTTTTCCCCTTCTTTTTAAAAGAGATTTTTCTGACTTGGTTTTATGCATTTATACTCTCTGGGGTGTGTGTTGTGTAAGTAGGTGTGCATGTGCGTCTGTACTCACTTGGCCTGAGGTTCATAACACTCTTTGAGCCTTTGGCTGGTGTTCATTGTCTGTAGCACTTTTTTTTTTTTTTTTTTTTTTGAGACAGAATCTCACTCTTGTCACCCAGGCTGGAGTGCAGTGGTGTGATCTCAGCTCATTGCAACCTCTGCCTCCCAGGTTCAAGCGATTCTGCTGCCTCAGCCTCCCGAGTAGTTGGGACTACAGGCATGCGCCACCATGCCCAGCTAATTTTTTGTATTTTTAGTAGAGACAAGTTTTCACCATGTTGGCCAGGCTAGTCTCAAACTCCTGATCTCAGGTGATCTGCCTGCCTTGGCCTCCCAAAGTGTGTCTGTATCGCTCTTGCCACATTTTCTGTCTGCCTTGGCGTCCCACAGTGTGTCTGTATTACTCTTGCCATATTTTCTCTCTGCTCTCTTTCGGTTCCAGTTGGTCATATGTTGGACCTTTTCACCATGCACCATATTCTTCGTGTGTCTGCTCCTTTCTGTATATCTTGTCTTTTTTTTTTTTTTGAGTGTGCATCAGCCTAGATGTGTTCTTCTAAACTGCCTTTCAAGTTACTAATCATCCTTTCAGCTCGTTCTAATCTGTTGTTAGACCTGTATTTCTTATATTTGAGTTTTGAATTTTCATCCTGGTTTGTTTTTGATTCTAGAGTTTTCATTGTTATAATTTCAAGTTTACTGCTGATATTATTTTGTCATCTAATTTCTTAAACATATTCATCACAAAGTTACACAGAATTATCTGATAATTGCAGTATCTGTGTCTTTTGTAGGCCTGTGTGAGTGGTCTGGTCCCTAACGTTTGGTTTGGGGTTGTTTAATCTTGGCGTTTGGTGGCCTCATCATTGGTGTTTTGTTGTTTTCCAATGGCAGTCATTTTTTGTGGAGACTTTGCCTGGAGTCATCTCACCCTGGAGAGGATGCGCTTTACCGTCTTCTGGCAGGCATGGAGGTCAGGGCAGGTCCCCTGAGAGCGCTCAGGAAGCAAGCTGGTGACGCTGGGCTTCCGTTTTGTGAGGTCTGGAGTGTTTCTAGCTTGCGCTTACTGAGAGGCCATTTTTGCCAGGGTCCCTTCTTTTTGTTGGGTCCTGAACTGCATGTTTGGCCCCACAGTGCACTCCTGCTGCTGAAAGCTCTGCCGGGCTTCTCAGCCCCCCGGCTCTGCTGGTGGGACCAGGGAGCGCCTCAGGGACGGGAACGTGCAGCCCAGCTGTGTTTGCTTCTTCTCTGGACCTTGGCATCCAGGGCCCTCCCTGCCCTGTTGCCTTTACAGCCTGATGTTGCCTTTGTAGAATTCTTTTCTACATTGTCCCCTGTTTGGTTGTTCAGGAGGGGACAGATGTGTTAGCCGTTTTAACAGTTACATGGTGAGCTCACCTAGCAGTTTTTCAATCACTGTGTTTTATGTGGTTTTGTCTGCTTTTCAGTTTGTGAGCATTAAAGAGAATCTAAGAGAATATATGATATTGGGCTTGTGGTTTGAATTAAATGTTTAGAAATGTTAAAATTTTGAATCGTATTTAAATGACTGGGAAAATCCGATTTTTAAATTTCTAAGCATTTCAAAAAGTAAACTTGAATGTTTAGAACAGTTTTAGATTTACAGAAAAACCGTGACGGTAGTAGTGAGCTCTCATATCTCACATCCAGTTTCCATTTTATTAACTTCTTCTGTGAGTATGGTACACTTGTTATAATTAATGAATTAATAATACTTACTGGGTTTTTGTTTTTTGTTTTTTTTTTTTGGAAACCGATTGTCACTCTATCGCCCAGGCTGGAGTGCAATGGCATGATCTTGACTCACTGTAACCTCCACCTCCCGGGTTTAAGCGATTCTTGTGCCTCAGCCTCCTAAGTAGCTGGTATTATAGGTGCCTGCTACCATGCCCAGCTAATTTTTGTATTTTTAGTAGAGATGGGGTTGCACCATCATGGCCAGGCTGGTCTCAAACTCCTGACCTCAAGTGATCTGGCCACCTCAGCCTCCCAAAGTGCTGGGATTACAGGTGTGAGCCACCAAATTCGGCCCTTATTGTTAACTAAAGCCCACACTTTGAATTATTCAGATTACCTTAGTTTTTCCCTAATGTCCTTTTTCTGTTCCAATACCCCGTCTAGAATATCACATGACATTGGGTCCTCATGTCTCCTTAGGTACCTCTTGGTTGTAACATTTTCTCAGACTTTGTTTTTAATAAGGAGTGCTGGTGAGGTATTTTGTAGACTCTCCCTCAGTTGAGGGTTGCCCGATGTTTCTCTAGCGATTAGATTGGACTGTGTGTTTTGGGGAGGAATCCACAGAGGTGAAGCATCAGGGGCACTTGCTGTCAGTGCAGCCTGGCACCGTGGCCCTGACCGTGGGCTCCTGGCTGAGGTCGTGCTTGCTGGGTCTCCACTGGAAGCTGCTCTTCCTCTTTCCAGAAAGCCCCATGCACACCACAGCCTTTATGTTCCTTTGTTGAGTAAGAATTGTCTGACTGTTTAGAGGATTTTGTTTAAGGAAATTCGGTTGCTTGATATTAAAAAATGATCAGTTGAAATTAAATAGTAATAAATAATAATGACCATTTCTGGAAATTCATAGAATTCCTTTTGTCCATCAGAGACATCAGCAGCAGTTCTCATTGCATTTCCTTCTGGAAACAGCATTGTGGGGATACCTGGAGGTGAATGAACAAAGCCCCTCTGGGTTTCATGTGCAGCTGTTTCAGATCTGGGAAGGTTTGTGGCTTCTCACAAAAGGCTCTCTGCATGGGTTGCAGAGCTGCTTTCTAGATTGGCTTCTCTGGGTACTGGGGAAAGCTCCCTCCCCTCCGGTAGTCCCCTCCCTCCTGAGCCTGTGCTCAGGGGGCCCCTCAGGGAGCTTCATTCTGACCTGAGTGACTTCGGTAGAGCCCTTAGCAGACAAGGAAGCGAATACTGAAATGTCTTGTGTGAAGCCTTCTGTAACTCCTTGCACACACCCCTGAGAGAGTGCAGGCCTTCCCCAGGAGTAGGAGGAGATGGAGGGTTTTTATTTCTAACAAAAGGCCCCACCCTGGTGAGAGTGGCTTCCTTTTATCTGGCCACCCGACAGACAGCTTGTGCTAGCAGCAATTTCCATCAGATGCTGAGCGGAAAAAACAACTGTTGCTCTAAAAACACGTTAAAAATCAAACCCTAACTATAAAACCCATTTTCTCCAACTCTTTTCCTTCTTTTGAAAACAAATACTAATGGTGTAATAGGAAGGCAAATGTTCATGAAAATGTAGTTTCTCTTGGATCATTTGTGTTTCAGGTTGCCTTCATCTCATTTCTGTCTAGTTCAGCTGGAGACAACAGGCATAGCTAGAAAAATGGAAAGTGTATAGGAAGAGATAGGGCCTGGAGACAGGAATGTGTGCAGGTGGAGGTATGTCTGATCTCATCAGAACAGATGGAGAACATGCCAGAGCCCAAGGAGCCATCAGTCTCTGACACCTCAACTCGCAGAGGCCACCAGGCAAAGACAGTTGAAGTTGTTTTTAGTTGGGTCACAGTTAGAGGTTCTGAGGTTTAGCAAGAATTATTGTGATGTTTGAATTGCTAACAAAATTAAATGCTGTTTTCTATAATTACACGTTAGAAGAAACAGTAAATACAATCAAGACAAGAATCTTTTTAGAAAAGAGTTCAGGTTTTGCTTTATGAAAATTGCAAAAGACAAGTAACTAAAGAAAAGTAAAGTCGGCCTTTGTCAGAGGCGAGGTGAACAGAATTGTTTCGTCTAACCTTGTAGCTGGGGATCCCCTACCCGCAGCGGGCTGTGCAGAGTACAAGAGAGGGTCCTGAAGTGCTTCTCACTGGTCTTTGGAGGTGGGAAGACCTTCTCATCGGTCTTCAGGTACACGTGTCAGGTCACTGGTTTGCTGCAGGGGAGCAAACAGCATTTGAGGACATTCCACAGAACGTGTGACTATTAGAGCAGAAGGTAGTTGGCAGCCGGTTATTTCCTGGAGCAAGTGGAGGCCATGGATGCCTTTTCATGGCAGTGGTTCTTAGAAGCCCATTACCCTGCTAGGCAATTTCTCGCTTTCTGGGAGACTTTTTTTTTTTTAATGTTGAAAATATGTGTTTTAGCCAAATTCTGCCATTAACATGAGAATTTCTATAATCCCAATTAATTTTCTAAAAATAATAAAATTACTAAAACTATGCCTTATAATTTCATGAGAAACTTAAAATATACTTGCACTGTGCTTCTGTAAATAGGTGGTCTGTGTATTGTAACATGCCCAGGACGTTGCATGCATGTTTTATGATGGGTATTGTCCTTGTTGATACCTGGAGGTTAGGAGTTATTAGGTAGCACTTCTGATTCTTGGAAAACGAGTAATGCTTTGACCTTTATTCTTTAGATTAAGGATTATAGTCTTCGTTTTTCTTCCAGGATTTTCCTGATTTTTCTGACTTTAGTGTTTTTGTAGTTTTGTGAGATGGGTCTAGATTTGAATTTTTCTTTATGCCAGTGCTATTTGCATCTTGTTGGTAGGATCTTATTCCTTGTTGGTAATTCCCCCATTGCTTCTCTCTGTAGACATTTTAAACCTAGTTATTTTATGCTCTGTCTCTGGAGCGCTGCTCTGGACGCTGTCTGATCTTGTTCGTTGTTTCTTCTTTTTCTCACCCATGGTGGCTTCTTTTCTTGACTGTGTTGGAGACTTTGGGTACAGAGCTTCTGCCCTGTGGGGCTCCATCCATGGGCATTTGGTGAGAGTGGGTCCCTCCTGAGTCAGGTTGCCAGATGAAGTACAGGATGCCAAGGTAAGCTTGAACTGAGAGCAGCTAGTATTTTAGTATAAGTATGTCCCAAGGTTTTTAACCGGGTATCCTATATGATTTCTCAGTCCTGGCAGCCCTACTCCTGAAAGGACCCTTTGCTGCTGCCAGGCCTCAGATTCCTGAGGAGCAGGGAGGGATTGATGGCACCTTTGTTGCTTGTGGTATTCCAGGCCCTGGAGGTAATGCAAATTTCAACCCTCGAACCTGTGTGGAGAGAAGCTCTGGTTACGAATTCCCAGTGGAGAATGGTTTCACCACTGGGTGCCAGCTGGGGTCTCCTTGCTGGCAGGAGGCCTTCTCCCCGCACTGAGGTGTGGCCCTTCAGGAGTCACCTCACAGGGACACCAGGCCGTGTCTTGTGGCTCTCTGCAGCTCTTGGGCGTCCCGAGGGCACCGCGGCTTCAGCTCACCACTCTGGCTTTTCCACTCACTCTTCCTTCTTAGCCCTTTGTGATTTCTTGCGGAGCTCAGCTGTACATGTAGAAGCATTTCCAGAGGTTTTTATATCAAGAAGCTTTTCTGCATATTAGGGCTGCTGTTTTGCTAGAAATGGAAGGCTCCCCTATTTTTCTTTATAACTGGAAACCCTGTTTTGGTGCTGGTTCTTTCTGTAGCCATTCTGTGGAGGACCTGTCTGAATTAGAAAGTCTACATTTTATATACTCAATAGGTATTTACCCAATGAACAGTCCCCCAGAATGCAGAATTGATTAAATCCCCAACCCCGAAGGCACAGAAGGGAAACCTGGCTGATCAAAGAATTCTTGCCTTTTAATTTAATCTGAGTTCTATCCCAGAGATAGAGTCAGGCATCTTGGGAGTGCTAAGGTAGTAGGAATGACAGTTTATCCCAATACCTGCTGCCAAGCCTGACATTTCAGACCCCCTGCCCGACAGTGTCATCCCAGTGTCCTACCACTTCTGCACTTAGCCCTGATTAGATCTTTATCGTGCCAGGCACTGTTGTAAGCATTGGGGCCACACCCGAGAGTGAAGCCAAGCCCTGCCCTCATGCAGCTCACCTCCTAGTGGGCAGGGAGAACAGATGATAGACAGGTAACAGGGTGCCAGGGTCTTGGAGAAAGCACAGCGAGGAGGCTGCCATGTGGAGAGAGGTCTCAGGCACCTGACGCAGGGGACTGAGGGATGTGGGGGTGTAGGGGAGCAGGCGCCACAGGGGAGTGAGGGATGTGGGGGTGTAGGGGAGCAGGCACCCCCCGGAAGGCAGGAACAGGTGGACATGGTCTGGAGCTAGAGAAGAGCCCGTCATGGTGAGGTGTGATGCGGGTGGGGTGAGCTTGAGCAGGGAGTGAGCTGAAAAGGCAGCAGGCCAAGGTCAGCCGGGGTCCGCAGCTGCCACGGGGACCTCAGTTCAGCGGTACTCCTGGTGAGGTGGTGGCGTTGGTGCGCCAGAGAGTGGCATCATCTGGGTCTCAGGTTTAAAGGGTTGCTCTGCTTGCCACGTCGAGTATCAACTGTGGGGGCAAAGGCAGAGGGCCAAGGCGGTCAGGGAGGGTCCTGGTGGTGCAGGTGAGAGTGCTGGTGCTATGGGCGGGGGCGCTGAGAGTAGGCACTGTCTCTTTTCCCGAGAGCCCCCACTTAACAGGGGCATTGTTGCCCCTCCTTGCCCAGCCAAGTTGCTTCTTGCTTTTTAGGTTTTCAAAATTAAGCAGACTATTGCTGAAGGATTCCAGCAGAGGGAGTCAGGGAAGAGGTGCAGGGTGGGGAGCGGGCTGCTGAGGGCCTGGTGGTGGCCTTTCCTCACCGGACGGTGGAGCCCTGGGCCTCTGCTGTGTTGCCTCTCCTGCAGAGTTGTGTGTGTGACTGGAGGAGAGGGGTGGAGCCAGTTCAGCCAGCACTGGGGTCTAACTATAAAGCACAATAGAGACAGGTAGTGGCAGCTGGGTGGGGTGGGCTGTGGGGTGGGGTTCTAAGATAGGAATTTGCCGTTTGTAACAAAGGAACTTTGGTGTAAAGGCTTTAATTTAGGAATCCCAGGCATACTTCCTCATGGATCTTTTCCTGACCCTTATGTTTAATTTAATTTACTGATGGATGGATGAGCCCAGAAAGGGTTACACAGGAGCACACTTCTCAGGGAGTGGTGTGACGCTGGGGAGGCTCGCCCACCCTGTGTCTGAGCTAATTTCTGAAATCTGTTTGGAGCTTATATATTGAAACAAAGCCGTTATTCTAACTTTCACATGAAAAGAGCTCCATGTCTTTTAAGATACTTTTTTATTAGAGCTCAAGTTCTTTTATAAGCAGAAACTCCTTTTTTAGGTTTCTAAAAAGCATACAAACGGTGGGAAGACAGAATTCTTCCCCAAATCACCTACAGGTGGTTCGCCCACACCTATTTCAATAGACCTTATTTTAGCGACTCACCTTCATCAAATGGTTCCAAAGTGTTTCAGCCTAGTTTTAACAGAACAGCAGCTCTTCCTTTTCAGACGCGTAGTTTTCATAACATTTAATTAAATTTTGCAATTGCAATGACAAGTACAACTGGCGTCGCTGCTGGGAAACAGACCACTGACTCATACCACTTGGTGGGAGGGACAGAAGTGCCTGTGGGCCAGTGGGAGCAGGTCCTGCCACTTGGTGTCCTGTGTAGGCTGGCTTGTGAGTGATCCAATCGGGGTTGGTCAGAAGAGCTTTCTGCTGAAAGGAAGAAGAGCTGGTGAAGAGGACCAAGCTCGCCAGAGTATTAGGAGGCAGGCCAGACTGTGTGGGCCCTGGGCGCCAGCAGAGGAGCCTGTAGAGGAGCTTCAGTGTCTGTCAGAGGCCGCAGGAAGGTCAGGGGTGGTGAAGGTTGACCATGCCCAGGATACTGCGTTGATGACCAGGTCATAGGTGAACCTTGAGAGAAGTGTCAGGAGACTGGTGGGAATTAGAGATTCCATCTTCTATAGCTTGTTATTTTGTCTTGTTTTTAAGGGCTAAGGCATTCTCAGTGTGTTTATAGGCAAAAGGGTAAGTGCTTGTGGAAAGAGGGAAAAGATGCAAGAGAGGAATGGGACCGTTGATGGAGCAGGGATCCCAGAGGCAGGGGGGCCTCTTGGCTCCTCAGAGATCCCAGTTCACCAAGCAGGGATCCCAGAGGCAGGGAGGCCTCTCAGCTCATCAGAGATCCCAGTTCACCAAGCAGGCGTGGCCAGGCCAGATCACTGTTTGTTTCATAGGACCCCAACCTAGTCTGCTGAGGGGAGGCTGGAGGGGTGGGTGAGGGCTCTTTCCTCCCATGGGGAGACACTCTGTTGGATTGGCCATGTGTGGAGTGGAGGCACAGAACCTACATCCAGGGTGCTGCGAGCGTAGCTGAGAAAGCCAGCTGACCCATGCTGGGTGGTTGACCAGGCCCAGTGACCACGTTGGCCATTGTCATTGAAGCATCTCATTCCTTGATTAAAATCCACTGGTGCTCTTCACATCACAGGGCCAGTTCCAGACAGTAGATTACAGCCATTTGATGTGTCATATTTACGTTCTCCTAGCGTGAAAGCAGCAGTTTGTGTGCTTAACATTATAAATATACATGGTTGAACATCCTGGATGTGATGGCTAATGAGTCTCTCTGGAACAGATTGGTTTTGGAGATGTCTTGACTGGCCTTTAAGGGGCACGGTCGTCCAGCTGTGGAGCACTCGTGGAGTCAGATCTCCACACAGTGGTTCAGGTCCCTGTGAATCCTCTCACCTGCGTGAAGGGCCTGGCTGCCTCTTCTAGGTGTCTGGGAAGCCTGCTCTTTCCCATCAACTGCACCCTTAAATGGGGACTCCAGAAACAGGAGCAGTGTCAGGGGCGAGTTAGAGGGCCTAGCACGCCATACTCAGGGACAGTGGCGGGACGCTGGCAGGAGCAGTGGCAGCTCATGGGGCTCCGGATCCCAGGTGCCTGTGCTCGCCCACCTGCACCTGCCAATGGATGGGTGACTTTGAACAACACGAGAAGACGGCAGTTGGGGTCCAGTGGCCTTCGTTACTGTTAGGAAGAAGGTCCAGTTGCCCATTCTAGACTTGCTGTCTCTCTTGTCTGTGTTTCCTTATCCCTGAACCTGGCTTCCAGTCTGAGTTTAGGGAGATCTGCTTGGCGGGGGAAGGTTTCCCAGCTCTTCCTGTGGCTGGATGGAGTCAAAGGCACCAAGACCTGAGTCTGGGAGGGGTCCAGCCAACTCGTTTTTCTTCTTGGGGTTCTGTAATTTTTGCTTTGCTTGCCCTTGTGTAATTCTAAGAGGTGCACAGCTGCTGTTTGGGTTGCAGTTGTCTAAATCAGTGGTGCCCCAGAAGTTGCCAGTGTTCTGGGAGCTGCTCTTACTGAGAGAATCATGTCTTTTTACTGGAACTCCTTCCTAGGGCCACTCTGAGCGCTCTCAGCCTCTGCCACAGCTCATAGTTTCTGGCTCCGCATGGTGGAGTCGCCTCGCCTTCTGCTGTGGCTCCTCCTTGTCACTCTTCAGTACACTCAAGGCTGTTCAGCCTGTCGGCGGGAGCTCCACCTTCCCTGTGCATTCGTCTGGCCCCCATTTCACCGCACTCAGTGCCAGACACTGCACCAGGGCTGGAGACACAACCCAGTTTCCACACCCTGGAGACTCGGCAGAGACACGTGCGCAGATGATGCGATGGAATCCCAGAGGCTGTGGGGACCCGTGAGAGGGTAGGGATGTGCGGTAGGTTGCTGTGTCTGGGGTCTCAAGACTCGCACCTCACAGGATGGGTATGAGTTTGCCAAGTAGAGTCTTGGGGGGGGCAGTTGAGGGAGAAGGAGGATGGCTGTGAAGGCCGGAGGCTGCAGGGCATGGCCGGCAAGGGCCATGATGTGAAGGGAAAGGAGACAGAACAGGTGGGGAGGGTGGCGAGTGGGGCGAGATCGCACAGGGTCTCAGGGTGGACCGTGGAGCTTACTTTCCATCCTAAGCCACGTGGGGGTTACAGCAGGCATGAGATTAACCCGAGGAGTTCAAATATAGCAGAGTCAGAGGGCATTGCACATTGTTATGTAACCAAGCCTGGAATTGCAGTGTGAAGAACTTCTCATCAGCGTTGATGGGATGATTAAGAAAGGTGGTCAGAGATGTTGGAATTTGAACCAGAATTTAAGATTCATAGATACTGAGGATTTATGGGCTTTATTTAGAGTAACTTCTTGACTATTAGAAACCCTATCAGATAAATTTTAAAACAGAGACCCAGAGCTCAAGGTAGGACTACTAAATGGATGATGTGGAGTGATGGTTAAGATGACATTTTCCTGGCTGGTGCTGTGGCTTTGGTTGGGAACAGCGAGAGATACAGAACCGACGGTCTGGGATCCAGGAGGGTGGCTGGCAATAGGGAGGAAGTGTGGACGCTTGATCCAGGAGGCACTTAGGATTAATCTGGCAGCCATGGCCTGCGAGGTGGGGAGAGGCTGGTGGAAGGAAGGATTATGGGCTGGGGGCTGGAGTGTCATGGGCTGAATAGGACCTGACAAGAAGGGGAAAGAGCAGAGAGACTGAGGCTGAAGAGGGCACCACTTCTGCTGCTGATCGCAGTGGTAACAATACCAGGTCACCCCGAGCACCTTCTGTGTGCTGGGCACTATGCTGTTGCCACAAGAAGACACTATTATTCTTATTCCCATTTGCAAATGAGCAGTTTGACACAGTGGCTTTCTGAGGTCCTGCAGCTTCTGGGAGGGCAGGACTCACATTTGGGCAAGTGTGGCCGGGCGGCCATGCTGCTTCCCATTTCCCTGCTTCTTGCAGGGCCCCTGGGGTGAGCACCATGCACAGACTAAGGTGTGGGGGTTGTATTAGGCTGTTCTCGCATTGCTATAAATAAATGTCTGAGACTGGATAATTTATTTAAGAGGGTTTTATTGGCTCACGGTTCTGCAGGCTGTACAGGAAGCATAGCAACTTCTGCTTCTGGGGAGGCCTCAGGAAACTTACAATCATGGTAGACGGTAAAGGGGAAGCAGGTACATCCTAATAAGGCAGGAGCAAGAGAATGGGGCAGCAGAGTGTCACATATTTTTAAATGACCAGATCTTTGGTGGCAGAGTGTCACATATTTTTAAATGACCAGATCTTTGGTGGCGGAGTGTCACATATTTTTAAATGACCAGATCTTTGGTGGCGGAGTGTCTGTCACATATTTTTAAATGACCAGCTCTTTGGTGGCGGAGGAGTGTCACATGTTTTTAAATGACCAGCTCTTTGGTGGCGGAGGAGTGTCACATGTTTTTAAATGACCAGCTCTTTGGTGGCGGAGTGTCACATATTTTTAAATGACCAGCTCTTTGGTGGTAGAGTGTCACATAGTTTTAAATGACCAGCTCTTTGGTGGCAGAGTGTCACATATTTTTAAATGACCAGATCTTTGGTGGCAGAGTGTCACATATTTTTAAATGACCAGATCTTTGGTGGCAGAGTGTCACATATTTTTAAATGACCAGCTCTTTGGTGGCGGAGTGTCACGTATTTTTAAATGACCAGATCTTTGGTGGTAGAGTGTCACATATTTTTAAATGACCAGGTCTTGTGTGAACTCAGAGTAAGAGCCTACTCATCACCAAGGAGATGGCCCAAGCCATTCATGAGGGATCAGCCCGCATGATCCAAACACTTCCCACCAGGCCCCACCTCTGACACTGTGAGTTACATCTCAGCATGAGATTTGGAGGGGACATCCACACTCTCATTTGATGAACATGCTGGTGACATGGGTACACAGACGAGTAAAGAAAGACCTTTTCACAGCAGAGTGGATCTTAGATTTTCATATGAATAGAAGGGTTTATGATTTTTGGTTTTGTTGATCCTGTGACCTTGGAGTGTTTGTCTTGTCACTTGTCTGGCTAGTGTCCTGATGGCTCTCAGGCACCTGTCCACACTCTAGGCGACACCCAGCGCTAGGGCACTGATGCCTCAGGAATCCAAGTTTTCATCTAAAACAGCGTTTTCATTGGGTGCAGTGGCTCACGCCTGTAATCCCAGCACTTTGGGAGGTTGAGGCGGGCGGATGACTTGAGGTCAGGAGTTGGAGATCAGCCTGGCCAACATGGAGAAACCCTGTCTCTTCCTAAAAAACACAAGAATTAGCCAGGCGTGGTGGCGAGCACCTGTAATCCCACCTACTCGGGAGGCTGAGGCATGAGAATCACTTGAATCCAGGAGGCGGGGGTTGCAGTGGGCCAGAATTGCCACTGTGTTCTAGCCTGGGCAACAGAGTGAGACTCCATCTCAAAAAAACTAAAATTAAATAAAAATAAATAAGTAAAGCAGCATTTTCAGTGGGGCATGTGTACCTGGGGTCTGAGCAATATATATGAACATGTTTTTCCTTAGCGACCCTCCTCATTTTGTGCCCGGAATTGACCCTGTGTAAGTTCATGAAAATACTGAATGTGTGCAGGACAGGCTGCTGATTTTTTAAAGTCACGTTTTAAACATTGTATCAGGTCACTTTTTATTTCTGTACAGCCCTTCTTTGGATTAGACAAACTGTGATTTGGTTTCTATTTTACCAGTTCAGTCTCTTCAATGGAAGGAAGCCAGATGCTGTTAAGATACTGTGCTCCCTCCTTGAAGCTGATCGTTCCCTCCTTGAAGCTGATCGTTCCCTCCTTGAAGCTGATCGTGTCCAAGATAGTTGCTAGGACAACAGAATCTTCTGTTTTCTCGCCTGCTATTTTTGTTTCTTTTACTATCTCAAGTTGTTTTCATTTTCAGTATTGAGTTCTCCCTTACCATTTTTTAAAACAGAGATGTTTTTATTAACTTTAATATGTTAATACTGTATGTTCTTGCCTTTATGAAATTCACCTTACAGAAAGGCACTAGGATCAGTTTACCTAAACATGCGGGAGACGGAAGGCCAGACGTGACTGCTTTAGGTTCCTCATGACATTCAGACCTTACTTGGAACTCAGTTTGGTATCTAGTTGTGTTAAAATACAAATTTTCAGTTTATAAGTTACTTAATTAAGTTTGAAAGTAAATGCGTAATGCCTTCAGTGTTCTCTCCACTTTGTGCCCTGCCACCTGCACTGTGGAAATTAATCATAGAAACTCGGCGTTAATCTGTATGCCCGAGTTATTTACATCTCTGTGTATGGAAAATTATCAGCATGTGTCCCTCGAAGAAGATGATGAGCATAAAAGGTGATCTTTACCAGGTCCATTGGTTTGTATGTGATTGCTGTGGTATGTGGTATCTGCCTGTCTACTGATGGAAAGTGGTAAGATACTGTCTTACATGCAATCTGGAAAATCAAGTGCCCTGACTTTACAGTGTGTTACATATGATTGTATTTACTTTAGAATTTTTAGAAAGCATACCATTTTCAGGTTTAAAACAAGCACTTAGGTTAGGAGCTTTTCTATTATTCACAGCTAATAAGAGTTAAGGAGGATTAAGACATTTGAACTATTGTTAATACTCATTGCAACAAATATGACAGCTAAATAATGATATATTTGTAGGAAGCTATAGTTTTATGTGTTAAAAAATAGAACACACATTTTCAAAATAAAAATATGGTTTTTGAAAGTTGACTGTTAAAAGATTTTTTGAAAATTTATGCCAATTTTGTTACATTCGATTTGTGTTCTACAGTAATGGAAATTAAGGGAAATTGTGTATCAGAGAAGTGTCTTTAATATCTATAGTGCTCTTCTTTAAAATTAATGAAAAACTCCAAGCAGAATTGATTAGCATTTATATGTTATAATGGAAAATAGGAGTTGGAAACTGGAATTTCCAAATCACCCCAGAACTTTGCAGTATTTTGAAGCTCCTTAGTGCATCTAGAGAGAGGGGAGCCAGTCATGCTTGGCATAACCCATTGCTTGCCCCAGCAGAGTGAAGCCCACCCGGTACACAGGCCCTCACTCAATCGTTTTTTTGTTTAATTTATATATTTACAGTAATACAATAAAGGGTTTGTTGCTGGAATATACACATATTTATTTATATGTATAATATTTATCAATATATTTACAAATATATGTATACATGTACACACACACACACACACACACACACACACACATCCTTCATGAAAACTCTTTCAGCTGGGAAACTGAGCATCCTTGAATGTCCCTGAGGTGACTACTAGGATATAAACATCCCCCAAGAGAAGTGCTTTGAGTTACATACGAAAGGACCTGCAGAAAGATTGGAGTCACCTTTATCTGGGTAGAGTGGATTGTGGACCATAACCTAACAGACACCCAAGAAATCTCATAGCTGAGACCTTGAGCAACATACCTTTACTATATATATGCTGATTGACAGATAAATGGAAAATTGGAGGGAATGAGGGGAATTCAGTAAAACCTCGTATAAGTAGTATGTGATTGAGGAAAGAGCTTATTGTGTTATTTTTAAGAGTTAGCACACTAAAAGTTACAATTTAATTCAACGAATATTTACATGCTGTAGTGGGAAAAAGATCCTGGACTTGATCATTAAAAGATCGGGGCTCCACTTTCAGCCTGCCACCAGCTAGCCACGTGACCGTAGGCAAGTCAAGTCTCTGAACACCCTGTCTCTTTTAAAACAGAGACTGTGCCTTCCTTTACCTCATGCTGTCAGGGTCACAGGAAATAACACTAGTAAAAAGGTTTCTACTTAGAGGCTGCCCACTAATATCAGTAAGTGTATCAATGATTGCATTGGACATAACTTTGTGATGAGTACCAAAGAAAAGTCAAAGGATGAAGGGAGCTCTGAGAAGGAAGGGGCATTATTTCATGGCAGGATTCGAGGAGGCAGAGGTGGCTCAGGACAGCACTTCAAAAAGAGTGAGTGGCATAGGTGTTCAGTAGAGAAAAGCCATGGCCTTGGCCAGGAATAGCAAGTCAGCTGCCACACTCAAGGAAGACCTACTTGGAGACCCTTGCGATGTACCTGGGCGGGGAGGTGCTTGTTCAGGAGGTTTCTTTGGCTTTCTCCTGAATGACATTTCCTGAGATATATCTACTATCAAGTTAATCACATTCACTCACCAAATAAGTTCTTTTCTGCTTTCTTCTTACAAAGTAGCATTTGAGAATGTTTTTATGTGGCACTTCTTTCATTACTGTAGTTCTCTGATAAGTAACTGCCTAGAGCAGTAGTAGGGCTGTTAAGTGTTAGAGGCTGTCTTTGCAAAAACTGAAATAATGACACAGAGAAGCTTGTCCATAAAAATGAATGATTCAGTGACATCTGTTGTTATTAGCCAAACCCTGGATAGGAACTTTCTTAGAGGGAGGTGAGGTGCCCTCTCTGGCTGAACTACCTGCTCATTCTTACCTTACATTTCAACCATATATAATAGCAGGTGAGATTCACATTTACATCTTTTCCTAAGTTCTTTTTAGAATGGTTATGTACTGTAATTCCATCTTATTTCCTTTGTGGCCTTACGAGCTACCCCTCTTTATTTCATTTCTGATGATTGCTGTAGGGTTTCACCACGGGCAACTCTAACTTGTCACAGTCAATCCACACCTTGTCAGCATTTAACCGCCTCACACAGAATGCAGGTATCTGGCCCGAGGCCACAGCTGTTCCTGCCCTCTGTGTTCTTTGTGCTGTTATTCTCATATACTTTCACAGAAACCACACAATGGACTGTTGTGATTTTGGCTTTAAACAGTAAGTTATCTTTTAAAGAGATTGAAACAATTTTTTAGTCTTTTAGTCTTTTATCCTTCCCTCTACCATTTCTGATGTGCTTCATTCCTTTGTGTGGACCTGAGTTTCCACCCGGCATCATCTTTCTCCTGTGTGAATAACTTCCTTTAGCAGTTGTTATAGAACAGATCTGGGAGCAGTGAATTCTATTAGCTGTTGCTTTTCTGAAAATATATAGTTCAACTTCATTTTGTTGAGTATTTTCTTTTGATATAGAATTCTAGGTTGACAGTTTTTTTTTCCCCTCCAACACATAAAAGATATTCCATTGCCTCTTGGCTTGCATAGTTTCTAATGAGAAGACTGCAGTTCTTCCTAGCTTTGGTTCTTGTCCCTGATGAACCTTTTTTCCCTTTGGTTGTTTGTAAGATTTTCTCGTGATCTTTTTCTTACTAGTTTTTCATAATTTAATTATGGCATGCATCTGCGTGGTTTTCTTGGTATTTATCCTGCCTGGGGTTTATTGAGTTTCTTGGGTGGCAGGATTATCATTTTCAGAACACATGGAAAGTGTTTGGTTATCATTTCTTCAGATTTTTTTCTATCCTCCCCCTTTTGGGGACTCTTATGTATCCATGCATTAGGTGACTTGCTATTTTCCACAGGTCCCTGTGACTCTGTCCATTTGTTTTTGGCCTTTTTCTTTCTGTGCCTAATTTTGGATAGTTTCTGCTGCTCTGCCTTCAAGCTCACTTATCTTCTGTGGGTGTATGATATGCTGTTAATTGCATTGTGTTGGTTTAGGTCTTCCAAGAATCAGAAGCCAAGAGATTAGATGTCGAAGAGGTCTGTTGGAAGAAAACACCTTTGAAGGATCGGGGAGAGGAAGTCTGAGATGGCAGGAGAGCCTTTGCTCTTCCTTGCGGGACTGTGACAAGAGACAGGAAGAAAGAATCCAGGAAAGATTTGGCCAGGCTGATGAGTGTCCTAGAGCCAAAGATGCCTGTCAGGGAGTCCCATGTCCACAGGAACAGCTGGCACCAGAAGCTCTTCTGTGCTCCATCACTGACCAGGCACATTCTGTAACGTGCGTGGCCGTGGCATGAACAGGCAGCAGATCCTGAGGGTCAGGAGCAGCAGGAGCGTTGCAGAGGAGCACACTTTCCTCCCTGCAGTAGGAGCTCGGCAGAGCACATTTTCATGGCCACCACACTTATCCAATAGAATTGTGTTTTAGGAATCCTGTTTTTTAGCTCTAGAAATTCTGTTTGGTGCTTTTTATGTTTTCCAGTTCTCTCCTTATGTTTTTCATTTAATTCTTAGAGCATACTGAACATTTTTATAACAGCTGTTGTAATGTCTTTGTTTCCTAATTCATCGTCTTTGTCAGTTCTGAGTTGGCTTGATATTTTCCCCTTGTTATGGGTTACATTTTCCTGTTTCATACGCCGAGAGATGTCTCATTGCTTTGCCATACGTTGCAAATTTTACGTTTTTGAGTGCTAGATCTTGTTCTATTCCTTTGAACTGTGTTAGAACTTTTTTTCTGACAGCAGTTAAGGTACTTGCAAGTCAGTGTAAACCTTTTGAGGCTTGATGTTTCAGCTTTCTGGTGAGCCTGCAATGGGCTTTCTTCAGGAAGGGCTTAGCCCAGTATCAAGGCATGGCCATGGGGTCCCTGTTGAATGCTGCATGCGTGCAGCGAGAGGCCCCTCTGCTCTGGCCAGTGGGAGCTCGCCGACTCTCAGCCCTAAGTGAACTCTGGGAGTCATCTGCTTGCAACTCCCTGGAAACTGTTCTTTCCCAGAAGTCGACTTTGTCCAGCTTCATGGAGTTTTACCCCCTGCACACACTGATGGCTACTCAGCCAGAGACCGAGTGGGTCCCCTGTGCAGATTTCTGGAGCTCTTTTTCTGCCTAGGCCCCACCCCTTTAGTGCTCTACTCCGTAAAATCTAGTCACTGTGTCCTGCCCAGAGTCAGATGCAACCACCAGACTCAGTTTCTCCAGTTTCTAAATGTATCTGGCTGGGAGGCAAGTACAGACCCTGTTACTGCCTCATGAAAGGAAACTGTTGACTACTACTTGGCCTGGTGCCTCTCACTTAGGCCCTAACAGTATAACTGATTGCCCAGGAGCTGCATAGTTCACGTTAACTGAAGTCTGAAGTGTATTTCGGGAGGGGGCATTTTTCCATGTCAGGGCTTCTTTAAGACCACAAAGCTGAAGTCTGTGCTCGCTGCTCAGCGGAGGCCGTGCTCTGCGCATTGCGTGCATTTGCTGCCTCCTCCCTCCTCCTGAATGGCCACCTCTTCCCTGCTGATCCGCATGCTGTCTGCACCTGAAGCCTCTCTCCGTGTTGGTCAGGTAGGATTTCTCCACCCTTTTCGCCCTCCATCACCTTCCATCTTCTACTTTGGGCTTCTCCCACATTCCAACTCATTTCTAGGTTTTTCTAGCCAGAGAAGAGAGGACTGGCTTCGTTCATCTCTCTCAAAGTAGTTAGGACACAGCGTTTCACCAGTAGAAGGAGTTTCCTCCATTAGAATGAGTGACTGTGTGTGTGTGTGTGTGTGTGTGTGTGTGTATATTTTTTTCCTTGACTGATTTCTGTGCGAACAGCTGGCATTTGAAGCACTATATAGGGCATGTCTAAATTGTGCACCCAAGAGAAGAGCCTGGGAGAAACCTCATTGTGCGGCCTTGGCCCTCATGGCACAGATCCCAGGTTGGCTGTAGCATTTAGAAGTGGACACTTTTCTAACATCAGAACTCATCCAGTCCTTACGTTGAATCACACAAACTCAGTGGCGTCACTTTGGATCAAAGAACAGCACGTTTCAGCTGCCTCTGCGACCTCACCTGGAGCTGGAGAATCACCCTGTTCCCCGCTGTTGCCAGGCGCAGGACCTGGCACCTGTAGGCACTTAGCCGGCACAGGACCTCGTACCTGTGGGCACTTAGGAAGTAATTGTGGGCTAAGTGAACTTAAACCACGTCGTGGACTCAGCTTTACTGTCTTGTTGTTACCTTCCTGTACTTTCTTAGGCCAGTGATCAGCAAAGGTTTCCTTTAAAGAGCCAGAGAGTAAAGGTTCCCAGCTCTGCGGGCCACACAGCCTCTCACAGCCGCTCAGCTCTGTGCTGTGTGAAAGCACCACCAGCCAGTGTGTAAATGCATGGGCCAGGTTGTGCCAGTGAGGCCTCATTTACAGAAGCAGTCAGCGGCGAGATTTGATCTGTGGGCTACAGTTTGCCGACCCATGCATGAGGCAGTAAAAGGCCAAGAGCCTGGTATAAATTCATAACGAGAAACCAAGGCTCTGAATCAGCCCCGAAGTGTAAGCAGCAGCATAATGATCTGGAGCAGCATCTTGGCGTTATTAAATTCAACCCATTCCGATGGCTGCGTCAGCATCTATTGCTCTGTTTATTGTTTTTCCTTAAGCAAGCAGTTCCATTTCTAGAAATTTATCTCAAGCACATAAATCTAGAGGGGGCACATCGGTGTTATTTATGACGGGAAAACTGGGAACAGACACAGCCCTAGGCTGGAAGAGGCACAGAGTGATGTACAGCATGGGCCAGTGGTTAGGAGCAGACTCAGGAGCCAGGGGACACGGCTCCAATTCTAGCTCTGTGAACACACTGGCCGTGTGCCACCCTCAGCAAGTTACTTAATCTCTCTCTCTTAGGGAAAAAAAAAAAAAAAAAAAAAAGAAATCCTTGCACATGCTGTAAAATTCAAAAGATGAGAGATGTTCCTTCTTTGTTCCCCAGCCGCCCAGGGCCCCTCCCTCAGGCAGCCTGGTTCAGGTTTCTTTGTAGCCTTCCGGTTGGTGGGGGAGAGGGTAGCACCTGTGTGTGTGTGCCATTCACCCTCTTAACTGTGAGGGTCAGGAAAATCATCATGTTAGTTTACATTAAGCATGGACTTCTGACACACAGATTTGCACACAGATATTTGGGGGAAATCACGAGTGGGTTTGATGAGCGTGTCCAATACTGTCTCTTCTCCAGTCTTTCCTGTATATGAATCAGGATGCACGGGTGGGAACAAGTCCGGTCCTGTGGGGTTTTCCGGGAGAAGAAAGTACAGATCCACATTCCCAAACAGGCTGGGCCACATCCCCAAGCAGGCTGGGCTGCAGTGTGCACACCCTCATGTGTCATTTTGTATCTGCTAGTACAAATGTGCACACCCTCTGCAGCCTGGAATGGAAGCCCACCCTGCTCATCCTCCATGTCTGGGCTCCATCGGGGGCCAGGGGGAGTTGTCATTTCCAGCCCAGCCCCCTGTGACCAGCAGCCCTTAGGGAAAGGAACTTGGTTTGTACACTGAGTCAGCCCAGGTTGTCGGTGACTGGGCAGGGTGCCTCCCAGTGCACTGTCTAAAATCCCTTCCCAGCTCCAGGCCTCGCCCTGGAACACTCCCGGTGGGCCACCAGGGACTGACACACGCCAGGGTCATGGGTGGAGGGCAGCTTAGCTGCTTGGCTCTGGAAGAGGACTTGGAATGTTTGGCTTTGTAATTTATTGAGGTTTTTTTTCCCTTCAGTAAACTTCCTTTTTGATTTCTAATGGAAAATGGAATACAGGGAAAGAGCCTCCTGAAAGTGTTAAACTTATCAGAGCCCTGTGAATGTAATGAGTCCAAAATGCCTTGAATTTAGAGATCCAGCGAGGGAAACTCCGTTCGCATTGTACAGTAGAGGGGATTGCAGAGGATGAGCATTGGAGGGGTTTGTTCCTTTTTCTGTTAGGCGCTCTTTCTTCTTTTGCTCCTTAAGGATTCTTGGTTTGCTCACCCGGTGTATACTCGGCAGAAGCCCTGACTTCTGACAGGAGGAAAATGATTTTCTTTTCATTTTAAAGTGGGTGTACGGCCTTGATAGTTCACCTGAGATAGTTCACCGCATGCCCTTTGCATCTCAACCTTTGGACGCACAGCCACACACATGGGTGTCACGCACCCGGGCACCGTGAACGAGCAGATCCGGGAAAGCGTGGCTCGGGAGGAAGGTCTGACGAGGCCCGTTGCGGCTCCCGGAGTGAGGCTGCCCTGCGAGGGAACGGGCTTTGCTGCTTTCCTCCCTGAGGCGTTATCATGCGCGTTTTCTCATGTGATGAATGAGCACTGGGTTTTGGGGGTGGAAGGCTTATTTTAAATTAGCAGATACAGACGTGAAGTAGACATGTAAACAAAGTGGATGATTTTGCATTTTCCTGGTGTGAGATGCTGCAAATGAACCCCTCCCCCCCCGCATGGTTCTCTGTTGGCCTAAAACACTGAAAAGAGACCCCAGGATCTGAGAACCCTCCTGGGTATCAAAGGCCAGTTAACTGCTGCCTGAGAAGTCCAGACACAAACTTTCCGAGACAATTAATGGCCACTGGCTGGACTTAGCAGGTTTGGTATTCTGCTAGTTTCTATTATCTGCTCTGATTTAAAATTCTATTTGCAAAGATGAAAATGGAGCCAGACTGTCCCAAACCCAGCCCTTCCTCTGTCAGTACTGCTGTGAACAGACCTGCGTGGCTGGTCCTGTGTTTGGGTAAAACATTAAATGACAACTTTAATTGAAAAACCCTGGGGAAGCTGACCCAGGGCGTCTTAAGAGAGGCGCCTGCTGGCCGTCGTGTGGGTTTGCAGCAGGTTGGTTAAACGGGAAAACCTTTCGGTGATCTTTTGTTCAGGTGTCAACTTTCTGTTCTTTGGGCTTAATTCTGCAGTTGGTCCTTTAGGGAAAAAGAAATGAATTTCTGGCAGGACCACCTCTCAGATGTGGAACCAACTACAGCGTTACCGTTTCCTGGCTGCGGCAGTCGTGTTTGAGTGTGGTTCTGCTGGAGGTGTCCTCGCCGGCAGTGTTCCTGGAGGGCCTTGCTGCTTTCACAGCTCTCTGGCCTGCCCCTCCCTCCGGGTTTGTGTTCTTGGGGTTGACCCACACTCTCCTGCATCCTCGACCTGTTCCCCTGCACAGTTTTTTTCTTCCTGGTGTACAGATGTGACCCGGTATCTCCCATCATAAAAAGCAGACACCCGGCAGGAGTCGTCTGCTGCTGCTGCTGCCAGCTACCACTCTCTAGCAGCTTAAAACAATACACATGCATCCTCCTAAAGTTCTGGAGGCAGAGGTTCTAAAATCACGGTGCAGGCGGGGCTGGCTCCTTCCGGGGGCTCAAGGGGAGATTGGTGTCCTTTCCCTTTCCAGCTTCTAGAGGCCGCCCACATTCCTCAGCACCTGGCCCCACATTACTGTGGCTGTTGCTTCCATTGTCACATCTCCTTCTCTGATTTCTGAGGACCCTAGTGATGGCCTGGGGCCCACCCAGATAACCCAGATGATCTCCCAGTCTCCTGCTGCAGAGGCCCTTTTGCCAGGTGAGCTCATGTGTTCACAGGTTCTGGAGGCTGGGCATCTTGAGATAGAGATCTCCACCACTTCTTGATGCAGAGACCCCGCCTACCAGCCCCCTGCACATGCATGGGCGTGCAGGCATAGACATACGTGCCATTACCTGGCGTGTGAAAGGTGGCCCAGGTGTTGTGTCCCCTTCCTCAGCTGCTGACTGCTTCCCCGCTAGTGTGGTCTTTTCCCACCCCGCTCCTCCTGTCTTCGTGCAGAGCTAGTGGCCATCTGGTGACCGTGACGCGAGGCCCCGTATGTCACGCGTGGTCACACCCAGCTCCTCCGGTGGCCTGTGTGCCTCACTCCTCAGTCCCTCTGCAGCCTCAGGCCTCAGCCATGCAGTGCTGCTCTTTGGCCTCTTCTCTTGTCCAGCACCCTGGATGGTCGGCTCACATGGCGCTGCCTCCCTCAGTTACTGGGAGGTGGCTGCACAGCCCTGTCTTCTAAGCCACAGACGCAGGTTTCCAACTGCCCACGGGTCATCTCTATGGGGCAACCCGCCATGTAGCCCCCACACCCTGCACATATTCTATAAGCAGACCGGACACTTACCTTCCCTGGGGCTGACCAGCTCTTTCTCTCTCTCACCCAGGCCTTCCTGACCCCGTCAGGCCCTTTGAGGCCAGCCCCAGGTGCCCGTCACTGCTCCCCGGTCTAGAAATAGCACCTACAGCCCGTCTGACACAGGTCACAACTTAGGCCAAAGGTCTTGTCAGACTGTGAAGCCAGAAAGTCACGTCCCTCTCTTGCGGTCTTCCTGCCACTTGTAGACACCTGTAGTTCGAGCAGCAGTGTTGGGGGATCCCCCTGGCCCTGGAGGGTCCCTCACTCTCCTGACGCCTCCCTGGACTCTGCCAGACTAGCTGCCTGCGCCCCCTCCTGGGATCCCACAATACCAAACCCCCTGGGCTGTCTTGGCATCACTGGCTGAATGACCTGGGCTTTCATCTCAGTCTCTCTTCAGATTTCAAACTCCTGAAGGAGCTGGGTTTTTCTTTTTTTGTGTGTGTCCCAGAATTCTCCTGGCACCCAAACAAAACCGTCTGTATCCACACTGTATCCTGGGCCAGAAAGCTGGAGGCTGGCTGTGCCACCCTCCCCCCCGCCTTTAGATGGGCATTGATGTAGTTAGGATGTCTGTCCCTCCAGATCTCATGTAGAAATCTGATCCCCTGTTGGAGGTGGGGTCTGGTGGGTGGTGTTTAGGTCATGGGAGTAGATCCTTCATGAATGGCTTGGTGCCCTCCTGGAGGTAATTAGTATGTTCTCACAGAGTGCGCGTCGACCTCTCATTTTAAAGTATATGGCAGCTCCCACCCCCTACCCGCCTCATGCTCTTGCTCTTGCTCCTACTCCCACTATGTGGCGTACCTGCCCCTGCTTTGCTTTCCACTATGATTGGAAGCTTCCTGAGGCCTTCCCAGAAGCAGATGCTGGCACCATGCTTCCCACACAGCCTGCAGAACCATGAGCCAATTAGACCTCTTTTCTCTCTGCATTTCTCAGCCCCGGGTATGTCTTTATAGCAGTGCAAGAATGAACTAACAGAGCACCGGCCCCTCCACTTCCAGGTCCCACTTCACAGCTGTGCACCTAGGAGAGGAGAGGCTTTCTGGGGAGGAGGAAGGGTGGCTCCTGGGCCTTGAAGATCCTAGAGCTTTGCCTGTCCTGTGTGTGAGATGGCTGGTCTTGGGGCGACCTGTCTGCTGCTTCATAGGATGCATTGTGTGTTCGTCTGTCACTGCGTGGCCACTGTGGCAGAGGCCAGGCAAGGCACATTTCAGTGATTTGTGATCCAGGCAGCCATGGCTGTGTGGATGGCTGTGAATGCCTGCTGCTGATTAGGATAAAGGAAAAGCTGATTCTTTTAAAAATGGTTTTAGTACCTGTTCTTAAGGGCAGAATTTGGAAGGGGTGTGTGTGTGTGTGTGTGTGTGTGTGTGTACACAAATTGACTGTGTGCCCATGCTGATTTGAAAATATGAAAAAACTCATCATTTTCCCACCTGCCATCGCTGGGCGACACACACCGTGCTGAGCGCTTTCTCCTGGCTCCGCAACGAGGTGGTCCTGCGGAGCAACACTCCTCTTTCCGTCTCAGCCAGCCCTGTGCTGGCCGCCTACCCTCATGAACAGGCGTCTTTGTGCTGGCAGGGGCTCTTGTTGCCCCCCAGATCTCCCTGTGCCCTGTGAGGTTGGCCTCTGTGGACCGCCACCTGAGCCCCTGATCTCTCCCAGATGGTGGGAGAAGTGGGGCCTGTAACATCCTTTCTGCAGCTCCATCACTGCCAAGCTCAGCCCCCCACTGGCCTCTCTGGCAGCATCCGCTCCTCCTGGGCTCTGTCGTCCTGTCGCTCCTGGATGTTCAGTGGCTCCCGCTAGGGTCAGTCCTGCAGTGCTTCCCCCTCCTTTGCTGGTTTTCCTGAACCCTGCCCATGTCTACTTAAAAGGCCTGGATGAAACTCACTTTCCTACTCCGCCAAGGGCCCCTTACAGCCAGCGGCCCGGCCTCTGCAGGCCCTCTTCAGAGGGAATTTCACGCGGGGCTTTTTCAGAGAGAACTCGGTGTTTCAGTTGGTGAACTGTGGTTCCTGGGTCCCAGCCCCACCCCTGTGTCTGCGTGGCTGTCCCTGCTCAGGGCCTCCCCTAAGTGCCACCCATTGCTCTCTGTCCCCCTCCTGTGGCTCTTGTCACCCTCCTGACATTAATGAGAACACTCAGTAGTTCGTTTCCATTTGTGGCTCCCAGCCCTAGGACAGAAGCTTCTGGCAGGCAGGGCTGGGTTGTGGTTTGTGTACCTGTGGCATCCTTGCACTCACAGGAGACACCTGCCACAGATCATGTGCTCACCAGCATTGCTGAAGGAACTCATGAAGTACAGGCATCTGCCGGGTAGACATTGAACTATGAGCTGGGGAAACATTCATTCACGTTAAACAGAATGCACCAATGCCTTTTTCCCCCACAGCTGCCGGGCCGCAAGTACAGCCCTGGGTACAACACCGAGGTGGGAGACAAGTGGATCTGGCTGAAGTGAACGGGCCGCCTTCTGCTCCAGCTGCATCACAGTGATGGCCAAGCTGCATCAGCCGCACTCTCCTGGACGCCATATAGCTTTAAGATCGGGGGAGGGTAAATAATGCAAAAATTGCACAGTGGAAGAAGGGGTCTCACAAAAAGCAATCCATCCTGTAGTATAGGTAATGGAGTTGGGGGAAGCAGCTTCCATTCTGGATGTTTGGAACCCTTTAGCTTTGTTTTGGAATGGCCCACCATTCTCACTGGAAAACAGTGGTCTGCTGTGAAAGGCCAGCTCTCGGCAGCCCCTGTGGTTTCAGCGCTGCCGCTCTGTGTCATTCAGGTTGTGCACATTGTTTTTCTTCTGACTTCCAGAAATAAAAGTGTTTCCATGGGAATTTCCCCATCGTACGTCTATGTGCGTGCGGGCACGTCGAAACTGCACACGTGCACACACGCTGCTCTGGGCCCTGTTTGGTGTGGTGTGGTTTAATTGAGGCTTACATTATGCTGAAGAGTTTTTCTAAAGGCCTACTGTATTTATTTTAGTAATGTGCTACATTAGAGTAGAAAAAATAAGAACGTGAAGAAGAAATAGCAAAAGGAGAAAATTACCACAGATTTACAGAACAATATGTTTTAAGAGAGACGTTGAGAAAGATTCACGTGGCCGTCCTCAGCGTCTCAAACTCCTTTGAAGGGAGATTTGAGCTTAGGCTGTTGATGACATAAGATGCAAAAGCAAAATAATATACTCTCTTTATTACCCAGAAAATCAAGTTGCCAGTCAAAACTGAGAAATGAGAAAGAAAATCAGATTTCTTTATTCATCTCTGTTGAAGCCTAGAAAACCAAAACAAGCTGGTTGTGGTTCAGCATCATGGTTTAGGAATCAAGCTGTCAGTTGTGAGTCCTACTGAACTGTGGGTTTTCCACTGTAAAGCTCCACTGTGTCCATTAGGAATCAGGCTGCCAGTTGTGAGTCCTACTGAACTGTGGGTTTTCCACTGTAAAGCTCCACTGTGTCCAATATGGTAGCTCCTAGCCACATGTGGGTATTGAAATTTAAATGAGCTAAAATGTAATAGAGTTTAAAATTGGGTTCCTTGGTTGCACTGGCCATAGTTCAGGCACTCCACAGCCGCCTGTGGGCAGTAGTTCCAGTGCTGGTGCAGAGGACGATGCTCTGCTCCCCGCGGAAGCTCTACCAGGCCTCGCTGCTGCGGAGCATGCGAAGAAGATGCACACTCCTTCCCTCCTTGCGTCCGCCTGCCTTTTTCCCTCTCCCCTTCCTTCCCTCCTTCTTTCCTCCTCCTTCCCTCCCTTCCTTTCTTCCTTCCATCTGTCCTTGTTTTCCTCCCTTCCCTTCCTCCCTGCCTCTTTCCTTCCCTCCTTCTCTTCCTTCCTTCCGTCTGTCCTTGTTTTCCTCCCTGCCTCTTTCCTTCCCTCCTTCTCTTCCTTCCTTCCTTCCGTCTGTCCTTGTTTTCCTCCCTTCCCTTCCTCCCTGCCTCCTTCCTTGTTTTAAGAATTTGAAAATAAAGTTTCCCAGGAGTTTTGAATTGGAGTCGAGATTTAAGTGGCTGAAGTTTTGCATTTCACTAGGAAACCAACAGCTTTAATCATGAAATGAAAGCACAGCTGGGCATTGGGCCAGTCACAGAGTGTCTTTTGCTCTGAGCACTTCACAAACCCATTGTGGAGGGGAGGAAAGAAAAAGAAAGCCATCTTTAATTATCTTAGCTGTTCCTAATGTCTTTGGCTGCAAAGAGCTAGCTGTTTCCTTCAACCTTGGTGGTTGCACGGGTAGTGTCCTCAGCAGTGAGAGGGCAGGTCTGCCCTGTGGTCAGGATTGCCCTTGTGAGGGGCAGAGCTCTCCAACCATGCAGGGCTCCGTGTCGGCATGGTGTGGACTCGGGTGCTCTGATCATCCCCTGTGTTTGCGTCTGACCCTGTGTGGTTGCATTCCCTTGATGGAGTGGGAAGTATGTAATTTGTAGTGCTGAGGACATTCGTCTGTTTGATTTTCTGGTGTTTTCAATGACATGCATGTTCAGCAGAGAAAGATGAATAAACACTGTCCAATTCTTCTCTCCACATAGAAGCCTCAAGAAGAGGTGAGGAGATGCCCCGATTTCCTTATTTCAGAGCAGTACATGCGTTCGTCTCACGAAAGCTCTTACAACTAAAACAACAGCACCAACAAACCAGGATCAAAATAATCGTGCATTTTCCAGGATTCCATGTTGGACTTCTCAGTGCTTTGGAGATCAGGAAATAATCATGCTGTTGCAGCAGTATGGTTTTGTGTCTGGATTTTATTCATACAGGCATGTGTTTACAGGCATGAGAATTCTGTATTGAAAAGAAAGTCCTTGTTTTTTTCTAACGTATCTTTCTGTTCCATCAACTGTTAAAACCAAATTGTTAAGAACATTGAGCTTCTTAGGAGAGATTACATGCAGCTACTTAGGACCACCTCAGCAAAATGGAGTTGCCTGGGTAGATAGCAGCAGCAGCTCACCAGCCCCACGCTGCCAGGCTGCTGGCTGCTGTCCACCAGGCAGCTGTGGAACCTCCATGTTCTGCCTAGGTGTTGTGGCAAGAACAGCAGGGAAACAGGCGGCCGCCTCCAGGCCACAGGTGGACCCAGGGACCTTCAGTTACGCCGCTTCAATTGAATTCGTGGTGGTTTCTCTGCTACAGCAGAAGTGGAAGAAGCTCTTGTCTTGTTTGGCATTTGTCCCATTTTTTGGCTAATAATTGGCTTTGAATTTCTCTGTGCCCTGCTTACCAATTATAGCTTTCTGGATTGGCTGTTCTTAGCAGTGCAAATGTCAATGCAAAGAAGCAAGCAGGCGGCTACTTTCTGGGAAGAAGCATAGTCCGTGCTCACACTGGATATAAATCTGCAAGATTTGGGGGTTTGGCAAAATAGGGGTGGAGGGAAAGCTGCCATGGCTGTCAGAAATTGGGGCTTTTTGAAGAAAAGCTTGTGTAGGCATCAGCCACTGGCTGGCCAGAATTCCATGAATGGAAGCAGGTGCCCGAGTGATCTGGGGCTTTACATGTGGATATAAATAGAAGCCGGGAGCCTGAGGCTTTGCTTTAGGAAAATCATGAGCCAGAAAACAGAGGAGGTGATTGTCAGTAGTCACCTCACGCCGCTAGTGTTTTCTAATACTCTCTCGAATTGTCAAAGCAAAGGACCTTATAACAGCAACACGTGTGTGACTCGAAGCAGCGAGCTTCCCTTGGGAAAAGGAGCCTCTTCTCAGCAGAGGGTCCCAGCCTTTCTGTCCTTCCCCATCGGAATGCCAGGCTCTGTGAGTTTGGATGTTGGACATTGCCACCTGAATTCCAGGAGGCCGGGGAGCTCCAGTGATGGACTTGTCCCCAAAAGAGTGGTGCTGTTCTCAGAGCCATAAATGTTCCACTGAAAGTGTCTGTCCCCTGGCTCACGCTGGCTGCGCTTGCTTGAAGGAGGCTGATTTAAGGGTTCTAATAGGAAGACAAATGAAACTGTCAAATTTTATCTTTAAGCATGTGAGTAAGTTTGCTCATTCGCTTTTACTATTGATGTATAGTTTTAAAATTCTTAATTTAAAAATTATTTTAATAGTAAATTTTTCACAAGTGAACACTTTTTATCTTTAAATTAAAATTCTGAAGCTCCCTAGTTAGTTAGATCCAATTGCTGGTTACATTTTGGGAAGCTCTCATTTTAGTGCTATGTAGTTTCATTGAATAAACATGTTTTTAATGAGACTATACCTGG
Source organism: Homo sapiens (assembly GCF_000001405.40). Lineage (NCBI taxonomy): Eukaryota > Metazoa > Chordata > Mammalia > Primates > Hominidae > Homo > Homo sapiens. The sequence goes on along the minus strand of NC_000002.12, from coordinate 239,957,361 downwards.
TGATTATATTAAAAATCCCAGCTTTTAATTTGTAAAAAGCTGTTTCCTCTGGCATGTTACGCGTGGTCATGTGGGTTTTCTTACAGTGAACGTTGATGGGGCCTCCTGCATCCCGGGCAGCATCTCAGCGCTGGACACGTGGCAGTGAGAGCAGAAATGCTAGCAGTGGCTGAGGGGCGAGGCCCAGGTGGAAGCCCCTGATGCAGGGTTGTGCATGTGCAGAATCTGAAAGCTGTGAGACTTGGCGAGCCCGCAGTGGAGGGGGGTGTCTGAGCCGCAAGGAGGGTCTGGCCTGAGCTGCAGGGCACCCCCCAGAGCCCACTGTAGGTGTTGGAGGGCTGAGGAGAGTGCAGAGGGCCTGGGAGGCGAGGGAAGGAGTGAGGCGGCCAGGCTGGGTCAGGTGCTCCACACGCGTCAGGGAGAGGAGGACCTGCAGTGACTGTCGACATGACTTTGGCAAGCTCTGTGTCCGCAGAGCTGGAGCTGAGCTGGCTGGGGCAGGAGTCACAGTGTGGGAATTAAGGAAAAAACAAGCAGGTAGGGTAGAGAGCCGGACTACCATCAAAGCATGAGTTTTCTGCTGCCCGGCTCCGCCGTGACGCCACTCCTCCCACCAGAACGAGCGCGTTTGTCTCCACACTCTCCCCTGCTTGTCATTGAGCTTTGTTCGGTTTAGGAAGCACGAACAGAAAGGTGGCTGTGACAGGCAGTGGGCTGGAAAGTGCATTTCCACTGGTCTGCCCTCTCCTGGGACAAGGTGAGCTTGGTGCTTAGCACTGGGCCGTCCCGACTCCAGGAGCAACGCCAGTCCTCCAAGCACGGGAGGCTTTTCCTCCTCTCAGTATTGCAGCAGGCAGCGCACAGCCCTTCTGTCCAAATCTGGGAACCTGAAAGACCTTCGGAATCTTGCTGTTTTAGACGTTGTAAGAGGAGCGGGTAGGACCCCACGTGCTCAGGCCCCACGCTTTGGATCTACCCCCTCTGCAGCCAGAGGGACAAGCAGCTGCTGTGCTGGTCATGGCCTCATCCCGTGTGTGACGATGGCCACTCACGTCTTCTCATTCAACAGAAGTTATCACCGTGCGTCAGACTTTTATTTGGATTTTGTGCGTCTTGCATGTATGGTGGGGATGACCGGCCCCACCTCCAAGTGTAGGCGCTGGAGCCCCTGGGGACGCAGCGCTGCTTGTTCCTGACAGATGGGTTGCACCCGTGGGAGGGGTCCAGATGTGCTAGCTCTTGGGAGTCAGTGATGGGTGTACCGGGAATGGCCTGGCGTGCATTTCCATTCAGAAACTCCCAGTCCCTGCCTGGAACCTGGCTCCTTTTGCTGTTTTTTTCCCCCTTTCCTGTCCCTTTCCTGGGTGGCTGGTCCCTGCTGTCGCCCCTGCCTCCCTGGCTGCAGAGCTTTCCTCTGGAGGACTCGACACAGAGCCTGCGCCGTCTCTGACTCCGGGCTCTGCTGCCCTGCCCCACTTTGGTCTCTCAGGTTGGAGTTGAGGTTGCATCTGCTGAGAGCCGTGCCCACAGGTGAGGTAGTATCAGGGTCCTGAGCCAGAGTCCACTGTCCCCTGGCCGTGGGTTTGGAGCTGCCAGCCATCCTTCCCTGAGAACCCAGCCTATGACTCGGCTCCCCTTGGGCCTGCCCTATCTTTCCTTCCTGCCCTGGTCTGTCCTGCGGCCCCCTCAGTCCTCATGGCCAAGTCAGCCAACAGCAACCCACACACAGAGGCCACTTCTGGATGGGTGTCTGGCAAGGTGTGGGTCTGAATTCAGCCTTTTGCCTCGCGTGCCAACCCCCGTGTCCTGGGCTCTCCAAGAGCCACCTTAGGAAGATGGGGAGTGGGTCTGGACCACTGAGCAACTGGTCATTCTGCATCAGCTCCTGAAAGTCCCTTGTGGACCAGCTCCCTGATGAGGACAAGCTCTTAGCTCAGAACAACACAGAATCCAGCGCTGACCATAGGACGGCTGTCTAATGGTCCTTCTCTAGAAACCTCTCTGTGCCATTCTGAAAGTGGAAAATGCCGGCATTGGTCATGCGACCTTGCATAGCTGTCTATTTTCATGGTCTCTCCACCCACTCTGGCCCCTTCATGTTTTGTGGAGAGAATAGCAGACCTCGCCCCCCGCCCCAGTGTTAAGAGGTGACTTAGACACCCTCACCTTGAAGTTTTCACATATTTTCTATCCATAGTATTTGTATACTTCACACGAAGACTTATTAGTGGATAAATATAATAAACTCCTTCCTATTGAAATAAAATTTGAGAAGAACATGGTATGTGCCAGCCAAAGCCCAAATTCAAATGAACCCTTCTGTGAAGGGGAAGAATCAGTCTTGTTGAGAGAAAGTAATTTAGATGCAGAAGGAATCCCAGCTGCCTAGAAATCCCCGTTGCCAACAGCAGGCGAAAGGAACCACCCATGGGAGGGAATGTCGCAGGGCAGCGGCAGGTCGGGCGGCAGTGCAGCAGCCGTGAGAACGCAGGACTCACACTTCCGGGCTGTGTCGCCAACATTGGCAACCAGTCGTCACCTGCCAACCCACTTGGGGGAGCATGGATGGTATTGGTCGGGCTCTATCCAGCTGTTTGTTAGCAGTGAGTACAAAAAAATAAAAAAATGCTATTTTTTAGCTGGTCAGAAATGACTTGAAAGACCTCAGACTGTTGAGTTAACTTAAAACAGCCCCTCCTTTGCATCTAACAAAGTAATAAAATTGTGTGTGTTCATCCAATGGGTAAATATGCAGCCTCTGCTGTTTCAAGGAAAGTGAAAGGCTCAGCAGTATGTGTTATCTTGCCCTCCTTAAGGCATGCTTTTCCTCTGAATGTCCTTGGCTCAGAAAGCTGGTTGTCAGGGAGCTTCACTGGGGTCTCTGAGGGGACTTCTCCAGAGGAGCTGGTGAAGGAGCGCGTGAGGACACAGGAGAGCAGCATCTCTGGCTGGCACTCTGCCCAGCCGGGCAGGTTGAGCCCACTTTCACAACCCTGAGGCGGTCACAGCCCGACCGTCAGGGGGAACCCACTCTCACGGTCCTGGGGTGGTCACTCAGCTGGCCTGGCAGGTGGCACCCAGTCTCACAGCCCTGAGGCAGTCACAGCCTGACCGTCAGGGGGAACCCACTCTCACAGTCCTGGGGTGGTCACTCAGCTGGCCTGGCAGGTGGCACCCAGTCTCACAGCCCTGAGGCAGTCACAGCCTGACCGTCGGGGGAACCCACTCTCACAGTCCTGGGGTGGTCACTCAGCTGGCCTGGCAGGTGGCACCCAGTCTCACAGCCCTGAGGCAGTCACAGCCTGACCGTCAGGGGGAACCCACTCTCACAGTCCTGGGGTGGTCACTCAGCGGTCCCGGCAGGGGGAACCCACTTTCACAGCCCCGAGGCGGTCGGTCACTCAGCCTAGCCCAGCCCAGCAGGTGGAACCCACTCCCCACTGTCACAGCCCTGAGGCGGCGGGGGCGTCCTCCACCTCGCTCTTCCTGGAGAGACGCCAGTGTGTGGGTTTGGAAGCGGAGTCTATTTTAAGTTTGCAGTTCCTGAAGGAGCCTGTGTTGGCTGTGCTGTCTCCACATGGTCACAGCCTTGAAGCCTCCAGCCTTTTAAGGACAAGCCTCTGCCTGGCTGCCTGTGGTTGGGGCAAGCCGCTACTTACGTTCGCGGTGCCTGTTGCGTTTTCCCACCTAAGAGGGCACAGGAGGTGGTGGAAGGGGAGTGGAACTAAGGTGGGGGACTTGAGAGCAAACTGTGAGTGTCCAGAGCTGTAGGAGGTTCGGAGAAGACACCGAGTGCTCCTCCTGCAGGGTGAGAAACCCTCCTGTTTCTGATTGCCTCATGCACCACCATGCTCAGGTCACCCGGCAGGCACCCCTCCCTGGGGCTGAGCCCAGATCAACGCGGAGCAGTTTCCTAGGGCTGCGGTAAGCAGCTGCCTTGCACTTTGCGGCTAAAGCAGCACAGATCTATTATCCTAAGTTCTGGAGGCCAGGAGGCCTCCAATCAAGGTGTCAGCAGGGCTGGTCCCTCCTGCAGGCTCCTGGCCTTCCCAGCTTTCCTGGTTTCCTGGCCTTCCCAGCTTCTAGAGGCTGCCTGCGTATATGGTCTTGTGACCCCTCCTCTAGTCACCTCTCCTCTCTGCTGGCCCCTGCTGCCTCCCTTGTGCAAGAACCCCTGTGATGACATTGGGCCACTCAGTCCAGGAAACCCCCCATCAAGATCTTCAACCCCATTTGCTCAGCCCCTTTGCCACCCGAGGTCCCATGTCCCAGGAGCTGGGGATCAGGATGCGGCTGTCCTTGGGGCCCTGTTCTGTGCACCACAGTCCCCACCTTGGGCCGACAAGAAGGCCCTGTGGAGACTGGCAGCCACAGGCCCTGCTCTGGGTGGCCCTTCAGCTTCTTCTTACCTCCCACGTGGCTGGAGAGGAGGGTCTCACCCACCACAGAGATGGGCCTTCTGCCTCAGAGAAGGCGTGGAGCAGCGGGGCTGGCGTCGGCAGCTGTGCCTTGCGTTTTCTGGCAGCTGTGAGCAGCCCTGCCTTGCCAGCTTGGTCAGCAGAGCCTCGCGTCTGCCGTGGGCTGGCTGCACCCCTCCGGGGCCCTGGCCCAGGCCCAGGCCCATCCCTGTCCCCATGTGGTGCACACCGTGGGGAGAGGTGGACATAGGCTGTCCCATGTGTGGTGACAGGTGGTCTCCATAGCCATGTCTGGCACAGGGTTGCCCATCCAGGGGAGGGAGGCCTCTGGGAGGAAGAGAGGGGAGGCTGCTTTGTCCATCGTGGAAGTTCAAAAAACCCAGAAAAACCCCTACAGGGGTACCTGGAAGCTGTTGGTGCTCAGAAGCTCTTCCCACCTACAGATCTTGTGATGGGGCCTGCAGGTGAGTGCCCACCGGCTGCCAAGGAAAGCCTCAAGCCGCACAGTTGGGGCCCTGCCGGCCAGTGGGGGTGGGTTTGCTGCGGGCTGCACAGTGCTGGCCTCCTGAACTCTTCACCTTCCACAGACAACAGCATCCTCATCTCTGCCCAGGAGGTCTGCTCCTTTCTCCTGGGCCCCCCTCCCCACTCTGCCTTCAGAGCCCTTTGTGCTTTGGCCCCCACCCTGCCAGCCCCCTCCCTGCGCCCCCCTCCTCACCACCCAGTCCTTCATGCAGCCTTTCCTCTCCCTGGGCTTGCAGGTCTGCCCCACCAAGCCCCCATTCCAGGACGCAGCCAGGCTGTCTGCCCTCTGCGAGCAGGTGTGGCACATGTGTTGCTGGTTCATCCCGTGGGCTCACAGGCGGCTCCTGTGCAGACCTCTAGTGGGTGTGGGACTTCAGGCAGCAGCCTTTGGCCCCTGCCGGCCCACACCCCAGGACCCATGCCACAGCACCTACCGAGGGAAAGAGACCAAAGGGCATGCACCATCTCAGGTCTCGAGAGGGACAGAGCCAGGCAGGAGCCTGGGCAGGCGTCAGCAGGGCCCTCGTGTTCCTGGGTCCCACTGTCCTTCCCGCTGCCCAGGGCATGGCCAGGCCGGAGGCCTCGGTGTGCCGTTGGGACCAGGCCTGGGAACCCCTCTGGCTTGTTTCCCCTTTTTAGTTACACAAATACTTTATGATCACTTCTGAAAATTTAGGAATTTTAGGAATGAACAAGGAAGATAGCTTTAGAGTTATATACATTTTCTTTTACTTGCCATTAGAGTCTTCCTAGACCCTGTTTTTTAAAGATGCCTGACTCTCCACGCCCGGCTGTGACCAAGCCTGCCGCCCCTCCATCATAGCTGCTTCTCAGTGTCCGGCACATCCTGTACTGGGTGCTGAGGGGACCCAGGGAGGGTGTGGCGAGAGGAGGACCCTGACCAGGCATCCCTGGGACACGGCTGCCCAGCACGGGCATTTTTTCTTTTATGGAGGCTCAGAAGTGAGGCCTGAGAACACAAGAGAAACGGCCTCGTTAGACCCTGGCCCCACTTTCTTCCCAATCTCAACCACCTTCGACGACTCAGTCATCAATGTCTGCGTCTCTCCCCCTGCTGTCCTCTGTAACCCACGGGTGGCTGACGCAGCCATTGTCCCTGTCTCCAGGGCAGCAGCACAGGAGCGTGTGGCCCTCCCGAGGCCCCTCCCGCACGCCCTGTGGGCACCCCGGGTCCCATCGCTGCAGGGTTCCCTGTCTCAATAGTAGCCTCTCCTTCTGATGTCTTGTGGTCAGATGTTTGCTGGAAAGGGCCCCAGAGCCCCAGTGAAAATCCAGACTCAGAGATGAGACTGAAACGGGAAGTGTCAGCATTGTTTTAGGGTTTTTCACTTCAAAAGCCAATAATCCTCTGAAGCAGGGCCCTTCTGCACTCCTTCCAGGCTCAGCAACTACCTGACAAAGGAACGAGGGGCTGAAGCGGAACGTACTGGAAGCCCTGGCCAGCAGGTGGCCAGTGGGACGCTGACTTGAAACCTCTTTGAAGCAGTCATGGGAGCAGTGGGAACAATTGCCCCGTAATTGTTGGACAGTGTCACACAACTAGACAGGCACCTACTTGAATCACAGAATGGAGCTGTGTGGTGTTTCTGTGACACTGGGATGAAGCTGCAGGCACGAGCAGGGGTCTGCACAGCCGACCACGGGGACAGACAGGCGTGCGGCTGCCACTCACCTGCACGTGGTGGCCATGTGACATGCACAGGCCCTTACACCGCCCCAAGCTCCTATCCGTACCAGTGTTGGAAGAAGCCGCTCAATCAGCAGTTGGTTTGCTTTGATTTTACCTTAAAATCCTGACGCTATCCTGGTCATAATGAGCTCTCATCCGTGTGTGGGGTCCTTACACCGAGGACACCAGGTCTAAACACAAGTGGGAAAGGTCAATGTTTACATCTACACTTCAGATGCCTAAAAACAGAGTCTTCGGGGAGCAAGGAGGAACCGTTCCTCAGATTTCCAAAGGTCATGCCCCGAGGGGGCAGCTTGGTGGACTGGAGCCGTCTGAAAAAGAAGGTGGTGGGTCGGGAGCCCTGAGCCTCCTGCTTGGGCCAAGGCATGCCCACAGGAGACCTCTTGCCCGCTCAAGGACTCGGGGGCCTGAGGGATCCCTGAGGAAGCTGTGAGTGGTGGGCAGCCGTCTGGCTGTAGGAGATGCATCATCTCAGCTTCTTTATAACAGGGCCAGCCTGTACTGCTGAGGGTGGACCAAAGCCACACAGCATGGGGCGGAGGGGCTATAAGGACTGGAAACCTTTCTAAATCTCTGCCACCACTTCGTGAGCCCACTCTGAGGTGTGCCCCCTCCCTAGATTCTCACAGCAAGCTTGGCTGCAGGTGGGGACGGCCTGATTTTTCTCCCATTATGTACGTAAGAAAATAGGCTCTAGGGTGGGACCTCCCCAGTCTCCCAGATGGAATGTGGTGAGTCCAGGTTCAGGCTCAGTCAGGGCTCTCCTGAGACCAGGACCCACAGGATGAACAGATATGGAGACAGTTACAAGGATTCTGGAGGCTCAGAAGCCCCAAGATCTGCTGTCTGCAAGCTGGAGACCCAGGAGAGCCAGTGGTGCAAGTTCCAGTCCAAGGGAAGACCAATGTCCCACCTCAACAGGCCAGTGTCAGGTATGGTGGCTCGCGCCTGTAATCCGAGTGCTTTGGGAGGCTGAGGTGGGAGGATCGCTTGAGGCTGAGTTGGAGACCAGCCCGGGCAACATAGATGAGGCCTTGTCTCTTCAAAAAGTAAAAGTGTGGTGGCACGCGCCTGTTGTCCCAGCTATGTGGGAGGCTGAGGTGGGAGGATTGCTTGAGCCCAGGAGTTTGCACTCCAGCCTGAGCAACAGAGAAGACCTTGTCTCTAAAAAACAAACAAACAAAAGCAAAAAACAAAAAACAGGCAGAGAGTGGGAATTCTTTCTTCCACCACCTTTCTGTTCTTTCCAGACCCCCAGTGGACTGGAGGATGCCTGCCCACGCTGGGGAGTGCCGCCTGCCTTCCCGAATCCACCAGGTCACATGCTGATCTCATCCCCCACAGATACACCCCAAAAATCTTGTTTGACCAAATACCTGGGCAGCTGTAGTCCAGTCGGGTTGGATGTCTAAAGCTGATCTGTACAATTGCTAACTCGCTTCGCCCTCCGAGCCGTGCATCTCACTCCTCAGACACAAATGCTGGTGCTCATTCCTGCCCCAAGCTCCTATCCGTATCAGTGTTGGAAGAAGTCGCTCAATCAGCAGTTGGTTTGCTTTGATTTTACCTTAAAATCCCGACACTATCCTGGTCATAATGAGCTCTCATACGTCCGTCCCAAAGAGGGACATGTGTCCATTGCATTCGTGGGGTTAAAGCAATGAGAAAGCCTGCAAGGCAGGAAGCTTGGGGTTGGGGGCTCCAGGGGAGCAAGGAAGGGTTGGGGGCTCCAGGGGCAGAAGGGGGTGCCCTGTGACTTCTGAGACACTGCATTTGAAGTAGAGAGCCTTCTCTTCTGGACTCCTGCACGCTTTATCTTTGTGTGAACTGTTCCCTGCAAAATAAATACACAGGCCTCTGCTGGCTCCTGCCTAGGCCAGGATGGCTCGAGGCTTGGTGAAGTCCCCAAGGAGGGAGGGCCACCTCGGCTGGCTCTAGTTTTTTCTGTCCCAGACACTGGAGGCCTGGATTTGTGGAAGATGAAGGGACATACTGAGTTGCGTCGTCAGGCTGGCATCTGAGCCACCTTTGCAATCCCTAGTTTGTCCTTGTATTTGGAACGCTGGAGGCTCGAGTCAGGATCCGGGTCCCACCGACGTGTATTTGTGCTTTCAAGATGGCTGGGGCTTTTAGCCTTGGCAGCTTTGCTCGGGCAGGCCTGCTGCTTTTTACATTGGGTTTTCCAGCGACTCCACTTACAGCTGCAAAATGGACAGTGGGCTGTAGACCCTGAACAACGTCAAGTGAGTGCATGTTTTGAACGCCTGTTACTTTTCCGTCGCCACTCATGGAGCGGAGGCTGTGGAGATGTCGGTTACTTTCTGTCCCCTGGGGGCTCAGGACCCAGCTGCAGAGCAGCCTTGAATGAGACCACAGGGAGCCTCTGAACAGGGCCTTGAGGGGCCAAAGGGAGAAGAGCAGCCTGGAGGCCATTGTCCGGAGCACAGCCTGGCTTCGTCTCTGGAATGCGTGGCTGAGGCTGGGAAGAGGGACGGACGTGTGGGCAGGGCCCAGGAGGTTCTAGCTCTTAAGTGTTGGTGGAAATGAGCTGCTATTTCCCTAAGAATTGTACACAATCCTGAACCTTGCTGCCGTTAACTGAACCTCTGGACTTTTGCTCAAACAGCTGTAGTGACGACAGAGCTTGTCCCCCGACCTCACCTCCTCCACCTCACCACCAGAGGATGTAAATTGGCTAACTTGGCCTCGGAAGACCAGCTTGAAGGGCAGGGCCACCTATGCACATGTGACCTCCATGTTCACCCAGTGCCCACGCTCAAGAAGGGCCCACACTTGATTTAATGTTCAGCTGTGGCCGTCCTGAAAGTCTGAACAAGTTTTGGACCAGAGCCTCCCGTTTTCATCTTGCACTGGGGGCCACAGGTTATGTCGCTGCCGTGGGCGTGTTGAGGCACCACCCCGTGCTTCCTGGAGCCCTCATCCCTCTTGCCATCTGGCAACAAGAGCTGGGCTGGCCTGTTGCATAGTCTTTGAGGCCTTCAGTGGATGGAGGAGCTCACGGCAGCAGGAAGGCCGGTGTGTGAGAGGAGCCCCGGGAGGACCCTCACAGGACCCTGGGCCTGGAGGCCTGGGGCTCGGCGGGGAGGGCGGGGCTTGCTCTGGGCCTCAGAGAGTCAGGAGCCGTCCCTGTCTGTGTCTGGTGCGCAGAGAGGGCGGGGCTTACTGGGCCCTGGTGAGGCAGGGACTGTCCCTGTCTGTATCTGGTAGCAGCTGCCTCCCGGTCTTTGTCCAGCTTCTTCCTTAGGCCGAGCATTTGGCTGTGGCTGCAGGAAGCCCAGCGGGGCGTGCAGAAGGCAGGCACACAGGACAGTCACTGAGCCATTTTCCTCTGTGGGCCTCAGGAGCTCTGTCCCTGGGGGCTCTGGGAGTTGGTGTGGGATGTAGGCCTTAGGCACCTGCATTGGTATAGGGCTGTCCTGGTATGACTTCTTGGTATTCCCAGGCTCGGATGCCTGCTGCCAGATAATGTCCAGGGCCTTGGTCTAAGCAGTGTGAGCAGGCGGGACGGCCCCAGATGGCCTGGCCTAGGCCTCCAGGGATTCTGTACCCATGAGGAAGGGGCTGCACTGCAGCCTGGATCCCAGCTCCTTACCCAGGATCCCACCCACACTACCTGCTGAGCACCGGGCTTCAGGACTGAGGAGTCCCATGGGAGGCACAGCACCCACCACCATGGGCTGGGCATCCGTCTCCTGGACACTGCCCTGGCACTTCACGCAGGGTTCCCTCCTTCCGCCAACCCTGTGAGGCCGTGGCCTTATCCTCATTTCACCAAAGGCGGCCTGAGGTTCAGAGAAGTTAGGCAGGACATCAAAGACACACAGCAGGCATTTCCAGCATGGGGCCCTCTGGCCCCAGAGCTTGTGCTTGTAGCCTTCTCTCTGCCTGCAGGAGCCTCACTCTGACTTTCCCCAAAATCTGACCAAAGGGAGTGAGTGCATTTAGCACACCTGGGCACACATCCATGTCAGGCGTGCCTGACAAAACCTCGGTCCTGCCTCCTTCAGGGAGGTCCTGCACCAGCGTCAGGAGCCGTTGAACTCAAAGCTTTAATGTGGACAACAAAGGGATTCATCGAGATGAGCTGGAGCTGGGCTGGAGAAGGTGTAGCGTCCGTGAGTGTTGACCTGGATACCTGAACGGTGTGGGGGTGTTTGTGATTGCAGTGAGCCCTTGGGCTTGAGACTCACTCCGTGGCTCTGAGCGCAGTGCCTGCGGGGAGGGCCCCGGAGGCATCACTGAGGGGTTTGCAGGCCCAGCACCTCATACAGAGCATGCGGGTTAACGAGCTAATTCCACAGAGGGTGGCAAGGGACAACGTCTTCCCCTAGTAACACACTACCCTTCGGAAACCCTCCCAGCTCATCACTGCACCCATCTCCCCGTCTGCTGGGGCTGGGGCCGGAGCTGTGGTATGGAGTGCAGGGCTCATGACCACCTGGGATTTGAGTGGCTTGAGTGGCCAGGTGCCACCTAGGAGGGTGACGGAGCCCCAGCTGGGGCTGAGGAGGAGCAAGTGGGAGGAGCGTGCAGCCATCCTTCCTCGACTTCGAGAAGTCACTGGAGCAGGGGCCGAACACACACAGCTGCCAAGGTGTGGCCCCTCTCTCTGGAAACCTGCAAGGGACACGTCTGCCCTGGAAGCCTGGGCTCCCTGTTCAGAACGGAATCCCTGGGGCCCTCCTCTCCTGTCCTGGTCTGGGGGTGCAGCTCATTATGTGAGGCTCTGGGCTGCTTCCTGTCCGCAAGCGGATCCCATTCTCAGCGCAGTGTCTTCCACCCTCCTGCTCCAGGCACCTGGGTTGCACACAGGGTGCTTCTGGCTTGCAGTCCCGGAGCCCTGTGGGCCCTTGAAGCCTGGGGACGGCCTTCAGGGGGGTCTGGAGTGGTCCACTCTGCACGTTTGGCCGTGATGCCTGGTTGAGCTGCAGCACTTCTCTTGGTGTGCACATTCATTGTGTGTTTAAAAAATACAAAGTAACTGGGTGGAAGCTCTGGAGATGCTTCTGCTCTGACATGCTGGTTTTCATCCCAGGGCCAATCGATCCATTCCGTGAGAAAACTGTTCATGAAGGACCAGTGTGTGGCCAAGTCCTCCCTGGAGGGAGCCTCAGCCCCCAGGATCCTCCCAGCCTGGCCATACGGGGTAGACTGCAGCCCTGACCGGCTCGGTGGGGCGCAGGGAGCCTCGCGGTGCAGCCTGCGTTCCGGTTGGGGTGTCCGCTCTTCCCCCGAGGGGCCTCCCAGCGTCTTTGAAAGGAGCTGGAGCGACGCTCAGAGGTGAGGAGCTTGGTCTGGGTAGCAAGGAGGCTCTGATTTCCTGTCTCCACTCAGCAGCAGCGTGACTTTGGGCAAATTGCTGATCTGTGAGCTCGTGTCTTCCTGGCTGCAAAGCAGGAGGAATGATGGCGCTGCCGCTGCGGTTGTGCAAATGAAGGAGCCCAGCGTCTGCAGAGCGGCCTGCTCAACGCCTGCCGGTGACCTGAGAAGTGGCTTGTCATTTCCTCCCCAGTCAGGCCCTCCTGCGGGAGGGGTGCCGGGGCTCTGATGGCTGTACACGTGCCTGGGTTTCTGTAGAGGATAGAGAGAGGAGAGGCAGGGAGGCTTGCCTGGGAGTCTGCTACCAAAACCATGGAATTCTGTCTCGGGGAGGCACCTTGCAATAAAGAAGCAGCCTCCACAGGCCCCCTGGGAAGTCACCCCCATGGCTGTGTCTGGAGATGAGCTCTGGGCGCGGGGTGCAGCCTGGGAGGGCCAGTGTGCCCCCCACCTAGGGTGGTCCTGCAGCCTTTGCCTTCTATTGCGGATGGTGGCGGGTTGGCCGAGCTTTGGGGACCAGTTTCCTCCAAAGTTACTATGGCCCCAAGGCTCTGGGGACAGGGGCAGGTGGCTCTGGGCGTGGACAGAGCTTGCTCCTTGAGCTGGAAACCCTGGCTAACGAGCGAGCAGAGGCCCTGGGACCACCAGGGGCTGTCGAGCTGCACTCTCCAGGCTGCCAGAGGCTTCCATTAGGCACACTGGTGTTTGATTTTGTTTCCTTGGAAGACCTGGAGTTTTTGTCGGTTCTGAGTCATTTTTCTTGATCCGCGCTGCCAGTTCCATGAAGAAAATCACTTTCAAACAGATGTGGAGGAAAGTGCACCTCCTCACTTGTCCAGACCCGGCCTGAATTCACATGGAAAGGTAATCATTTCCCGCCATGAGCTCACTGAGAGTCTGACAGCACTGTGAGGGGAGGTGGCCAGCCAGGCACCCAGCCTGAGCCGTGACCAGAGGTCCGAGCCAGAGATGCAGCCTTGGGATCTCAGCCTGCGGCGCTGGCCCTGGGGCCACACTCAGCATGGGGGACGCCAGGCTGGAGCAGACGCCAGACCCAAACAGCCGCTCTGCCCCCGGGGACTTTGGCAAGGCTGCTGCCTACGTGAAATGATGGAAAGGTCTAGGCTGGCCCCAGGTCCTTTCTGGCATGGCCTCAGGATCTTGGCAGGAGGATAACAATGCCAGGAGGGGGTGGGCTGAGTCATGTGCCTCCTCTCAGGGGCCTGGCTGCAGTGGTCAGGGGCAGGGTGGCTCATTTTGCGGGCACCGGTGCCCTGCACCTGGAGGAGGACCAGCAACAGGACTAGCCAGGTGGCCGCAGGCCCTTAGGACACAGGGGAGGCCCAGGATTTATGGGAAGGAAGGAGCAGAGCACCTGAGTCTGGGGACATCTCGGGACAGGCACTGCCCCCAGCAGCCTCAGCTTCCCCCCATAAAAGGGACAGACGCTGCCCCATGCCTTTAGCTCCATCACTGTCCAGGGACAGGGACTAAACCCTAGACCCCTCATCCCCAAGGAGTCTTGGACTGCAGGTCCAGCTCTGCAGAGGGGCTGCAGGGAGCATCCAGGGCCCATACTCGTCTGCTCATCTCTCAGTCTCTGTGTTTATGGAACACCAGGGGATGCCAGTGCTGTGCCAGGAGGGGCGGTCGGTGCTGAGTGAGGCCTGCTTCCCAAATCAGGCACATTCTTATGAGACTAAGATTTGTCCCTGCTCATGGACATTAAAAAAATGTCAAAGACAGCAGGATTAAGCGGAATCACAGTGTCCTGCCCCCAGTCCCTAACAGAATAGAAAGGAAAAACTAGAAAAATAATCCCAGCAGAAAACAAACAAGGCCATACACTTTGAAAATTTGTAGCCAAAGACCAGGTGTAGTGGCTCACGCCTGTAATCCCAACACTTTGGGAGGCTGAGGCGGGAGGATCACTTGAGCCCAGGAAATTGGGGCTGCAGTGAGCTCTGATTGCGCCACTGCACTCCATCCAGCCTGTGTGGCACTGTGAGACCCCATCTCAAAAAAAAAGAAAGAAAAATTAGTAGCCAATAAAATAAGCAAAAGATTTCAGAGTAGAGCAGAAGGCAGATTCGTGTGGCTCTGACCTGCCACCAAGCCTGAGTCCCACTGGTACACAAGCGGAGCCCCAGGCCGCCTCTGTGCTTGGGATCTGGAGACAGGGAGTCTTGCAATGCCTCTGGCAGACATGGGAAGATAACTGTGAGTTGAAACTCTCCGTAAGAAGTGGAGGCTCCAGGGATGCGTTGGCCTGTGGGCATGGCCTGAGACCAGGACTGGATGCACCACTCTCCCTGTGATGAGGTGAAGCCAGCTCTGGTCTGGGCCATTTCACAGGATTCCAGAAGCAGGAGCAGAGCCTCAGCATTTGAACGAACCTTCTTCCACTTCGGCTGAGCTCCTCCTGCCACCACCATCCTTGCAGGCTTCCCGAAGGTGGCCTGAACACAAACTGCCTGGGCTTCCTGTGGCTAAGAGGGGAAGACGAGCCTTTGCCAGGTTTTGTGGAAAGAGTTAAAACCCCTCCAGTGCTGTGTTAAAACATATGAGGACCCAGTCAGAGCTGCTCGGGCTTGAAGAGAATGGAAAGGCAGGGAAGGGGAGGGCAAGTGACAGGCAAACGTCCCACAGAGAAACCCGTGACTCAGTGCTGGAGAAGGGACCACAGCATGCGCAAGATAAACATGCGGAAGGCAGAGGACGCACAGCTCGTGAACAGAAAAAAAAAATATTCCTGTGCTTTGCCTAAGAGAACAGTTTGATAAGAACATGAATTCAATAAAATAAATGTCAACAACGTATAAGACTAAGAAATGAAAATAAGATGTCAGACCTCAGGAAGCAAACAGAACCGAAACAGTGTCAGAACCAAACCAATACATTTCAAACAGCAACAAACGACATAGCAAGGCTGAAATTGCTATTGACAGAAATCCATCGTTCTCCAAGTGTGGCTCCTGGACCAGCGGCCCCAGCCTCCACCTGGGAGCTTGTCGGAAATGCAGGTGTCTAGGCTGCACCCAGGCCTGCTGGCTCAGGCGCCCTGGTGGGTGGGCCCCAGCAGCATCTGTGTTTAGCAAGGTGATTGCAGCGCACACTACCGCGTGAACACCGCTGCCCTAGAGGAAAGGCTGAAGACAGCCACAGTAAGTAAAGGTAAACGTGGTAGAGGGATGAAAACTGTTGTGAACTTTGTATATGTAAAACTAATTTATAGGAAGGTGGACAAAGGCAGTCCGGCAAAAGAATCACTGGTGTTCAGACCAAAGTGATTCCAAGTGAAATAGTTTGTGCACACATGGTGTGATCTTTCAATATGCAGAATCCATTTGTTTTTCTCATTTCAGAGGATTTTAAAATCTAAGGTCCATACTGTTTTGGTGCAGAAAATTCACTAGTTTTACTTTCATTTGCTTATGTTGAAAACTGATATTAAAATAAATTAAATGTAATTTAAAATAGCATTGATAGATCCCATTTCATGAAAGCATACCTGTGTTTCTGTTGATATACAGGCATAAAAATATCAGGATGTTGTTCACTGATGTAGATGGTTTTTCTGAAGAGAGGAATTTGGAATTTTTTTTCCTTTCTTCCTTGAACCTTTTTTTCTTTTTTTTTTTTTGAGACAGAGTCTTACTCTGTTGCCCAGGCTGGAGTGCAGTGGTGCGATCTTGGCTCCCTGCAAGCTCCGCCTCTCAGGTTCAATCATTTTCCCACCTCAGCCTCCTGAGAAGCTGGGATTACAAACGTGCGCCATCATGCCCAGCTAATTTTTGTATTTTTAGTAGAGATGGAGTTTTACCATATTGGCCAGTCTGGTCTCCAACTCCCGACCTCAGGTGATCTGCCCGCCTTGGCCTTCCAAAGTGCTGGGATTATAGGTGTGAGCCACCACGTCCTTGAACTTTGTCGTTTTGATGTCGAGGAAGGAACCTCTGACACCGAGGGTGGAACAGCCGCAGTTCTGTGCCCCCGGTGCATTCACATCATCGGGCGTGGGAAGTGTCTGTCCCTGTTTGTGAAGATACTTTACCCTATGTGCCACTCCCATTGCCCTTGTCCAGGGAGGCCAGCATTCCCTGTGCTTGAGAGATCTTTTTGTTTGCATATGTTCTGACATAATGTGTTGTTTCGTGTGTTTGCATTTTTAAGGAACGTAAATGGTTATGGGTCATACGTCTATTGCCTGTGTGTTTTCACTCAACACTGCCTCTGTAAGCTCCTTCCTTGTTGCCGTGGGTGCATCTGGCTTGCCTGTTTCTGCACCTTGTAGTGACCTTGCTGCTGTCCAGTTTCGCTTACCCTTCCTGGGTGGTGGGTACCCAGACGGCCTGCAGTGCTGCAGGAAGAACCTCACACATGGAGAAGAATATCTGTGGTTCACAGAAAACTGTGCATTGCCTAGAGGACACTCCTCAAGGTTATTGGATTCTACTCTGTCATCATTTAGAACTATCTTATAACTCTGTTCCTTGTAGGTCACTGATAGCAGTACAAAAGAATTCATATAGACGGGAATGTTCTGTGCTGTATAGTGGAAATCCAGTGAATACCTCCCATCCCCAGGAGAGAGCCCGGTTTGCCTTCACTTGCATATTGATTTAAATATCTCTGATCTCTAAGTGTGGCTATTCTTTGGATTCTGTTTTGAACTGGTGATAACATCTGTCTGATACCTTCCTTGATAAGTGAATAGACTAAATTTCAAATGTGTTCCTTTTTATATTTCTATGAGAGTCATGATTTTACTTTTTTTCTGAAAATTAGCTTTTAACACACATATCTCCTTATGGATCTGTGTAGAAATTTACTTGGAGAAATTTATCAAAGAATAGCATTGCTGGATGTGCTGGGCATTACTGATGTTCATCAATATTCAATCCTTGCCTCCTTCTGGAAACTCAGAGCGTACTTCCAGCAATGTGGCTCATTCTGTCCCCAGGCTGGGAATAGCCGTGACAGTGTCATTAGTGGGCCAAAGCAATGATAAGCTATGGTGAGATCCTTATGCCACACACTCTCTTCCCTTGCCACAGTGACTGCCAGTGTTTTAGCTCAGGGCTGGCAAACTGGCCCGGGGGCCACATCCCACTCACCACCTGTTTTTGTAAATAAAACTTTATTGGAACACAGCTGTGACGTGTCATCTGTGGCTGGTTTTGCCTGGAGTTGAGTATTTGTAACAGAGGCTGTATGGCCTGCAAAGCCGGATGTGATGTCTTTACCCTCCAACCCTTTACAGAAAGTTTGCCAACCCCTGTTGTGGATGGTGGAGCTTTCAGCCGCCTGGGTTCCTCAGAGGCGGTGGGAAGCAGAGCCTACCCCCAAGTCACACCAGACACCTGAGCAAGACATGACCCTTCCCCGGGCTGAGCTGCCAAGCCTGGGCAGACTTGTTGCCAGGCCTCTCCTGGTCAGCCCTGACTGAGTAGGGCTGGCTGCCCCATGGAATCGCAGCTTGGCCTGCACTGCAGCCGGTTCCAGGAGGGGCCATGTGGCCCTCGTCTCCCACACCTGGGATTATCAGCGTTCTGACCGTCCCCAGGGCCAGGCATAGCTGTGCTTCCAGTGGGTAGTGCCCTGTTTCCGTGTGCCTGGTAGCCCCTGGATTTCTTCTTTCCATTGCCTGTTTGCATCCTTTCCTTCTCTTTGGCTAGGATAGCTGTCCCTTCCTTGTCGATGTGGAGAAATTCCTTTCCTATTTGGAAACTTTAGACATTACAAATAACCTCTCACCATTTCTTGAATATTCTGCATGGGTCAAATCCTTCATAATGAACTTGTATAATCTTTATCCCCCCAAAATGATTCTCCTTAAAAATGCAAAAGCAAACAAAAAGTGTGGCAAAAGCAGAAATGCCTTCAGCAATGGCAGACACGTTGGAGTACGCGGGTGGCCCCCCAGGGAGCTGTTTCCACTGCAGCTGCCTCACTTCCTGGGACAGATGTGGGCTTTGCTCCTTTGTGGTTCTACCCCTCTCTCTCCGCGAGTTCCACTCGCCCTCCCCACAAACCCAGGAGCATTTCAGCAGGTGCCCTGCTGGGGCTGGTTTGAATAAGTCACCTCTTTGGAAAGTGTCCAGAAGACACTGGCTGGCATGTTGGGGCTCACCAAGGCAGGAACCCGACAGACCCCCAGGCCTCCCTTTCCACTCAGTGAGGATCATGACAGTGCCCGGGGCATGAAACGCGGGCAGCTGGATCCTGACTGTCCGCGGGTCCGAGGATCCTCCCCACGCCTGGGCGCTCAGGGCCACCAGCTTACGTCTGCCTAAGCCCTGCGAAAGGAGAGCATTGTGGGGCCTCCTGAGGCAGCGTCTTTCCGCCGAGCACTGTTTCCCCCAACCCAACGGCTGAGCATTGCGGGGCCTCGTGAGGCAGCGTCTTTCCGCCGAGGAATGTTTCCTCCAACTCAACGGCTAAACAGGAACCAAGCCGTCCGCGGGGGCCGCTGACCCTCTGGCTGTGCTGGGTATGTGTTGCTCAGCTCATGCACTTGTGCACCGATGCTCGCTGGATGGTGCATTCGCTGCGCCGTCTTCTCTGTGCCGTTTGGGTGAAACTTCCTTACTCCTGCCAGGATCTGCACCCTCCCCTGCCTCGTTTCCTAGCCGCCCCCGTTTAACTGATCCACAGGTCCCCTCTGCCGGCATCTGCGCAAGTCCACCCTGCAGCCCCCCAGGGCAGCTCATGCAAAGGCAGAGAGGAGACTGAGATCCAGAGATCATGGCAGTGGATTAACCACAGCTGCCCGGGAGCAGACCCCACTGGGCAGGAAGAGACGCTGCCCTGGAAGTAGCCGCCTCCCAGGGCATCCTGGAAGAGGCATCCTGAAGCTCACACACATAGAAGAGCTTCTCCATTGATCATACAGCCTCTGACAAACCAGGAAGCAACTGACCTATTGCACAAGTTGGAGACCAAAAGCATAAACCCCGTGTGTGTCGGTGGCTGCCCAGGCCAGCGGCCACCTCAGTGCAGGTGAGGTCTGTCCTCAGGGGGGCCTGTGCAGCATGCGGAGTGGCGGGAGGTGTGGGACGGCCAGCCTGGACAGCAGGTGTCTGTAGTGGGCAGAGCACTGCCATTGCCACGCTACAGGTTTATTCCATATCACGGTGCTGTGAGCTACATGCTGTTATCACCCCCATTTGCAGATGGAGAAACTGAGGCCCTGACAGATGGGGGAGCTGTCCGAGAAGAGAAGTGGGGACTGCTGGGGAGTGGGGTGCTGGGGTTGCGGCCGAGCACTGGGCTCCCTTCTCTTATCCCCGAGGCTGTCCTGGCGTCAGGGATGCAGGGAAAAGGCCACCAACCAAACAGAGCCGCAGAAGCACAGCAGTGAGTATTTGCGGCTGCTCTCCAAGGATTTAAACCATGGCTCGGTGGCCCCAGCCAGTGACAGTGTGGCACATTGGGGTGCTGTGAGCAGTCATGATCAGCTGTGAGGTGTGTTACAAATAATTTGTTACAATTAAAGTCGGGCTTCCACCAGAATGGCTGTAATAAAAAGGTAGATGGTAACCAACGTTGACAAGGATGTGGAGAAACTGGAACCCTTGTGTGTTGTCAGTGGGGTGTAAAATGGCCCTGCTGCTTTGGAAAACAGCTTGGTGGTTCCTCAAAAAATAAATGAGTAGAATCAGGATCAGCTCAAGAGCACTGAACGCACATGTCCTCACAGAGTCTTGTACATGCATGTTCAGAGCACATTATTCACAATAGCCAAAAAGTGGGAGCAGCCCACATACCCGTCAGCTGATGACTGGATGAGCGGACTGTGGTGCATACACATGGCAGACTCATTAGGCCATAAAATGAATGAAGCTGGGATCGAGGCCACCGCGTACATGAACCTTGACAACAGCCACAAAAAGCACATAGTGTATGATGCCAGTTACTTGACATGTCCAGAACTGGCAAATTCAGGAAGACAGAAAGTAGATGAGTGGTTGCCAGGGGCTGGGAGGAAGGGGAACGGGCAGTGACTGTCCATGGGCATGAGGCATCCTTTTCAGATGATGGAAATGTTCTAAAATCATACCGCAGTAGTTACGCAATTCTGTAAATTTCCTGAAAACATCGAGTTGCATACTCGAAATGGGTGTATTTTATGGTATAGAAGCTATGGCTCAGTGATGTTGCTTTTAAAAACTGATGGCAAAGTAGAGTGCATGGGCTCATGTTGGCAGGTTCTTGACCATTTTGCAATCACAGCTGTGCGGTGAGCGTCTCTGGGGTGGCCACTGCGGACTGCCCCCAGCCCTCCCCTCTGCTCCTGATTCGTCAAGAGGGGGCATGTGGCCATGGACACACGAGGGGAGGGCAGCTGGGGCTTCCAGAAAAGATTACATCACTTGTACTTATTTCTTTTTTATTTTTATTTTTTTGAGACAGGGTCTCTCTCTGTCACCCAGGCTGGAGTCCAGTGGCGCGACTGTGGCTCACTGCAACCTCCGCCTCTCAGATTCAAGCAATTCTCCTGCCTCAGCCTCTCGAGTAGCTGAGATTACAGGCATGCACCGCAACACCCGGTGCCTGGCTAATTTTTTTATTATTAGTAGAGACAGGGTTTCGCCATGTTGGCCAGGCTGGTCTTGAACGCCTGACCTCAGGTGATCCACCCGCCTGGGCCTCCCAAAGTGCTGGGATTACAGGCATGAGTCACCACAACCTGGCCAAGACTTACTTTTTTAAAAGCAGGTTTAGGTTCACAGCAAATCTGAGCGTAAGGCAGGGATTTTCCCCATGCCCCCTGCCCCACACTTGCATCCTTGTTCCCCACCAGAGTGTCCCTGTCCTGGTGTGTGAGCCTGCACTGACCCGTCGTCATCCCCCAGCCTGCAGTTTACTTTAGGGCCCCCTCGGTGTTGTGCCTGCTATGGGTTTCAGCAAACGCATAATGACACGTATCCACCGTTTCAGTGTCACGCAGAGCAGCCTCCTGCCCTAACAGCGTCTGTGCTCTGCCTGTTTATTTCCCTGCCCCCACTTACCTTTAAGGAGACACCAGGAGCAATGCCCATTCTCTGCCTGGGGACACTGCCGCCTCTACCATGTCCTGCTGCCCTGCCATCCTGAGGAAAGCCAGCAGAGACCCTGGCAGATCCTGGGGCCCGGAAGCTGCTTGTGTGAGTCAGCATGCACAGGGCATCTGCTGCCCACACCTCCGCTTGGCCTGACCAACAGTCACTGTTCACTCTCTTCCTGCACCCTCATGAGTGCTCTTGAACAGGAGAAGTTCTGGGGCTGGAGCCACAGCTGCCCTTGTAATAACTGCAGGATCCCAGCACCTGGTTCAGGCTGCCCAGCCCTGGGGGAGCCGGGAGTAATAACAAGGTCTGTATTGAGAAGCACCTTCCAGGTATTGCAACACAGGGCGTTTCTGAAAACAACAGTTTCCCTGTGTGTTAGTCTGTTTTCACGCTGCCAATAAAGACATACCCGGTCAAGACCGGGTATTTTATAAAGAAAAAGAGGTTTAATGGACTCACAGTTCCATGTGGCTGGGGAGGCCTCACAATCATGGCAGAAGGTGAAAGGCATGTCTTACATGGCGGCAGGCAAAAGAGAATGGGAGCCAAGAGAAAGGAGTTTCCCCTATAAAACCATCAGATCTTGTGAGACTTACTCCCTACCATGAGAACAGTATAGGGGAAACCACTCTCATGATTTAATTATCTCCCACCAGGTCCCTCCCACAACATGTGGGAATTATGGGAGCTACAATTCCAGATGAGATTTGGGTGGGGACACAGCCAAACCATGTCATCACTATCGTTATGTCAGTGGGAGTGAGACAGCCAGGGAGTCCCCGTCCTCAACTCTGTGGGAAAATATTACGCACCATGAGCTGAGCGATGGGGACAAATGCAGAAATGGGAAGTGCAGGCTGCTCCCCGAGGCCCGATCTCTGACCCCCACACGGCCCTGTCGGCCTGCAGGGCCCAGGGAATCCGGTCAGCGATGAATTGTAATTTTCCCATCCAGTGGCACCGGTCACCATCCACATTACAAAAGTGGATTTTCACTGGATGAGCTAAAATCTGTTCACCAAATGTGTTTGAGTGGCCTTTGGGTTGGCTCTTACTTTACACTTAACACCACAGGGCAGGCAGGGACTGGGGGAAACGAGGGCCTTCCAATACTTGCCCAGGTCCTGCAGGGCAGGGCTGGCCACAGAGGGAGGCACCCCGTTCAATTTTGCATCCTGGGAACCAGCGCTGAGAGACAGCCAGGAAGGACATGGCAGGTGCTATTTCGGACCAGAGGCGAGAGAGAAGGACTCTCCCAGGAAGAGCAGGCAGCATCCATGCAGGGGAGGCCTCCATTCCAGGGGCGCCAGAGGTGGTTCTGAGGCTGTGGGTAAGGCAAAGTGGGGAGGGCCAGGCTGGTGGGCACGCGGCAGCTGCACCAACTACACTCCTAGGCCCCAGTGGGAGCTTGGATTGAAACCTGGTGAGCGAGAGGGAGTGGGGTTGTCTGAGTTGCAGGCCCATGTGTGGAAAACGGGTGGGGGCGGAGGTGGCTGGTCCATGCGGTGGACAGAGAGAGCCAGAGAAAGGAACGAAGTGATTGATGCTGCACGGAGGTCACAGTGAGAACGCTGCGCTGAGACCTGTCAAAGGACAGACAATCGCAGCTGACAGGACGAATGAGGTCCAGCGCCCTCTACCGCTCTAGGATGACTCTGCACTTACTAATCACATGCAGCTTCAAACAAGGAGGATGTTGAATGCTCCCAGTACAAAACAGGGATAAATGTTTAAGATGATGGGTAAGCGAATTACCCTGATCTGATCACTGTACATTATATGGATCCAAACATCATGAGTATGTACAATTCGTCAATAAAAAAATAAAATGAAAAGGTGATGAGAAAAGAAGCCAGACGTCAAGGACCCCGTATTGTTACAATTCCTTTCATGCCACATGTGCAGAGTGAGATTTGGTTCGTGGTTCGTCAGGCTGGGGGTGGGGGTGGGGAGGCAGGAGGTGGAGTGGGAACTAGGAGAAGGTTAAGACCCACCTGCCCCCCACTCCCTCCCAACATGGCAGTGACTCTGCTGATAAGTGGCTGGTGTCATCACATGTGGGAGGCAGAGTTCATGGGACAGTGTGGAGACTAGGATCCAGGGCAGGAGATGGTGCCTATTAGTTTACTTAAATCTGGCCAGGCATGGTGGCTCACACCTGTAATCCCAGCATTTTGGGAGGCCAAGGCAGGAGAATTGCTTGAGGCCAGCAGGAGGATCGCCTGGGGCCAAGAGCTCAAGACCAGCCTGGGCAACATGGAGAAACCCCACCTCTACAAAAATTAATAAATTATCCGGGCCTGGCAGTGTGCACCTGTAGTCCCAGCTACTCTAGAGGCAAAGGCAGGAGGATTGCTTGAGCCCAGATGTTCAAGGCTGCAATGAGCTGTGATCGTGTCACTCCACTCCAGCCTGGGTGACAGAGTGAGACGCCCTCTCTAAAAAAATTCAAAATACAAAACTGGATCATTCAAATCTATGATCCAATCCGCTTATGGAATGGTGTTACCTTGATTAATCTCTCTTCCCTGTAATTTTGGGACGTGCCCCTGTTTCACTGACTTCGTTCCGTACAGGGCCCTACATATCATTCCTTAGATCCTTGGAGCACCTGATGCCTGTCAAAGCATTTTCACACACAGGGTTTTACACGACACTCCCCGTAGCCCTGGGAGGAGGCTGCAGGGACTTCCTGCAAGTGTAGCTGTGCATTAAGTTGGAGGCTCTGAGAGATCCCGCCACTGCACTCCAGCCTGGGTGACAGAGCGAGATTCCGTCAAAACAAAACAAAACAAAAAAACAAAAAAAAAACCATGGAGGCTCCGTGGCTTGGCTGTCCCAGCCTACAGCAGTGGTGGCAGGACTGGCAGGACCAGCTGGCTCCAGGTCGCTCCCCAGGCCCGGCTGCAGCCTTTGTCCTCAGGTATAGACACATCATTATTGTGGCCTGGGATGTCCCCAGGAGACAGCGAGACAGGGAACTCCTGAAGGGTAGAGATGGAGGCCTGAGCTTGGAGCATCTCTGAGCAGTGTAAGAGGGACCCGAGGCAGATGGGATGGAGGGATATGGCCTGGGTGGGCAGAGTTCCTCTGTTCCTCAACTGCTGTTAGCCTTGAGAAGGGCAAGGGCTCCCAGCATCCAAACTGCTTGCCTCCTGGGGGTCCCTCCCTAGCCTCCTATCCCTCACTCCGATGTGACCTGCTACTGCCTGGGACCTGCCCCTGTGCTGGGAGGTGCTGAGATGCCCCCATCCCAGGCCCTGCCACGGGAGACAGACCACAACCTACACGGGCTGCCGTCACTTGTCATAGCCTGCCTTCCCCACTGAGGGCTGCTTCTAGCGTGTACGGTGGAGTCTCGCTCATAGTGTAGGCTCTTAAAAATGGTTTGTAAATAAATGGATTAATAAAGCCCATTAAATACTTTGATCAGAGGCCAGGCGCGGTGGCTCACACCTGTAATCACAGCACTTTGGGAGGCCGAGGCGGGTGGATCACGAGGTCAGGAGATTGAGACCATCCTGGCTAACACGGTGAAACCCCGTCTCTACTAAAAATACAAAAAAAATTAGCCGGGTATGGTGGCGGATGCCTGTAGTCCCAGCTACTCGGGAGGCTGAGGCAGGAGAATGGCGTGAACCCGGGAGGTGGAGCTTACAGTGAGCCGAGATCCCACCACTGCACTCCAGCCTGGGCGACAGAGCGAGACTCCGTCTCAAAAAAAAAAAAAATTCTTTGACCAGAGAGTTTCACTTTTGGAAACTTATCCCAGAGGAAGACCTAATTTACAAAAGGGCTCACAGCTTCATTTTCTAAAATAGCAAGAAACGTGTAAGCAATCTACACGCCTGCGGGCTTGCGGGGGTGCCGTGTCATGGAAAAGCGCAGAAATGTTTTACTGCTGTCGCATGGTAACCGTGTAGGCTTTGCAGGTGCTTGGAAAGTAGTTTTTTAAATGGTTAGAAGAAAAGCAGAATGCAGAGAAACACAGGTACAACAGTTTCGGCCAAGCACAAGTGTCAAAATAAGGGTTTCAGCCAAGCAATGAATTAATAGATTCTTGGTGCTAAGAGGCAAAAGGGTATTTGGGTTTTTGTTTCCCATTTTTTCGCAAAATATAAAGATGTCTATTCAATAAACATGAAAAAGGAACCATGTGTGATTAAAGGAGCAGAGGTGCAGGCCGGGCGCGGTGGCTCACGCCTGTAATCCCAGCACTTTGGGAGGCCGAAGAGGGTGGATCACGAGGTCAGGAGATTGAGACCATCCTGGCTAATATGGTGAAACCCCGTCTCTACTAAAAATACAAAAAATAGCTGGGCGTGGTGATGGGCGCCTGTGGTCCCAGCTACTTGGGAGGCTGAGGCAGGAGAATGGCGTGAACCCGGGAGGCGGAGCTTGCAGTGAGCCGAGATCGCACCACTGCACTCCAGCCTGGGCCACAGAGCGAGACTCCGTCTCAAAAAAAAAAAAAAAAAAAAAAGCAGAGGTGCAGATGAAGGGCGGCTCTTCAGAGCCCAGTACTGTGAGTGTGATTTGTCCAGAGGGATGGAGGCTCTTGGGGAGCCCCAGGGCAGCTGTCTTCTCACAGGACGTTACAGCTTGGGGGCCGCTATGGCCTGTGGGCCAGCCTTCTCATCTTGCTGAGCTTGTATTCATTCACTGAGTAAACACTGACTGGGCACCTGCTGTGTGCCAAGCACTGGTTTGGGCGCTTGGAGATCTGGAGGGCACAGTGCAGGTGGAGACCCTGCTTGGGGGAAAGACGCTGTGGCGAGGAGACCCCGCTTGGTGGAAAGACGCTGTGGCGAGGCGAGTGGTGTCCCCAGAACGTGTCCACCTGGGACTTGTGAATGTGACCTCATTTGGAAAAGGGATCTTTGCAGATATGTTAGTTAAGGATACTGAGATGAGCTCATCCTGGCTTTCGGGCACATCCTCATCCAATGACAAGTGTCATCGAAGGAGAGGGAGGGGGCTGTGTGAGGACGGGCAGGGGCTGGAGCGAGGTGCCTGCATGCCAGGGGTGCTGGGCACCTCCAGAGAGGCCCGGAACAGCTTCTTTCCTGCAGCCCTGCAGACACCTTGATTTCTGCAGAAGTGAGAGAGACTACATCATGTGGATTAAGCCGGTCTGCCCCAAAGAGCTCATGCCTGTGGCCAGGGTGAAAGTTGCTGTTCAGATGCTCACAGGGAAAAGCCAATGGGACCAGAAGCACTCAATTTAGCAAATCAAGTCACTGCTCTGCTCAAAACCCTCCGAGGCTCCCACGGCCCTAAAAAGCTAAACGCCATTCTCCACAGGGCCCTACTGCCCCCTGACCTCCCTCCCTGCCACACCCCTCCTGGACCCTGCCCCCCCTCCTGGGCATGCTGTACCCGTCCACCAGGACCCTGCGGCCTCCTGACCTCCCTCCCTGCCACACCCCTCCTGGACCCTGCCCCCCCTCCTGGGCATGCTGTACCCGTCCACCAGGACCCTGCGGCCTCCTGACCTCCCTCCCTGCCACACCCCTCCTGGACCCTGCCCCTCCTCCTGAGCTCGCTGTACCCATCCACCGGGGCCTCCATGCCTGCTGTTCCCCTGCCAGGAACTCTTCTGCACGCCCTCTGGTCCGGCTCCCGGTGCATCCTTGCCTTCCACCTCCCTGTTTCCCACAACCCCGCCCTGTGTACCTTTCCTTCCTGGTGCTCACCACTGATTGGCCGGGTGCCACCTGTGAGTCTGTAGAGCTCTTTGGGGGCGGCAGGCAGGGTCAGCAGAGGCTGCGGACAGCGGGGTGCAGAGGGACTGGAGCCACTGCCTGCAGACAGGCAGGACCGTCTTTCTGCTTGGTGTGACCTGGTCATTTCTCTCGGCGAAGTGGCGATCAGGACGGGATCCATGGGGACGGGGTCAGGAAAGGTCTCTGAGGAGGGCATCCTGGGAGATGATCTGCATGCACGGCTGAAGGAGGAAATTTGCAGGGGATGTGAAGGTCATGGCAAAGGTCAGAGCAGGGGCAATGGAGGAGCAGGGGTGGCAGAGGAGCAGGGGTGGTGGAGAAGCAGGGCTGGCGGAGGACTAGGGGCGGTGGAGAAGCAGGGCTGGCTGAGGAGCAGGGGCAGTGGAGAAGCAGGGCTGGTGGAGGAGCAGGGGCGGTGGAGAAGCAGGGGCAGCGGAGGAGCAGGGGCAGTGGAGGAGCAGGACTGGTGGAGGAGCAGGGGCAGTTGAGAAGCAGGACTGGCTGAGGAGCAGGGGCGGTGGAGAAGCAGGGGCAGCGGAGGAGCAGGGGCAGTGGAGGAGCAGGACTGGTGGAGGAGCAGGGGCAGTTGAGAAGCAGGACTGGCTGAGGAGCAGGGGCGGTGGAGAAGCAGGGGCAGCGGAGGAGCAGGGGCAGTGGAGGAGCAGGGGCAGTGGAGGAGCAGGACTGGTGGAGGAGCAGGGGCAGTGGAGGAGCAGGGCTGGCTGAGGAGCAGGGGCAGTGGGAGAGCAGGGCCGGCGGAGGAGCAAGAGCAGTGGAGGAGCAGGGGCAGTGGAGGAGCAGGGCTGGTGGAGAAGCAGGGGCAGTGGAGGAGCAAGAGCAGTGGAGAAGCAGGGCTGGTGGAGAAGCAGGGCCGGCGGAGGAGCAAGAGCAGTGGAGGAGCAGGGGCAGTGGAGGAGCAGGGGTGGTGGAGAAGCAGGGGCGGTGGAGGAGCAAGAGCAGTGGAGGAGCAGGGCTGGTGGAGAAGCAGGGCCGGCGGAGGAGCAGGGCAGCTTGCTGGAGCAGCAAGGGCTGCCGCACTTCCCGGGCTTGTGAGGTGCACTAGCCTCCCACAAGAAGGAAAATCACCACTGATTAAATAACGTTGAGAGGTGAGGAAACACTGCCATGGCTTATTTTGCATTCCTTGCAAGAGCTCTTTTTGACTCATTTTTTCCTTTTTATGGAGGCTCAGGAGTGAGACCTGAGACCACAAGAGAAATGGCCTCGTGAGACCCTGGCCCCTCCTTCCCATTCTCAACCACCTTCGACAACTCAGTCATCGGTGTCTGCGTCTCTGCCCGGTACCGTCCTCCGTAACCCATGGGTGGCTGATGCAGCCATTGTCCCTGTCTCCAGGGCAGCAGCCAGGCCACCGGTTGGTGCCAAGCACGCACATCACTGCAGTGTCAGGGCAGCGTCTCGCCTGGGTGGCTGCATCCCGGCTTTGGAGACGCCGGGTGGCGATCTTGTTACGATCTCGTTAGCCAGATGCAGCGTTCTCTTCATTTTTAAAGAGCAGTGGGAAGGCACGGGAGGGGGTTCAAGCCTGCTTTGGTTCTTGTCTTCAGCTCACCGGGCGCCAGTGGGGAGCACTGGACAGAGACAGGAGTAGGTGCAGGAGGAAGAGTCGGGGGCTCCTGACCTCGGGAGTGGGATCCGGGTGGCCGCGGGGCGATGGGAGACAAAGCGTTTCGGAGTCAAGGCTGGGAGGATTCGCGGAGGATCCGCTGATGGGAGGAGTGGGGTGAAGGAGCAACCACACAGGCTCCGAGGTTGGGCCTGGGCTGCTTGGAACACGGATACCACCTGTTTGGAAGGGACGCTGCAGGGAACGCGGAAGGGTCTGACATCCTTGCACAGAGGGACCTGGAGCGGGATGTCCGGTGGTTGGCTGGGTGCCTCTGGAGCAGGTGAGGCAGGGCTTGGAGACAGCTTGGGAATCACAGGTGAGAGTGTCCCCCAGGGCCCTGGATGAGGTCACCTGTGGGGAGAGCATAGTTGGAAACGAGATGTCGCTGTCACAGCTCCAGGGTGGGAGACAGGAACTGCATTAAACCCAGCAGCGGCTCGCGGTGGGCCAGGGCCGAGGAGTCTGGCGTGGATTCGGGGGATTTCCTGCCATGAGGAACTGACTTCACAGAATAATAATCACAATAGAAGTAATTTTCAGATCGCAAGTGGTTTTCCTTTTTCCTCTTTGTGTTCTCTTTCCAGCTCTGTATTTCATCTTGTCTTTTGCCTTCTTTTCTTTAGTCATGATTCATGGAATTCATGTGCTCCTTTATTTCTTGGAAAACATGAAAGCAGTTGAGGTATACATTTTCTTCTGTTATGGAACAATTATGCCTTCAAAGTGGCATTGGTACCTGCCTTTTTTTTTCTGTTACATTTGTTTTCTTCTTTTGTTATTTTTTTTTTAAAGTCCTGGAATCTTTGTACAGACCTTCTGCTCCTTACTCGCGTTTGTGGTGGGGGCTGTGCTGGGGTCTGCTGTTTTCCCATGTGGGATGGGAGGGCCCTTCTTGACTTCAGTCGCTCTTTACCTGGGTACTGGTGTTTTGTGTCTTTGCTTTTAACTTTTAATTTGATGACTACACATGCACAAGAAATTGCAAACGCAGCATGCAGAAGTCCCCTGTGTCCTTGCCCAGCACCCCCACAGCCACCGTATTGGGGTACCAGGGACCTGACAGTGATGGGCCCACCAGCCTTGCCGAGTTTTTGCCAGCTTTCCTCACACTCATTTGTTGTTCCATGTGGTTTTATAGAATTTTGCCACCTGTGGCGGCTGCCACGCTGATGTCATCGTGTGAATCTCCCTCAGGCTGTCCCCAGTCGCCACCCAGGCTCCTCCCCTTGCCCCACCCCTAACCCTGGCAACCAGGAAGCTGTTCTGCAGCTCTGTGATTTTGTCATTTTGAGAATTTTGTATAAATGGAATTGTGCGGCATGTGACCTTTAGAGATTAACTTTTAAAATTCAGCCTAATGCCCTTGAGCCCCCTCCAGGCTGTGAGAGTGGCAATACAGTCATGCTTTGTGTAATGACGGGGATACATCCTGAGGACTGCACCGTTAGGTCGGTGAGTCAGCCAGTGGGTGGGGAGTGAACGTGAGGGCCTGGGACATGACTGTGCACTGCTGCAGACTTTATAGACATTGCACACTTAGGCTAAACTCAATTTATCGTTAAAAGTTTTCTTTCTTCAGTAAGCTAACCTTAGCTTACTCTAAGTCTTTTACTTCATACACTTTTTGATATTTTTTAACTTTCTGACTCTTTTATAATAACATTTACCTTAAAATACATGTTACAGCTCTATATTCTTTCTTCATATCCTTATTCTATAAGCTTTATTCTATTACTTTTTTAACTTTTAAAACTTTAAAAAAATACTAAGGCACAAATGCACACATTAGCCTAGGTCTACATACGGTCAGGATCATCCATGTCTGATAGGGTATAACTGTGTCCCCACCCAAGTCTCATCTTGAATTGTAGCTCCCATAATCCCCATGTGTTGTGGGAGGGACCTGGTGGGAGGCCGTTGAATCGTGGGGGTGGATCTTTCCCATGCTGTTCTTGTCACAGTGAATCAGTCTCATGGGATCTGGTGGTTTTATAAAGAGAAGCTCCCCTGCACACACTTTCTTGCCTGCCACCATGTAAGACGTGTCTTGCTTCCCCTTCGCTCTCCACCATGATTGTGAGGCCTCCCCAGCCATGTGGAACTGTGAGTCCATTAAACCTCTTTCCTTTATGAATTACCCGGTCTCGGGTACGTCTTTATTAGCAGCATGAGGACAGACTAATATGACGTCACTGTCTTCCACCTCCACCTCCTGTCCCACTGGAAGGTCTTCAGGAGCAGTAGCACACATGGAATTGTTCTCCCCTGTGGTAATGATGCCTTCTTCTGAATACCTCCTGAAGGACTTATCTGAGGCTGTTTTACAGGTATCTATTTTTTTTTATAAGTAGGAGGAGTACACTCCAAAATTATGATAAAAAGTATAGTGTACTAAAAATATAATCCAGAAATATCGTCAGTTATTTTCATCAGTATTATGTACTGTACATAATTGCATGTGCTAGACTTGTATATGACTGGCACACAGTAGGTTTGCTTACACCAGCCTCATCACAGACAAGCTATGACATATGCTGGCTACAGTGTCACTAGGGGATAGGATTTCTTCAGCTTCATTATAGTCTCATGGGACCACTGTAGCATATTTGGTCTGTTGTTGACTGAAGCATTGTATGCTAGTTTTTTCTGTTTATTGCTGAGCTCACATTACCAGTGTACCACAGTTTGTTTAACCATTCACCCATTGAAGGAAATTGACATCGTTTCCAGATTTTGACAATTATGAATAAAGCCGCTATGAACATTGATATACAAGTTTTTGTGTAGACAGAAAGTTTCATTCCTCTGGTGTAAATGCCCAGAAGTGTAATTGCTGGATCGTAGGGTAAGTGTATGTTTAATTTTTTATCAGAGACTCCAAAATGTTTCCCAGAGTGGGGTACCACCTTACATTCCCACCAATGATGTGTGAAGGACAATCTCTCAGCATCCTCGTCAGGCTTTGGTGTGGTCTCTATTTTTAATTTTAGTTGCTCTGAAAGATGTATAGTGATATTTCATTGTGGTCTTCATTTCTCTAGTGACTGGTGATGTTAACATGTTTTCATGTGCTAATCTGTATATCCTCT
This sequence comes from Homo sapiens, assembly GCF_000001405.40. Classification (NCBI taxonomy): domain Eukaryota; kingdom Metazoa; phylum Chordata; class Mammalia; order Primates; family Hominidae; genus Homo; species Homo sapiens. Next base: position 239,925,869 of record NC_000002.12, on the reverse strand, counting down.
TTGTGAAATATCTGTTCATGTCTTTTGCACATTTTCTAACTGGACTGAGCTGATCATTGTTGAGATTTGAGACCTTCTTTATGTATTTCAGATTTTGTCCTCTGCCAGGTGATCTCCCACCTTGTAGCTTGTCTTTTCATTCTGTCACTAGGGCTTTTCACAGAGCAAAAACTTAAATTTGCGTGAGGTCCAATTTTATGTATATTTTTTAATTGATAATACTTTACGAGTCAAGTCTTAAGAATTCTTCACCTAACCCTAGATCTCAAAGATGACCTTCTCTGTTGTTTTCTGCAAGTTTAGTAGTTTTACACTTTACATTTAAGTCTGTGGTCCATTGTGAGTTAATTTTTGTACATAAAGGGAGACTTAGGTCGCAGTTCATTTCTTTTGCCAATGGATGTTCACTCACTTCAGCACCATTTATTTGTAGAAAGACTATCCCTTCCCCATTGAATTGCTTTTGCACCTTTGTCAAACATCAATTGGAAGTACTTGTATGGATCTGTTTCTAGGTTCTTTATTCTGTTCTCTTTTCTCTCTGTTTCTCTATAGTCTTGATTACCGTAATGATGGAGTAAAAATTAAAATCAGGTAGAGTGATTCCTCCCACATTTTTCTTCTTTTTCAAAATTTGTTTAAGCTAGTCTAGTTTATTTTCCTTTCCATATAAAATATAAGATATGCTTATTCACATCTGCACAGATTTCTGCTAGGATTTTAATAAGAACTACACTAAGACTATAGATGAATTTAGGGAGAATTGAGTTTTCCAATTCATGAATGTGGTATTTCTCTCCATCTATTTAGATCTTATTTTACTTATCTCATTAACATTTTGTAGTTTTCAACATACAGATCCTGCACATGGCATGTTTATTTATACATAGGTAATTTTTTGAGTTATTGTAAATACACTGCATTGTATTTTTAATTTCAGTTTCTATGGGCTCATTGCTATTATACAGAAATACAATAATTTTTACGTGTGTTGTTCTTGTATCCTGCAGCCTTGATGAACACGCATTAGTTCTAAGAATTTTAAAATAATTGAGGGGAGATAATTTCTATGTATACCATCATGTCATCTGCAAATAAGAAGAGTTTTTCTTTATTTTTTTCCAATCTCTATGCCATTTGTTTTCCTTTCTTGACTTACTACTCTAGTTAGGATTTTTGGTCCTACATTGAATAGGAGTGGTAATAGTAGACATCTCCAACTTCTTAATGATATTCAGGATCCGAGTCTTTTATCATTAAGTGTTATGTTAGCTGTGATTTCTTTTTTTTGGTAAATGTTCTTTATCGAGTTGAGGAAGTTCCTCTCTCTACCTGTTTGCCGAGAGGTTTTTTTTTAACATCATAAATCAGTGGGTTGACTTTTGTCAAGTACATTTTCTGCATCATCAATTGATATGATAATGTGAGTTTTTCTTCTTTACCTGTTTACCTGTTGATGGTGTATTATATTATTTTCAATGAACCCTACTTTGCATTCCTGCAATAAAACCCACTTGATTGTGGGGTATGATTCTTTTTTTAATGTGATGTTTGATTGAATTTGCTAGTGTTTTGCTGGGGATGTTTGTATCTAAGTTCATGAAGGATATTGATATTTTTCATTTTTGTGCTTCCTTTTTCAGGTTTTTATTAAGGTAATACCAGTCGCATAAAATGAAAAAGGATATGCTTTTTTCTCTTTTATTTTCTGGAAGAGACTGTGTATAATTGGCACTAATTACTCTTTGAATGTTTGGTAGAATTCTCCACTGATACCACCTGGGCATGGAGACTTTTAAAGAAGCTTTTAAATTAAAGATTAAATGCATTTTATATTGGATGAGCTGTAGTTTTCAAGTAATTGATCCATGTCATCTAAGTTGTGAAATTTATGTGTGCAGTAATGTTTGTAATATTTGCTCCTTTTAATGGCTGCAGGGTCTGTAGTAATATCACCTGTTTCATTTCCAGCATTGGTAATTTGTGTCTTCTCTCTTTTTCCTTTGTCTGTCTTGCTAGAGGTTTATTAATTTTATTGATATTTTCATGGAAACAAGTTTTTATTTTCTTGATTTCCCTTATTTTTCTGTTTTCAATTTCATTGATTTCTGCTTTTTAATTTTCTTTTTCTTTTTTTTCTTGCTCTGTGTTTATTGTGCCCTTTTTCCTAGCTTATTTGTGTAGGAATTCAGATTATCTTGGCACTTAAATTATTGATTTGGGACTCTTCCTCTTTTCTAATGTAAGCATTTAATACGCACCCCACAAATTTTGATGTGTGTGTTTTTATTTCTATTTTTTCTGTATTATTTACTTTTCTTCTAGGATATTTCTTGAACCCATGTATTATTTATAAATCTGTTGTTTAATTTTCAAGTGCTTTGAGATACTCCTGTTATCTTTTTGTTATTGATTTCTTCTTTGGTTTCCTTATGGTCAGAGAACATATTTTGTATGGTTTCAGTTTTTTTTATGAACCAGGATATGGTCTATTTGGGGAATTTTTCATAGGTATAGAATGTATATTATGCAGTTTGAAGTGCAGCAGTCTAGAATATTAGATACTTTTGTTTGATAGTGCTCAGTTTTTATGCATCTTTGCTGATTTTGTGTCTAGCAGTTGTATTGCTGAGAGAAGGGTATTGAAGTCTACAAGTTTATTTGTGGATTTGTCTATTTCTACTTTCAGTTTTTGTGTTATGTATTATGAAGCTGTGTTGCTCAGTGGCTATGTATTTTGGATTGCTGTGTCTTCTTGCATATTGACCCTTTCATCATGATGTATGTAATGGCCTCTTTTGTCCCTGGTAATTTTCTTTGCTCTGACACCTACTTTATCTGATAACATATATAGCTACTCATACTTCTCTTCTTTTAAGCCAACATCTGCCTCCATCCTTTACTTCTAATTTACCAGACTTTGATGTTCTTGAGCCCTGGCAATGCCAGTTGCTCCTTGGTTTGCAGCCTCATGGTAATCATTGTCCTTTCTACTTCGCAAAGGTGTGGTATCCGTACCCTACCATCTTACCTGCTGGCACACTGCACACCTGTGATGGGGCCGGGGATTCTTAGGGTGCTTACAGCTCCAGGATGACACCTGGGGTGGAAACCCACTTCACTCTCCCTCACAGTCTGCCTCATCAATTTTAAACCAGGTGTCCCTGGAATCATAGCTGTCATATCATGTTGGTACAGGGGCTGGGATGAGCCCAAGGACCAAGGCATTGTGGCGTAGAAAAGTCAACCTGACGGACGACAGTGGTAATGGCAATGCCCAGCCTCTGATTTTTCCCAGGTGACACCGCCTCTATCCCCTGAGAAGTCATTGTACTGTCTAGAGGAACACATGGTCACTATCCGAGAAAGACATCCATGTGTGGGAGAAAGACCTGTCTCTGTGTACCTGTCATGGAAGGTGGAGGTAGGGCATGGTCTGTGAGTGCTCCTCTCTGTCCTGGGGTCCCTGATGCCTTGGCCTGCAGCTCACTGCCTGCCTTGAGCCCCTCTGAGACTGGGTGGTGGCATTGAGGGCTCCCAGGCTGCCCAGCCATAGTCAGCAGAAAGGCAGACTGTGGGGTTGGCCAGCTGAGGTGCCTAGCTGCCTTTCAGCACAGAATCCAAGTCACCCAAAGATAACTGGCCACTCCAGAGCAGAAGTGGGTATAAAGACAAAGGGACACTCAGGACATTTAGCAGCAAGGTAGGAAAAGCTCATTTAGGGGCAACTGCTTATAATTGAGGGGAAAATGGAAGGAAGGGAGGAAGGGAGGAAGGAAGGAAACAAGCAAGGAAGGAAGGAAAGAAGGAAGGGAGGGAGGGAAGAAGGGAAGGAAGGAAAGAAGGAAGAAGGGAAGGAAGGAAAGAAGGAAGGAGGGAGGGAAGGAAAGAAGGAGGAAAGGAGGGAGGGAGGGGAGGAGGAAAGGAAAGAAGGAAGGAAGGACAGAAAAATGGAGGAAAGGAGAAAAGGAAGGAGAGAGGGAAGGAGGGAGGGAAGAGGGTCAGGAGGATGGACCTGAGCAAAGAGCCAGCAGTGTCCCGTCCCCACCCTGCCCCCAGATCTGGCTGAGCCTGGTTCCGTGAGGCCTCACCCAGAGGGAACTGGAGCTCCATCCATAGAACCTCACTAATGTCTGACCCGGCCTCATCCCGGGTCTCCTCGGCCTGGCCTTACAAGGGGATTGTAAAATGCGCCAATCAGTGCTCTGTAGTAGCAAGAGGTTTGTAAAATGCACCAATCAGTGCTCTGTAAAAACACACCAATCAGTGCCCTGTAGCTAGCAAGAGGTTTGTAAAATGGATCAATCAGCGCTCTGTAAAATGGACCAATCATTGCTCTGTAAAATGGACCAATCAGCAGGGATCCTAAAAGTAACCAATCACGGGGAAGATTGAAAAAAGGGCACTCTGATAGGACAGAAATGGAACATGGGCAGGGACAAATAAGGGAATAAAAGCTGACCACCCAAACCAGTAGCTGCAACCTGCTTGGGTTCCTTTCCACGCTGTAGAAGCTTTGTTCTTTCCTTCTCCACTCTTTGGGTCAGTGCCACCTTTAAGAGCTATAACACTCATGGCAAAGGTCCGTGGCTTTGTTCTTGAAGTCAGTGAGACCACAAACCTACCAGAAGGAAGCAGCTCTGGACACAGCAGGGTTGGGCCCAATGAGGTGCAGCTCACTCGCCTACCTACACGGCTCATGCCCCGGTTCCTGCAGGTTGTGACCTGCCCTAAAGTTTCCTTAGGTTCGAGCCACCATATTGATTTGCAAATAATATTGGTTGATTGACAAACGATCACACACTCCTGTGGGACAGGGGCTCTGGCTCTTGGTTGCTCTGTCCACAGAACCCTGTGGCTGTGTGGAAGATGCTACTTCCTGGACAATCATCTCTAGGCATTCAGCCTTCCCCAGGATACCTGAGGAGAGACAGGAGAAACCTGCCCACCTGGGGAGACTCAGAGGGGTTGCCCAAAGATTAAAGGGGGCAGCCAATGACCAGGCACCTCAGACGACCCCACCCCTCCGCCTTCTAGGAACTGTGTTCATCTGCATCTGCCAGGCTTTCTTTCAATAGCAGGTGTGGCTGGGGCTGATTCTGCAGAAAAAGCAAGAAACAAAACCACAGCGCCTCCATCGCCGTCACGCAAAAGGCCTGGGAGCCCCTCCCTTAAAGGCCACGTCCCTTCCTTTACCTTCAGAGTTGCTTCCTTCCAGAAACTGTGTGGAGCAGTTGGATGTTGGGCTCTAGGGAAGTTAAGGAGACGGAGACACAGCTCCTTTTGGCAAGTGGGGATGCTATTTAAGGACTCCCGTTCTCAATTTTTAGCTTAGGAGAAAACACTTTAAAAATAGTCTGCGGCTCCAGCCCCAAACTGGCTGTCTGGCTGCTGAAGCCTTTTGATTTTCTCCCCCTCGGATGCTCCTGTCCCTGGGGCCTCAGCCTCCAGGATCTGCCCCAGGACGGGGCTGAGCAGGCACTGTGCCCAGTCCCCATGGCAAGGGGACCTTATCCACGTGTCAGTCTGGGCTGCTGTACAAACTGCTGCTGATGGGATGTCTCAAAGGACATTCCATTCTCAGCTCTGCAGGATGGCAGTCCCAGGTCAGGGTGCTGAGGTATTCTGTTCCTGGGGAGGGCCCTCTCCCCACCTTCCTGCTGAACCCTCACACGGGGTTGGAGAGAGAGGAAGCAGCATTCTGCTGTCCCAGTCCCATCATGGGGCCCCACCCTGTGACCCCACTGAACCCTGACCACCTCCCAAAGGCCCCACCTCCAAATCCCATTATGCTGGGACCAGGGCTTCAACATATGAATGGGGGGGAAGCACCCTGGGAGCAGGGTGAGGGGGCCCCCAATCTCACAGGTGCTGGGGCACACACAGTACTGCACCTTAATTTCAGGCCTTGGACCGTGGCTATCCTGATGGGGAAGGACTGGCGTAGGCAGGGGCACCAGCCTCCTTGCCTCCCTATGGCAGACCTGGGCGGCCCCACCCCTCCTTCCGTAGGGGCCGTGTCTTCCCCCGCATTCTCTCCAAATGGCAGGAGAACTCAGAGTTCATGGAAGATGTGTTCAGGGAAGGGTGAAGTGTGGAGAGAGGCTGCAGGTGGAGAAGCCCTTTGGAAAACGAGGTATTCTCAGGGATGGTTTTGTTTGTGTGTCAGGTTTTCTGAGAATGTGATCCTCTTAGGATGGGGCCTCAGTTTCACAGGAATTACTTGGATTACTGTAGGAAGAATGCTAAAATCACCCATAACCCCACACCCAGTGGCGGGCACTGCAGGTGTTTTGGTGAATCTGTTTCTGTATGAGCCTTAAGGCTGCGTTTGGTTATTCCTTCAACTTACCCCGTTCCGCATGCCCACTGCGTGTTAGGAATCATCCTGGGAGCTGTAAGTGCAGCAGAGAACAAAGCCGTGAGGATGCCCCTGCCCTCGAGGAGCCAGCATTCTAGAAGGAGACAGAAGTAGGCTAGTCGAGTAATTCAAGGAGCCATGAAGGACAGGGAGGGGCAGAGAGTGAGGAGGGAGGGGTGATTTCAAGCAGGGGTGGGAGGCCCCAGTGCAAAGGGGGCATGAGACAAACCAGGAGAAACAAACCATCAAGAGAAAACAGCCCGAAGAGGGGCAGGGCTGCTGTTGTCAGTGGCTCCAGAGCTGCATGCCTTCTGTGCCACCGAAGGTCCACATGGTGGCTGGAGCAGGGACTGGAGTCCTGGTCTGGCTTCCTCCTCAGCAGTGGGTGTCAGTCTGTCCCACCTCGGCCCCTCTGCTGCCTCCCAAGATGGTGCTTAGACCTGGAGAGACAAGTGCCACCTCCCATCCCTGCTGTCTTCAGATCTTGTCAGGAGTCTGCCCTTCATGGGGTGGAAGCAGCCGGTTACTGTGTCCCTGCCATTGGCCTCCCACCTGCTGTGAGTGGGGATGGGAAGATGGACACTGGACGAGCAGGAGGAGGGTGAACTCCATCAGAGGCAGCTGGACCCAGACCTGGAGGAGACCCTGCCACACGGGCCACCCCTTCCTGAACTGGCTGTGTCCTTGGCAAGCCCTCAGCGTGGAGAGCGAGGACACGGGTGGGAGCTGACGTGGGTAACCAGTCACCATGCGTGGTCCCAATGCTGGATTTCCATCTTTGTTCTGTGAGGATGAGGCACCAACTCCACCCCTACCCACACCTGGGAATAAAGTGGAGGAGAGAGAACTTGTGAATGGTGGAGAGCTGTTCTCCAGAGCTGGGGGCTTTCTTAGGGTCTGTGGATGAGGCTGCCACTGCAGGAGGGGAGGGAACTAAGGTATGAGATTGTGTTCATGGGTGAGAAAGTGATTTTGCCAAGTCAGGTTTTCCCTGGCCTCTGTGTCAGGGTCTGTCCTTGGGAGACAGGATTGGGTTAGCACAGGGGTGGAGGGGCTCAAGAGGAAGTCTCCACTGGTACTGAGTGTCAGGCCTGGCGTGCGGGGGCACCTGAGGAGGCCTCGGGTTCAAGGCTCCTGCAAGGGTGGGCTTCCTGAGAGCAAGGGCGATGGGGCGCATGTATGTCCAGTGTCCAGTCCTCCTTGGTGAGGGCCTCCCTGGCCTGTTGCTGCCCAGGGCTGTGGGACCTCAGTGGAAAATACCCAATGGTGGGTTTTCCTGGCAACATGGCAGGTGCTGGCCATGTGCCAGAGCATGCATGGTCCATCTGTGGCACCCTCCTTGATGCAGAGGGTCCCTCAGGCCCCAGAGCAGGTCCAAGGAGGGCAGAGACCCCATAATTCAGGCCCAGGCAGCAGAGACAGAGGCCCTTCCCCTGAGGACCAGGAGCAGGCCCACCTGGACAGCCCAGGCCTCCTCTCCCCACCTGGAGTCCAGGGCTGCTGGGCTGCCGCCACACCATGACTGGCTCTGTGGCTCCCATTCTGCACTGCAGCCCAGGGCTGGGGGTGCTGCTCCTCTGCTGAAACCTTCTCAGGGCTCACATGTCACTGGTACCTGCCATAGCTGCCATCTTCCCAGAGGGGCTCTTGTTGTGGGAATCAGGAGGATGAGAGAGACCTTGGGGTAAAGCAGGAGGATCTTTACTGAGTGCATTCAGAGCCAGCGGACTTAACATCTGGAAAACTGGGCCTGGAACAAAGACAGCACATGACTTTTATGTACACTTCAAAAAGGGGGTGGGCTAGCTTGAAGCAGGCTTACAGTTACAGTGGTGTGGAAGCAAGGATACAGAGGCAAAACAATTAGTCAAATTGTGACAGGTTCATAACTCAGGATTACACATGACTGTTGCTATGCAACCCAGATGTCCGTTATCTAGGTTTTTCTCTCGTGCCTAGCATGGCTTATTCCATGACCTTCACTGTGGTGTCCAGGTGGCTGGATCTCAGGCCTGCCCAGATAGTTTATGATCTTCACTCCACTGCTTAGATAAAACAGAATGCTTGAAGTTACTAGTTACAGAGAACAGGAATCTATAAACTCATACCATAAGAGACAGGAAAATTTGTTTTTATTCTCCCTATGTTGAGGGAGTGCTGGGAGAGTCTTCAGAGCACATTCCTTTTTGTCCTAGCTTCTTAAGACAGTGTTTATCAAGACTTTTCATGGGTGTGGGCCTTGCCTGCTACTGCCTTTGGGATGAGTCAGCCTAATCCAGGAAAGCCTATTTCTTTCTCTTTTTAATTTTATTTTTATTATTTATTTAATTTCCCACCTCACTCTGGCTTCCTGGACCCTTTCCTTCCTTGGTGCTCAGTGTCAGCCCCTCCCTGGCCTAACCTGAGACCCCACCCCCAGGCATTCCTGCCTGGATGTGCTCAGGGCCTCACTCTGGCCGGCGACTGTGACAGGTGTGTGTGTCTCTCTGGGTGTGACCACACTGGAGCAAGTGTTATGTCCACAGTGTTTCATGTCTGCCCTGTAATGCCAGAGCCTGGGACGGTGCCAGCACCCCATGGCTCCTGGTCAGATCTTGGGCATCAAGTCTGAGTCTGACCCCAGGGGTTGAGACATAATGGCCAAAGGGATGGTGCAAAGAGGTGGGGCCACCAAGAGCTGGTGAGGCCGTGAGGGCTGCTCCTCCTGAGGGAATCAAGGCTCTCGTGAAGGAGGCTCACACAGCGCCTGTTCCGCACCTGTCCCTCACCTTCCACCCCAGAGGTGGCAGCACAAGGTGCCGTCCTGGGAGCAGAGAGCGGCCCTCGCAGACACCAAACCTGCTGGTGCCTGGACCCTGGACTTCTCAGCCTCTGGAATGGGGAGGAAATAAATGTTTGCTCTTTATCACTTGTGCAGCGTTGGTATTTTGTTAGCTGCATATGCAGATGAGGATGTGGTCTTTGCTGGATCTGGAGATGTCAGGGAACTGAGCTTGGCCTGTGACGGGCATTTGGGCTCTTCCTACAGGATTCAGTGTGGTGCATCTCTGTGTCTCTGTGTGTGTCTGGCTGTGTCTGTGTCTGTGTGTGTGCGCTACTGTGTGTGTTTGTATGTGTGTCAATGTGTGTGTGTATCTGCATGTCTGTGTATGTGTGTCTGTGTGTGTTCTGTGCATGTGTGTATGTTTGTGTATCTGTGTCTGTGTGTGTCTGTATATTTGTATCTGTGTATGTGTGTGTGTTCTGTGTGTGTGTGTATCTCTGTGTGTCTGTCTGTGTGTATCTGTATATTTGTGTGTGTATGTATGTGTGTGTTCTGTGTGTATGTTTGTGTGAGTATCTCTGTGTGTCTCTCTGTGTGTGTCTGTATATTTGTGTGTGTCTATGTATGTGTGTGTTCTCTGTGTCTCTCTGTGTGTATCTGTATCTTTGTGTCTGAGTATGTATGTGTGTGTGTATGTTTGTGTGAGTATCTCTGTGTGTCTCTCTATGTATCTGTATATTTGTGTGTATCTGTGTATGGGTGTGTGTGTGTGTGTATGTCCATGTATCTCTGTGTGTCTCTCTGTGTCTGTCTGTGTATGTGTGTGTGCTGTGTGTGTATGTGTATCTCTGTGTGTCTCTCTGTGTGTGTCTGTATATTTGTGTGTGCCTGTGTATGTGTGTGTTCTGTGTGTGTGTTTGTGTATCTCTGTGTGTCTCTCTGTCTGTATTTATATATTTCTATGTGTCTGAGTATATATTTGTGTGTTCTGTGTGTGTATGTGTATCTCTGTGTGTCTCTGTATATTTGTGTATGTCTGTGTATGTATGTGTGTGTTCTGTGTGTGTATATGTTTGTGTGTGCATCTCTGTGTGTCTCTGTGTGTCTGTATATTTGTGTGTGTCTGTGTATGTGTGTGTGTGTGTATGTGTATCTCTGTGTGTGTGTCTGTATATTTGTGTCTGTGTATGTGTGTGTTCTCTGTGTATGTTTGTGTATCTGTCTGTGTGTGTCTGTATATTTGTGTGTGTCTGTGTGTGTGTTCTGTGTGTGTGTATGTATGTGTATCTCTGTCTCTCTGTGTGTGTGTCTGTATATTTGTGTCTGTGTATGTGTGTGTTCTGTGTGTATGTATGTGTATCTCTGTCTCTGTGTGTGTCTGTATATTTGTGTGTGTCTGAGTATGTCTTCGTTCTCTGTGTGTGTGTGTATGTTTATCTCTGTCTCTCTGTCTGTGTCTGTATATTTGTGTGTGTCTGTATGTGTGTGTGTTGTGTGTGTATGTTTGTGTATCTGTGTCTCTCTGTGTCTGTGTATTTGTGTGTCTGTATACGTGTGTGTTCTGTGTGTGTATGTTTGTGTATCTCTGTGTGTCTGTATATTTGTGTGTGTCTGTGTATGTGTGTGTTCTGTGTGTGTGTATGTTTGTGTATCTCTGTCTCTGTGTGTGTCTGTATATTTGTGTGTGTCTGTGTATGTGTGTGTTCTGTGTGTGTATGTGTATCTCTGTGTGTCTCTCTGTGTGTGTCTATATATTTGTGTGTGTCTGTGTGTGTGTTCTGTGTGTATGTTTATATATCTCTGTGTCTCTCTCTGTATCTGTATATTTGTGTGTGTCTGAGTATGTATGTGTGTGTATGTTTGTGTGAGTATCTCTGTATGTCTCTCTGTGTGTGTCTGTATATTTGTGTGTGTGTATGTATGTGTGTGTTCTGTGTGTGTATGTGTATCTGTGTGTCTGTATATTTGTGTGTCTGTGTATGTATGTGTGTGTTCTGTGTGTGTATGTGTATCTCTGTATATTTGTGTGTGTCTATGTATGTGTTCTCTGTGTGTGTGTGTATCTCTGTGTCTGTATATTTGTGTGTGTCTGTGTATGTATGTGTGTGTTCTGTGTGTGTATGTGTATCTCTGTATATTTGTGTGTGTCTATGTATGTATGTGTTCTCTGTGTGTGTGTGTATCTCTGTGTCTGTATATTTGTGTGTCTGTGTATGTATGTGTGTGTTCTGTGTGTATGTTTGTGTATCTCTGTGTGTGTCTATATTTGTGTGTGTCTGTGTGTGTATGTTTGTGTGTGTATCTCTGTGTGTCTCTGTGTGTGTCTGTATATTTGTGTGTGTCTGTGTATGTATGTGTGTGTTTTGTGTGTGTATGTGTATCTCTTTGTGTCTGTATATTTGTGTGTGTCTGTATATGTATGTGTTCTGTGTGTGTGTTTGAGTATCTCTGTGTGTCTATATTTGTGTGTGTCTGTGTATGTATATGTGTGTGTTCTGTGTGTGTGTATGTTTGTGTATCTCTGTCTCTGTGTGTGTCTATATTTGTGTGTGTCTGTGTATGTGTGTGTTCTGTGTGTGTGTGTATCTCTGTGTATCTCTGTGTGTGTATCTGTATATTTGTGTGTGTCTGTGTGTGTTGCCTGTGAACTCCGTTTCTCCTGCTGGTCTGGGGAAGTAAAGGTTTCTCAGATCTTGCCAAGCCCAGAGTTTTGTGCTGTCCTGTGCTAAGTCCACGTCCGCCTCAGTTCCTGCCCACCCTTGTTCCACCTGCTGGAAAGGGGAGCTGCTGAACAGACTGACCAGAGAGTGGGAGAAACTGAAGAGGCCACACATGTGGATGACAACAGGACGCTCTTGGCCACGTCCTCCTGCACGCCGAGGTGATGCCCCTTTCTGGCATCTGCACACATGTGCACAGACACTGGCCTTTGCTTCAGGTGCTGGAACATGCAGCCTGCCAGATGGGGTGGGATCCTAAACTGCATCCGGTTGAGCTCAGGGACTCTGCAGTGTTGACAGATCAAACATGGTTGAATACTACAATTTTCCGGTTCAGCCTGTAGTGTTACAGCAACAGGAGGCAGAAGGCCTGCACAGACGTGAGCCTGACGCATACATGCAGGAAAGGACCCTGCCCCTTGGGCCGTGTGGCCCAGAGCTCCCCGCAGTATTGAGATGTCTGCAGTGGTAGCAGACAGCCCCAGGGGGAGAATCACGTGGAGGCGTCTGAGGTGCAGAGCAAGGCCACGCCACCCACCCAGCATGTGTGCTGAGCCCCTTAGAGATGAAGCTCTTGGCCAAGGTTCACCACGTGACCACAAGGCCAGCCCGCCCATCGTGGCAGAGTCCTGTAGGACCCGTCATGTCCTCAGGTTGCGTGGGCCGAGCAACGAGCCCGCACAAGATGGAAGTGGTGCGCCTAGGCCAGCGTCCTCGGAGGAAGGGAGCAAGCTAAGCATGAGTGGCCTCACCCCCAGTCAGCTACGACTCCCACCTGGGTCACTCCCCACGGAGGGCAGTCTTGGCTCAAGGTACAGCCCCACAGAGGGCAGTCTCTTTCAACCAGCTGGCAGAGGAGGAAGAAGGCTGGGCATGGTTCAGGGATTGGTCAGCTTAATGATTGGATGCAAGCCAAACGTGGGCTGGTGGTTATCCTACAGCCCCACTCAGCAGTGGCCCCGAGTGGCAGAGGTGGGGGAAATCCTCCCCTTGCCAGAGCTTTGGGCAGGTCACCTGCCACTTGCTTTCCACAGAAGGAAAGGAGCTGGAGGAGAATACGCATGTTGACTCGGGCAGCTGGGAACAGCTTGGCTGGCTGGACCAAGGCTTGGAAAGACTCGGGAATCGGAAGATCAGGGACAAGGAGGTCTGGAGTTGAGGCAGCACGTGGACCCGATGGAGTGACCTGAATGTGAAGATCTATGGATGGACATTGACACCCAGGTAGACAGGATGACCTGGCCAGTTGACCACCACCAGCCTCTGTCACCTGTGTCCTCAGTGTGACACAATGGGCTCCTGGGCGGAGAGGTGGTGGTGGCAGGGATAGGGGTATGTGTGGCCCCAGCATTGTGGGCCCCAACTCATGGAGGCTGATCCACCTACTGCCAGATGTCCAGCCTACGAGCAACAGACACCAATGCTGAGCCCCACGTGGCACCATCCCTGGGAAAGGCTAGCCAGCCACTCAGTGGCAAGTTAATTGCATCAAGGGCATTCTGCCCAGGAAAGACCCCAGAAGGGTGAGCAGCTACTCTCGCCTGGCTCCAGCATGTGTTCTGGGTACAAGTGTGTCTTTTCTGCCCTCAGGGTCTGGCCAGCACCACCAAGTAGGAGCTGACCCAGCGTTGGCAGGGGCGGCAGGAGGATGACTATCAGCTACAGCCTGGAGGCCAGCTGCAGCTCGGCCCCACGAATCCGCTTCCCACCCTTCCTCTCCCAAGCGTTCTGCCCAGGATGGGAGCCTAGCCAGAATCCTGGAGGAGATGTTCCCAGGTAGGCAGCCTTATTCTATGGAGCCAGGGGAGCCCAGCAGGACCAGAGGGGGGTGCAAAGTGCTGGGTGCTCTGTGTGCCGCCCAGACCCTCCTTCAGGACTGAGGCCTGAATGTTCCAGCTACAGGAGTATTGGCTTTGGATGGTTCATGCCTGAGTCCTTTAGAAAGTTCTGTGGGCACGAGGGGTGTACCTCCAGCGAGTGAGCAAAGCTGCGCCTCCTCTCTGGGGCAACATGCAGCTGGTGCCTGCTAGACGCATGGTCCCAGCAGCTGCCCTTGTACACAATCCCAGGAAACCCCCCAGGGCTGTTCCAGATTCAGAGCTGCCAGTGGGGTCCCACTGGAGTCGGTGCCTCCCCCACTTCCTTGAAGCTGTGATTCTTGTCTCAGTCTGTTTCTGGGGAATCTGGCCTGAAACTGCTGGTCACCGAGGGCGTGGACTGGGATTTCTGGGTGGTGTGTGGTGTGTGTGTGCACAAGAGAGAGACTGGGGGATGGGCTGGGGGAAGGAAGAGAGGGAAGGGGAGAGAAGGAGCAACAGGGAGTAGGACACACACACACACACACGCACACACACTCTCTCATGTTTTGGTGTCTGGGCTGGGCTGGCTTTGTAAGTGTTTTTGGGTGCTTTTATGCTTTGTCTAACCTTGGAAAGGTTTGAATCATGCCAGCAGCTCTGCCGTACTGAAACTGTGAAGGAAGTAACCAGTGGAAGGCTCAGGGTGTGGCCCTTTTCCGGGTATGTTGAGCAAGGCTGGAGGATGTACCTCTCAGGCAACTTCTCCTTTCTTGGTTTAAGCAAAACCTCTCTTGTTAGATGAATGTGCATGCCCCAGTCCCCCAGGGTTTGCAGAGCTGGTGGCAGGGAGAGAGGGCTCCTCATTCTACACAGAGGAAGGGGAGCCTGCTGGAAAAGAGCAAGAAAGAGTCGCCTGCCGCCCTGGGGGACGCAAATTTCCTGCAGCAGCCTAGGGGCTGGGATAGTCCTGAGCCCCTTCTCCCAGGTCAGGGTGTGAGCCAGGATTACACACACAACTCCCTCCAGGGAGGCGGGGACAGTAGTAAGTGGTGTTGCTTGGAGAACTGGAGGACACATAGAACCCATTCCAAGGGGACTTGAGTTTCTGGCAGGAACGAGGCCCCAGCGTGGTGTGACTACGGCTGAGTGCCCTCTGCCCAGCAGACCCACTAGGGTGTGTGTGGTGGGTCTAGACCACTGGAGGTGCTCTGGGGAAACACGCAGTGTGACTGTGGTGGGGTGGCTGGGCTGCAGCCTCCTCTCTGCCGGGCACTTGGAAATAGGACTCTCTGCTCAGGACGGAGCGGCCTCTGCCTCCAACGGAGCTGTTGGACAGCTCACGAGGAGGAGCCGGGGCCTCCAGAAGGAAATACTGGACTTCCTGCCATGGTGGGCAAGGTGGCTTAAGTGATTGCTTTTGGAAAAGGCTGATATCAACATTTGTCTCTCAAGCTAGTGACAATGGTCATCTCGGTCACATGATTATTATTTTTTTCTTCCACTTTCATTTTGAGTTCGGGGGTACAGGTGCGGGGCGTGTGGGTTTGTTGCACAGGTAAACGTGTGTCATGGTGGTTTGCTGCACACATCATCCCATCACCCAGGTACTAAGCCCAGCATCCATAGCTACTCTTCCTGATCCTCTCCCTTCCTCAACACCCCCCAGCAGGCCCCAGTGTGTGTTGTTCCCCCGATGTGTCCGTGTTCTCATCATTCAGCTCCCACTTACAAGTCAGAACCTGTGGTGTTTGGTTTTCTGTTCCTGCATTAGTTTGACTGAGGATGATGGCTTCCAGCTCCACCCATGTCCCTGCAAAGGACATGAGCTCATTTCTTTTTATGGCTGCATAGTATTCCATGGTGTATATGTGCCACATTTTCTTTACCCAGTCTATCATTGATGGGCATTTAGGTTGATTCCATGTTTTTGCTATTGTGAATAGTGCTGCAGTGAACATACACGTGCATGTGTCTTTATAATAGAATGATTTATAATCCTTTGAGTATATATGCAGTAACAGGATTGCTGGGTCAAATGGTATTTCTGCTTCTGGATCTTTGAGGAATCGCCACACTGTCTTCCACAATGGTTGAACTAATTTACATTCCCACCAACAGTGTCAAAGCATTCCTTTTACTCTGCAACCTTGCCAGCCTCTGTGTCTTTTGACTTTTTACTAATAGTCATTCTGACTGGCATGAGATGATATCTCATTGTGGTTTTGATTTGCATTTCTCTAATGACCAGTGATGTTGAGCTTTTTTTTTTTTTTCATATGTTTGCTGGCTGCATGTTTGTCTTCTTTTGTCTGCCTTTCTTCTTGCATATTTGTTTAAGTTGCTTGTAGACTCGATATTAGATCTTTGTCGGATGGGTAGATTGCAGAATTTTTCTCCCACTCTGTAGGTTGCCTGTTCACTCTGATGATAGATAGTTTCTTTTGCTGTGCAGAAGCTCTTTAGTTTACTTAGATTCCATTTGTCAATTTTTGCTTTTGTTGCAATTGCTTTTGGCATTTTTTTATCATGAAATCTTTGCCCATGCCTATGTCCTGAATAATATTGCCTAGATTTTCTTCTAGGGTTTTTTTGTTTTGTTTTGCTTTTGTTTTTGAGATGGAGTCTTGCTCTTTCGCCCAGGCTGGAGTGCAGTGGTGCGATCTCGGCTCACTCCAACCTCTGCCTCCTGGGTTCAAGCAATTCCCCTGCCTCAGCCTCCTGCGTAGCTGGGATTACAGGCACATGCCACCACGCCTGGCTAACTTTTTTGTATGTTTAGTAGAGACGGGGTTTCACTATGTTGGCCAGACTGGTCTCGAACTCCTGACCTCGTGATCTGCCTGCCTCGGCCTCCCAAAGTGCTGAGATTACAGGCGTGAGCTGCCGTCCCTGGCCTAGGGATTTTTTAAAAATAGTTTTTGGTTTTACATTTAAGTCTTTAATCCTTCTGGAGTTCATTTTTGTATAGGGTGTAAGGAAGGGGTCCAGTTTCAGTTTTCTGCATCTCTGTCACGTGAATATTAAGACCCCACTTTGGTTTTGTCTGATTCCTCTAGGGTCCATCTGTTTTGCTTTGGACTTTCTCAGAAGCAGCCTGTAAGCCAAGGATTCTAATGCAAGAACTGTTATTTCTTTGGGAGGCGCTGGAGGAGGCAGTGGGGTGACACGAGGAAGAGACCAGCCAACAGAGGGCATGTCATTAAGTCAGAGTCAGCCAGTGGAGAGCTTGGGAGCCGGCTCAGACCACACCTTCGAGTTAGCTGCCCAGAGGGGATGCGGGAGCTGGGGCACCAATCCACTGACTCTGGGCACTTGGTGCTTGGGGGCTCCTCCTGGGGCAGGGACTGACCCTTGTCACTCCAGGTTTCCAACAGGGAGGTAGGTGCAGGTGCCACGATGGCTGTCGTGGTGTGCAACCCCATGGGAAGGTGGGCTGTGGAGGGCACTGAGGGCCTGGCCCCTTCTCTAACTGAGACCTCTCACGCTCACTTTCTTTTCAGTGTACCTCATGTATTGCGAATAAGGGAGTGATCTCTGTTAACAGTAAGTTTATCCCATTTTCTTGTCCTTTCCTAACAGCGCATTGGTGGACATTCTGCCATCTTACTTAAGGTTTGCTGAATTAAAGGCCTGCCTGCTATTTCTTTGTGAAAGTCACAAAGCAAGTCAGGGAGCCCTCAATCCCCATGGGACAGGAAGGGAGCTGCCTTAGCAGTGGGCGGCACTGTCAGGCTGTGGTGGGGCCCTGACTCTCAAGTCTGGGAGCACCGTGCCCAGGGGCAGGGCCTGCAGTCTCCAGGACATCTTTTCTTTTTCTTTTGTTTTTTTAATTATGCTTTACGTTCTAGGGTACATGTGCACAATGTGCAGGTTTGTTACGTATGTATACATGTGCCATGCTGGTGTGCTGCACCTGTTAATTTGTCATTTACATTAGGTCTATCTCCTAATGCTATCCCTCCCCTCTCCCCCCACCCCACAACAGGCCCCGGTGTGTGATGTTCCCCACCCTGTGTCCAAGTGTTCTCATTGTTCAATTCCCACCTATGAGTGAGAACATGCAGTGTTTGGTTTTCTGTCCTTGCGATAGTTTGCTCAGAATGATGGTTTCTAGCTTCATCCATGTCCCTACAAAGGACATGAACTCATCCTTTTTTGTGGCTGCATAGTATTCCATGGTGTATATGTACCACATTTTCTTAATCCAGTCTATCATTGATGGACATCTGGGTTGGTTCCAAGTCTTTGCTATTGTGAATAGTGCCGCAATAAACATACATGTGCATGTGTCTTTATAGCAGCACGATTTATATTCCTTTGGGTATATGCCCAGTAATGGGATGGCTGGGTCAAATGGTATTTCTAGTTCTAGATCCTTGAGGAATTGCCACACTGTCTTCCACAATGGTTGAACTAGTTTACACTCCCACCAACAGTGTAAAAGTGTTCCTATTTCTCCACATCCTCTCCAGCACCTGTTGTTTCCTGACTTTTTAATGATCACCATTCTAACTGGTGTGAGATGGTATCTCATTGTGGTTTTGATTTGCATTTCTCTGATGGCCAGTGATGATGAGCATTTTTCACGTGTCTGTTGGCTGCATAAATGTCTTCTTTTGAGAAGTGTCTGTTTATATCCTTCGCCCACTTTTTGATGGGGTTGTTTGATTTTTTCTTGTAAATTTGTTTAAGTTCTTTGTAGATTCTGGATATTAGCCCTTTGTTAGATGGGTAGATCATAAAAACTTTCTCCCATTTTGTAGGTTGCCTGTTCACTCTGATGGTAGTTTCTTTTGCTGTACAGAAGCTCTTTAGTTTAATTAGATCCCATTTGTCAATTTTGGCTTTTGTTGCCATTGCTTTTGGTGTTTTAGTCATGAAGTCCTTGCCCATGCCTATGGCCTGAATGATATTGTCTAGGTTTTCTTCGGTTTTAGGTCTAACATTTAAGTCTTTAATCCATCTTGAATTAATTTTTGTATAAGGTGTAAGGAAGAGATCCAGTTTCAGCTTTCTACATATGGCTAGCCAGTTTTCCCAGCACCATTTATTAAATAGGGAATCCTTTCCCCATTTCTTGTTTTTGTCAGGTTTGTCACAGATCGGATGGTTGTAGATGTGTGGTATTGTTTCTGAGGGCTCTAATCTGTTCCATTGGTCTATATCTCTGTTTTGGCACCAGCACCATGCTGTTTTGATTACTGTAGCCTTGTAGTATAGTTTGAAGTCAGGTAGTGTGATGCCTCCAGCTTTGTTCTTTTGGCTTAGGATTGACTTGGCAATGTGGGCTCTTTTTTGGTTCCATAAGAACTTTAAAGTAGTTTTTTCCAATTTTGTGAAGAAAGTCATTGGTAGCTTGGTGGGGATGGCATTGAATCTATAAATTACCTTGTGCAGTATGGCCATTTTCACAATATTGATTCTTCCTGTCCATGAGCATGGAATATTCTTCCATTTGTTTGTGTCCTCTTTTATTTCATTGAGCGGTGGTTTGTAGTACTCCTTGAAGAGGCAGCACACCTTTTCATCAAGAAGAAAGGAGGAGGCACCTTTAGGGTTGGGTGCAGGGCAAAGCGTCTGGACCAGCATTCCCGGGGGCACGCTGGTTGGCTCTTGCCATCCATGGGGTGCACTGCCATTTTCTTTAAATCTTGGGCTGTCCTCTGTGTTTTAGCAACAGGTCCTCTTCATGTTGTCCTGCCTGCCTTAGCAATGGGAGGCACTATAAGTGCGGGGACTCCATGAATTGGCGTGGGGGCCCCCGTCTGGTGTTCTCAAGGCCTGGGGTGCTTCAGGAGCCCTTGTTGCTCTGATTTCAAGGGTCAGCTGGGGTGCTGAGGTGAAGGTGCCCTGAGTATCCCAGAAAATGGCCTCGGCGTCTATCAACAGGGCGTGGTCAGTGCCTAGACAGTCAGCAAGGCACAACTGAAGCCGCAGTTTTGCTAAGAGCTTGAACAGTAGATGATTAAATGACTTTTAATTATATACTGACTTCCTTCCGGGTAATATTTCCAACCACCTGGAGGGCCGGGGGTTCTTGTTAAAAGGTGTGCTGGAGTGTGAAATATCTAGGCACAGAGCAGGGCCCGCCCAGAGCCCCCGAAGGTCATGAGCTCAGCACACATCTGTGGCCAGGGCTGCTTCAAGGTCCCCTGAGCACCTTGGAGGTATCACCCCTCAGGGCTCCAGGAATTCCTTAGGGGAATTCTGATCCCACCACAGGAGGCCAGGCCTCCCGCGCATGGGACAGGATGGGGGCTGCGATCTCTTTTTGCAGCATAGGGGAGGCCGGCCTCCACTTGGCAGGAGACCTCCTCTCCCACTTGGACTGCTTCCTCCCCTCCTGTCCCCTCCCAGGCTGCTCCCCTCCCCTCCCCTCCCCTCCCCTCCCCTCCCAGTCTGCTCCCCTCCCTTCCCCTCCCCTCCTCTCCCCGCTTCTTCTTCTTCAGAGATAATTAGCCTCATCCCTTGGCAGATCTGCAAATGCCTTCTGTCCTCTGTCCTGGGCCTACCTTTCCTCGGAAGCTCTCCCTCTGATGGGGCTTGTGTCCAGGATCCAGGTCTGTTAACAGATGGGACCACGCGAACCAAGGGGAAGAGCAAGGAAATCCGACTGACCTCAGGCTTTGCTGCGTAAACCCCCCGACGCGGCAGCATCCCGTGAAGAACATGTCAATCAGCATTGCTCAGTGCAGAACCGACAGCAGGTGCTGTTGGCCTCACACGCGTGTAGACGCACATACCCCGCCACCACACACACATACGCATGCCCTGCTCCACCTCGGTAGCCGAGAGTCCCGGTGCAAATCTTCGAGGCTGCTGAGGAGCCCAGGAGCACATGTGGTGCCTGGAAATCCCTGGAACCTAGACGCCCTTTGAGCCGGGAGGACCAAGAACACCCACTGGAAGCACTGCCCCTCCTCTGTCCTCTGTGAGACTCAAAGGGTTGTCCTTCCATGTGGTGGCCAAGGAAGCCCCCTTCCCATACTGTGCAGTTAGAGGGGGTCTTCACACTGCATGGGGTACACAGGACCCCAACAGGCCCGGGCACACATTGCGTTCAACCCCCTGGGCTGGGAAGGATCCAGTGAGTTTATACCCAGCAGAGAGGGTAGAACAGCAGTTTCCAAAGATACCCTAACCTCTGGAGCTTGTGAATGGGAACTTATTTGGAAAAAGGGTCTTTGTAGCTCAGTTAAAGGTTTTGAGATGAGACCCTCCTGGATTAGGGCTTCCCAATGACAGGTGTCTATATAAGAGGCGGAAGAGCAGAAGGCACAGACACAGTGAGACGCCGGTGTGAATGCAGAGGCGGGATCGGAGCCATTCCACCACAAGCCAAGGAAGCCTGGAGTCACCAGACACTGGACGAGGCAGGAGGGACCCTCCCCTAGAAGTCTCCAGGAGAAGACAGCTGTGTGGACACCCTGACTTCAGACTTCAGCCTCAGAGCTAAGATAGTGTGTCTGCTGTTGTAAGCACCCCGCCTGATGTGTGGCCAGGTGTTATGGTGGCCCCAGGACACTGATGCACCAGGCTGGGGTGGGGCCCTGGCTCTCAGGTCTGAGGGCACCGTGCCTAGGGCAGGGCCTGCAGTCTCTAGGGCGCCTTCTCAACAAGAAGAAAGCAGGGGCTGGGCATGGTGGCTGACAGCTGTAATCCCAGCACTTTGGGAGGCTGACACAGGCAGATCGCTTGAGGTCAGGAGTTCGAGACCAGCCTGGCCAACATGGCGAAACCCCAACTCTACTAAAAATACAAATATTAGCTGGACATGGCGTGTGCCTGTAATCCCAGCTACTCAGGAGGCTGAGGCAGGATAATCGCTTGAACCCAGGAGGCAGAGGTTGCAGTGAGCCAGAATCACACCACTATACTCCAACCTGGGTGACAGAGAGAGACTACGTCTAAAAAATATGTATAACGAATAAATAAATAATAAATAACTAAAAAGAAAAAAGAAGAAGAAGAAAGGAAGAGGCACCTTTAGGGTTGGGTACGGGGCGAAGTTTCAGGGCCAGTGTCCCCCGGGGCACACTGGAAGGTTCTGGCCATCTCTGGGGTGTACCACCACTTTCTCTAAAGCCTGAATTTCTCTGAGATAGGCCCCCACCCCTCCTCCTTTTGCCCCCTTTGCCTGGCCTCCTGTAGTTCTGTGTTCCTGGAGTGACCCCATGCGCTCAGGACAGCCTGGGCTCCCTGGGATGGGCAGACGCCTGCATCATCCAGGGCGTCTGGACTCTGTGCTGCCCCACTGTTACCATTGCCTGCCCCTGGTTCTCTGCAGCCCTGAGGCCAGGCGGCCCCTGCCCCACCTGATCTCAATGACACAAAGTTCTCCCCTGCATGGAAGAGCTGTGGGACCTTCTCTACCCCACTCTCAGCCCAAAGTGATTCTGTTCCAGCAGGGCCCGGTTAGAAACCGGCAGCTGCCAACAAAAAGGACCCATCTGTGAGAAGGGAAGAAACTGGCTTTTAGAATATCTTGACAATGGGGAAGGAAATTGCAGGAAATGGGAAGAAATGGCAGAGCCGGGACACATTTTCCAAACTGCAAAGATTTTCTGAATATACATATAATAGGTATAATTGACATTCTTTTCCTTATAAAATGCTTCCAGATGATCTCCTTTCCCCTTTTCAACAGGGCAGCGTCCAGCCTTATTTGTCAGGCATGCTCACGCCTTATGTCTGGCCTTATAGAAAAACAGACTTTCACCCAGAGCCTCACTCCAGAAGCATCAGGAGCTGCCCTGTCCTGGGACATGCAGAGCAGCCCAGGGAGGGCAGGGACTGTGGGATCATTCTGTCCAACGCGACTGCAGGTTGGCTGGGCTGAGGTGGCCAAGGCCCTTCCTGGTCACCTCCAGGTAAAATGCAGAAGGAGCCTCCTCGCCCTGAGCTCAACGTAATATACAAGCCCCCCGTGCTGACGTTCTGTGGCCACATTCCTGAAAGGTGTTTTAGGGTCCAAAGCACTCATGAGAAGTCTGGTTTTCTAGAGAAATGTTCCTCAGTGGGGAAGGAGCGCACGTCTCACCAGCTGCCCTGTGTCATGTCCAGCTGTGACCCTGGGAAGCCTCAGAGCCTCAGGGTGACCTCACCAAGCAGAGGTGAGGTGAGCTGGGTCAGACAAGAACGTGCTCTGGATTTCCACCACAGCCACTCATTGCCCATGTGAGTTCCGGGCCTGCCTTTCCACGTCTGTGAAACAGGCACGTGTCTGACCTGAAAGGGTGTTGTATAGATTGAGTGCAATGGCCAACTGCAGCCCAAATATTGGCTGGGCTCCTGCTGTCTCTTCGTTTTAATTAAAATCAAGTCAAATCTGCATTCGGGGGAGCAGGAGCCCAGCCCCCTTCCGCAGGAATCCTGGCTGTTTCCAAAGAGTGGCTCTCAGGGCCGCTTTGGGTCTGGACTGCAGGTCTGGGTGCTTTGTTTGCCTCAGGAACCACCCTGCCACTAAACGGTGTCACCAAATTACCTTTGCCTAAGGTCCCACAAACAGCGCACACCAGGCATGCACAGAACGAGGCCGTTCCCACTCAGGATGAGAAATGTATTTTAGAGCACAAGCCCAGTCCTGTGGACACAGAGTGTACAAGTGTGTACAGACATACCTTTGGGGTATTGCGGGTTCAGTTCCAGACCACTGCAACAAAGTGAATATTGCAAAAAAGTAAGTTGCACAGATGTTTTGGTTTTCCAGGGCATATAAAAGCTATATTTATACTGTACTATAGTCTATTCAGTGTGCAAATAGTATTATGTCTCACAAAAACAATGTGCATACCTCACCTTAAAAATACTTCATTGCTAAAAAATGCCAACAATCATCAGAGCCTTCCGCAAGTTGTAATCATTTCACTGCTGGACTGCTGGAGGGTTTTGTCTGGAGTTGGTGGCTGCTGACTGCATAGGGTAGTGGCTGCTGAAGATTGGGGTGGCCGTGGCAACTTCTTAAAATAAGACAACAATGAAGTTTGCTGCATCTGTTGACACTTTCTTTCATGAAAGATTTCTGTTGCTTGAGATTCTATTTGATAGCATTTTATCCATAGTAGAACTTCTTTTAAAATTAAAATTTTAAATTTTAAAATTGAGAGTAAATCTCCCTGCCACTGCTTTATTAACGAAGTTTATGTAATATTCAGAATCCTTTGTTGTCATTTCAACAACGGTCACGACATCTTCACCAGGAGTAGATTCCATTTCATGAAACCACTTTCTCCGCTCATCCACAAGAAGCAATTCCTCATTCACTCAAATTTTCTCCTGAGATTGCAGCAGTTCCATCCCATCTTCAGGCTCCACTTCTGATTCTAGCTCCCTTGTCATTTCCACTACATCTGCAGTTGCTTCCTCCACTGAAGTCTTGAACCCCTTAAGTCACCTATGAGGGTTGGAATCAACTTCTTTTAAACTCTTGTTAATGTTGACATTTTGACTTCCTCCCATGAATCAAAAATGTTCTTACTGGCATCTAGAATGACGAAGCCTTTCCAGAAGGTTTTCAATTGACTTTGCCCAGATCCATCAGAGGAACCACTATCTATGTCAGCTATAGCCTTACAAAATGTGTTTCTTCAATAATGAAACTTGAAAGTCAGATCACCCCTCGGTTCATGGGCTGAAGAATGGATGTTGTATTAGCAGCTGTGAAAACAACATGAACCTCCTTATGCCTCTCCATCAGAGCTCTTGGGGGGCAGGTGCATTGTCGGTGAGCGGTAGCATTTTCAGGGGAATCTTTTTTTTCTGAGCAGTAGGTCACAACAGTGGGCTTAAAATACTTCGTGAATCATGCTATAAAGAGATGTGCTGTCATCCAGGCTTTCTTATTCCATTTATTACTAGTATTATTTTGGGGACAAGGTCTCACTCTGTCACCCAGGCAGTGGCGTGATCATAGCTCACTGCAGCCTCAAACTCCTGGGCTTAAGCGATCCTTCTGCCTCCCAAAGTGCTGGGATTACAGATGCGAGCCACTGCCACCCAGCCATTGTTGTTTCATTTGTAGAGCATGGCGGAGTCAATGTAGCATAATTTTTAAGGGTCCTAGGATTTTTCAGAATGGAAAAGAGTGTTGGCTTCAGTTTGAAGGCACAGCGTAATGCCCCTAACCAGAGAGTCAGCTTGTCCTTTGAAGCCCTGCATTGACTTCTCTCTAGCTATGAAAGTCCTAGATGGCATCTTTTTCCAACAGAAAGCTGTTTCTTCTACATTGAAAGTCTGTTGTTTAGTGTAACCACCTACATCCATGATCTCAGCTAGATCTTCTGTATAACTTGCTGCAGCGTCTCCATCAGCACTTGCTACTTCACCTTGCACCTTTATGTGATGAAGATGGCTTCTTTCCTTCAGCCTCCTGAGTCAACCTCTGCTGGCTCCAGGCTTTGCTTCTGCAATTTCCTTCTCTAGCTTTACCGTCACAGAATTGAAGAGAGTGAGGGCCTTGCTCTGGATTAGGCTTTGGCTTCAGGGAATGTGGTGGCTGGTTTGATCTTCTAGCCAGACCACTTCTCCATATCGGCAATGCCAGGGGATCTGACAAGGTTCTACACCCACCCATCAGTGTCACTCAGCTTTGCTGGGCTATGTGGGTGACTTCCCCACCCCTAGCCCACACACATGGGTTTTTTTTTTCCTATGGAAGAAAAGACCACCCAATGAAAAAAGCACAGGTTACCTACTCAGAGCTTGCTATAGCAGGGGAGGCAGCCATTATCACCTGCATTTGGCAGAGACAAAGATAAGCAGAGGAGTGGGGAAGCTTCATGGTAGGAAAACGGGGAGGCTCAGGTGTGCCCTGGCTAGAGGCCTGTATTAGTCAAGGTTCTCCAGAGGGACAGAACTAATAGGATAAATATATATATATATATATATATATATATATATATATATATATATGAAGGGGAGTTCATTAAGGAGTATTGACTCACACGATCACAAGGTGAAGTCCCACAATAGTCTGTCTGCAAGCTGAGAAGCAAGTCCAAGTCCCAAAACCTCAAAAGTAGGGAAGCCAACAGTACAGCCTTCAGTCTGTGGCTGAAGGCCCGAGACCCCCTGGCAAACCACTGATGTAAGTCCAAGAGTCCAAAAGCTGAAGAACTTGGAGTCTGATGTTCAGGGGCAGGAAGCATCCACCACGGGAGAAAGATGAAGGCTGGAAGACTCAGCAAGTCTGCTCATTCCACTTTCTTCTGCTTGCTTTATTCTAGCCTCTCTGGGAGCTGATTAGATGGTGCCCACCCAGATAATGGGAAGATAACTTCCCAGGCTAGTGACTTTTTAAGATGGGTGGGCTTCCTGGCCTACTGACTGTGGATGATTGGTGGGCTTCCCGGCTGGTGACTGTGGATGATGGGTGGGCTTTCTGGGCTGGTGACTGTGGATGATGATGGGTTTTGTGTGCTGGATGCTGCAGGTCGTGGAATTCTGTTTTTACATCTGGGCTGGACATTGTCCATTCAGCCTCTCACTCCCTTAAGTGTTGCATTGAGGCCCAGGAGCTTCTCTACCCTCAGGGATGTGCAGGGTGGCCCAGTGGCTCATTGCTTTGGCTCTGATGTCCACCTGCCTTACTAACTGACTTTGTTGAGTTGGAGACTTGTTTTGCCTAGAATAAAAATAACTATCAACCATTTTCCAGGTACCTGGCCTGGAAGCTCTAGTGGCGCAGTTTTCTGTTTCATCCTGGCAATTGTGGAAGGGACCATCACACCCCTCCATCACACCTCTCCATCACACCCCTCCGTCACACCCCTCCATCACAACCCTCCACATTCCTCCATCACACCCCTCCATCACACCTCTGCATCATACCTCTCCACCACACCCCTCCACACCCCTCCATCACACTCCTCCATCACACCCCTCCTTTACACCCCTCCATGACTCCCCTCCATCACACCCCTCCATCACACCTCTCCATCACACCCCTCCGTCACACCCCTCCACCACACCTCTCCATCACACCCCTCCGTCACACCCCTCCACCACACCCCTCCACACCCCTCCATCACACTCCTCCATCACACCCCTCCTTTACACCCCTCCATGACTCCCCTCCATCACACCCCTCCATCACACCTCTCCATCACACCCCTCCGTCACACCCCTCCACCACACCCCTCCACACTCCTCCATCACACCCCTCCATCACACTCCTCCATCACACCCCTCCTTTACACCCCTCCATGACTCCCCTCCATCACACCTCTCCATCACACCTCTCCATCATACCTCTTCATCACACCCTGCCACACCCCTCCACACCCCTCCGTCACACCCCTCCATCACAACCTTCCATCACTCCCCTCCTTCACACCCCTTTACATGTGGAGAGAAGGAGACAGGCCTGGCATGCTGTAAGCTCAGAAAAATGCTTGCTGTGCTTTCGTATGATGACAGTTATTCTTCTGTGGTCCTTGCCCCATCTGTGTAGGACTTCGTTGTGCACTCGTGAATGTGGTTTCCAAGATGATGCAGAGTTGACACCTGCATCTTGCTCTTCTCATCTTGCCTGTGATGCAGTGGCACTAAGTAGCAGGAACCTGCAATCACAGGACATGTCCACATGCTCACCAGTGCAAGAGAGGGAAGGAGAGGAAGGAGAGGCGTTCCTGGAGAGGCGTTCCTTGCCTGCCCCTGCTGGTGCCCTCTTCGGGTCTGATCTCTTTTGGGGTTGGAAGCCCCAGGGTTCAACCTCACCAGGAGCAAAGCTCGTAAATACGGCATCAGCTCCCAGTCCTGGGAATTCACTTGTGGGCCGGGGGCTGACAAAAAGAGCAGAGTGTGTGTAGGCAGCTCCCTCGGGGCCACCTTCCTGACTCTGGAGGCTGGCAGGCAGGGGCAGCGCCTCCTCCAAACAGCCCCGGGCGCAGGCTGAGCACCTCCTGAGTGCTGTAAGGGACTTGGCTTTCTAGGTACTGTAGGAAATGCCACTGTAGACTTCAGAGGAACACGTTCTCTCATTTTATAACCTCCTTGGTATAAACATCATTATTTTATTGCAGAGTATTGGGAAGTGGAGGAGAAATGCCCATGACTGCGTAACCCTGAACAGTCCTGACTCCATTTGTGAGCTGGGCCCTGGGTGGTTCTGAACAGTCCTTGCTCCATCTGTGAGCTGGGCCCCGGTTGGTTCCTGCAGTTCCGTTTTCTCACAGAGCAGGCAGCCTGGCTCTATATTCCAGCTTAGCCAGACACCAAAGCCATTCCAGTTTTCTTGGTAGGGATGGTTCCTTCTCCCAGTGTCCTGCTGATGAAAGGAAGAGGGATCCCAGAAGGGAAGGAACTGAAGGGATGCAGGAAGGGGCTGTGTGCCCCAGGGGATGCGCGTGCTTCTGGAGCTGAGGCTGGGATGGCAGAGGGAGGGGTGAACCTGGCTCACTCCCACTACTGGCCTGGGTGCTGCAGTCTCTGGGGGCTGAGTGACCTCCAGGGCGGCCATCAGTCTTCAGGGCCTCCCAACAGCAGGGTTTGGTGGCTTTAGGCCTGGGGACAGGCAGTTAGGTAAGAAGAAGAGGAGGAGGAGGAGGGCCCAGGAGAGGAACTGAATTCAGAGGGAAGCTGCCGGCCTGGAATCCGGAAGCCTGGGACTCTCTTCGGCCCTCCAGCACTTCATCAAGTATGGATGCTTTTCAAAATATAACAGACACTTGTCAATAACAACAACAAAAATAGTCAGCTTTTCCCCATTTGGTTTTATTAATCTGAGGCCATATTTAGGCAAATCCAATCTACTCCTGTGTCTAAACTTGTCTCTAATTTACATGTGTGTGGTACGTGCATGTTAATTTTTTTTTTCACTTCAAGAAAAAGTATGATCTAAAAATGTATTTTTTCCCTAAAGAGTCATGGGAAGAATCAATTTATCACAAATAATTTTAGTGATAGAATTTCTAATAAAAATAGGATTTTTCTTGAATTTTTACTAAATAAAAACTTGAATAATTAGCTACTGCAATGTATAGAGTTACATCTTCAAGAAAGAACATTATAGTGTGTCCTACATGCTGGGAAATTTTCCATATTGCTCGAAGAAATGAAAAGAAGGGATACGAAGTTGAGATAAAAAGTGATTTCCATGCCAAAGCTCTCATGTGTGGATCATAGTTCAGTCTTCATTAACTCCTTACTAATTTATTGCAAAATAAGGTAATTAATTCAGTGTTGAAAATATAATTCCTTATAAACTAAAAGAAAAGATTTGTTTAAGGAATACATAATAAGTACACACACATACACACATACATATGTTATTTTCCTTCTTTCTGTTATAGAACATTTAAAAAACTTTTTAAAAAGTAGAATAAAATGATGAACCTCTGAGATTCAAACATTTTCAATATTTTGCCAATCTTGTGCCAACTATTCCCCTGCTGTTTTTTTCTAAAATACATCAAATCCCAAACATCTTGTTGTTTGACTTGCAGATGACTTGGTCTGCATCTTTCACGGATCGGGCATTTTCCCCACGTAACCACGACACATATGACTATCCTTCACTCTAAACTAAGAAGACTTCCTTTACCTCTATAGCATCAAATACAAGTTCATATCCAAGTTTCCCTAATTATCCAGAAATGTGTTTTTACAGTTGGTTTGTTTGAATTAGGAGCCAAACAAGTTGGCATTTCCGATGATGGAACCTGTTTCAGCCTCTTTCCTCCCTTCCGTGGCCCCACTGGCTGGTTGCAGTGTCTGGGTCATTGGCTGCAGTGCCCCCAACCCTGGATTTGCTGTGTCCTTGTGGTGGTGTTTAACATGCTCCTCTACCCTTGAATTTCCTGTCAATTGCAGTTAAGACGAGGGTACTGCCAGCTTCACAGGCGTGCAATCTCATGGGGCCTTGCACTTAAGAAGGGCTCTGTGCTGGGCTTAATGCTCGGCCAGGTCTGCCCTGAATCTTGATACCTTTGCCTTTGAACTTGTGTTTTGGAAGCACTGCACAGCAGGGGCAGGAGCACAGGAGATTTGCATGATATGCACGTCTGCCATTCCTTGCCTCTCCATTCACACGCGGCATTGGTGACACAGTGAGCACAGAATTCCAGTGACCCTAGGATGCACGGGAGACCAGCAGGACTCGAGGCCAGGAACAGGTCACTGTGTGTGTTTGCCACTGAGTCTGTGGGAAAGCCACACCTTCCACATGAGTCCACTTCAAATGTAGAAAGAAGGCAGTGGCCTTGTGAATAACACCAACAACCAAAGACCCTATTGTACTTTTTCTTACTTATTCTACTTTCGTGTATTAGCCAAGCACTTACACTGAAAACAATGCATGGACGGAAAGAAGACGGGAAAAGCCACAGTTCCTTCTTTCAGTTCTTCCATTTTCACCAGTAAGCTGCAGGCAGTGTCAAGAAGGCAGTAGCACGGCCAGTATCGAGAAGTGAAATCAAAACCCTTGGTTTAGTTTTGCACAGCACTTCCACTGTTAAGGTAAAAATTAAATATACATACATATGTGAGCTACAAAATAGGAATCGTGTAATCTCTGTGTTTCTGCATGGGGATCTAATGCTTTTATATTTGTATTTAAAACTGACATTGCACAATATAAAATGAACAGTAACATTCAGCTAAAACATAAAAATTGAAATTTTCTTTACTTAGGATGACCTTAAGTAGCAAATAACAATGGTAAATTATTAGAGAGAACAGAGGAAAAGGAAAAGTTTTGTTTTTTAACACTGTTAAGAGCAGTTTTCCCTGTTTTGTGAACAAGGGACTGTGTGTTTTCATTTTATAGTTTCTCCCCTAACCTATCACTTTTGAAGTTGCTGCCCTGGCTTCAGAACCTATGAGTGTGGAGTAAAGCCCCACCTACACCTGCACAGAGCTCGGGCTCCCCTCCTCACTCATATGCTCTGTGGTCACTGTCCTCTTCGTCTCTAGGTCCCAGCAGACCAGGAGCACAGATGGGTCAGCCTACTCAGTTCTCCACTGGGCTCCCTGTTCTCAGAATGGTCTGTGTGTGGAGAAGACTCCTAAGTGCCTGGGAATAGGTAAGTGAGTTGGGGCAGAGGCCTGGCAGGCATCCTGGAGAGGGAGGATGTGACGTGGACTGGGTCAGTGATGGATGGTGGGGATAAGGAAGAGAGGGTGAAGGCAAGATTCTTCTCTACAGGGCACTGAAAGCCAGTGCCCGGCTAAGATAGATGTGGGGGTGAAGGAGAGACTGGGAAACTGGGTTCTGGGTTTCTGGTTTGGGCGACTGGGTGGATGGGGTGTCTTTACCTGAGCTGCTTCCTGAAGAAGGGGTCAGGGTTGTGGGAAGAGACTTCGTGTTCCACTTGGGACCTGCTAAATTTGAGGTACCTCAGGATCGTGCCTGTAGCCATATTCATCATGGAAGAGGGCTCCTGATTTGGGAGTTGGTGGCTCATATATTTCAGCCATAAAAAGATATGACATTATCAAAAGACAGCCATGGTGAGAGAAGAGGCGAGGGTCAAGGAGAGAATGTTGGTGAGGGAGAAAAGGGGATCCATAGAGAAGGTCAGAAGGGACAGCCACAGAGACGGAGGAATGCAGGAGGGGGCATTGGCAGTAGAAGCTGGCGTGGGGACTGTTGACAGAGCAACAAGGCAGAGAACAAGAGGAGCCAAGTCCTGAAATGGCCCACTGGGACAACAAGAGGACCCAGGCTGGAGAGCTGTGGAGGAGGCAGAAGAGACAGATCTTACTGACAGATCCGGTGTTGGGGACTGATGAGAGGGAGATCCAGAGGAGGTGGCAGGAAACTTGCAAGGCTCTCATCCTGGGGAGGAGGTGGAAGCAGAGGACGGGAGGCAGGGAGAAGGAATGAGGCTGGGATGATGGAGCTGAGGACGGGAGGCAGGGAGAAGGAATGAGGCTGGAATGATGCAGCTGAGGACAGGAGGCAGAGAGAAGGAATGAGGCTGGGATGGAGCTGAGGACGGGAGGCAGGGAGGAATGAGATTGGGATGATGGAGCTGAGGATGGGAGGCAGGGAGAAGGAGTGAGGCTGGGATGGAGCTGAGGACAGGCAGGGAGAAGGAGTGAGGCTGGGATGGAGCTGAGGACAGGAGGCAGGAGGAGTGAGGCTGGGATGATGGAGCTTAGGATGGGAAGCAGGGAGAAGGAATGAGGCTGGGATGGAGCTGAGGACGGAAGGCAGGGAGGAATGAGATTGGGATGATGGAGTTGAGGATGGGAGGCAGGGAGAGGGAATGAGGCTAGGATAGAACTGAGGACGGGAGGCAGGGAGAAGGAATGAGGCTGGGATGGAGCTGAGGACGGGAGGCAGGGAGGAATGAGATTGGGATGATGGAGTTGAGGATGGGAGGCAGGGAGAGGGAATGAGGCTAGGATAGAACTGAGGACGGGAGGCAGGGAGAAGGAGTGAGGCTGGGATGGTGGAGCTCAGGACCACCTGACTTTATCTAGGCACCTTCCCTGCCGTGCTTCCCACTCCCACTGCGTGGTTTGAATGATGTGTGTCCCCTCAAAATTCGTGTTGAAACTTAACCCCCAATGCAGCAGTGTTAAGAAGTGGGGCCTTTAGGAGGTGATCAGGTCCTCATGAATGGATTAGTGCCTTATGGAAGGGCTTGAGCAGGGCACTTCCACCCCTTCCATCTCTTCTGCCACGTGGAGACACAGCAGTTCTCCGCTCTGGAGGATGCAGCCATAGGGCTGCGGAGATCAGCCCTCACCAGACACCAGACCTACCCTGATCTTGGACTTCCTACCTCCAGAGCTTTGAAAAATAATGTTCTATTCTTTTTCTATAATCTATCTAGTCTGTAGTATTTTGTTACAGCAACACAGATGGACTAAGACACATCCCAACAGCCACATTCATGGCAGGGCTGCCGTATTGGCACAGACTCCTCCCCCAGGCTCTCTGATTGGCTCAGAGGTGGGCACATGGTCCACGCTGGGCCAATCAGAGCCCTTCTGTGCACATACTTCCGGTCCTCTGTGCGATCATGATCCAGTTCTCTACTGTGTTCTCTGCCGTGTACCCTGTGCTGCAGCTGGCCTGATTGAGCCGCATCAGCCCACCCCCTGCCCTGGCTTCCTTTTGGGTTTGCCTGGTGGGGAATCTCAGCAGGGGATCAGAGGGGCAGAGAGTACTGCCAGGGCAGGGTACTTACTCCTGGCTTCATCCCAACTAGTTTCCTGTTGCTGGCTACAACCCCCAGTGAGGGTCCCGGCTCCCCAAGGCAGCCTCTCCACGTAGGCGTTCAGGGCCAGGCTCTCTGCCCTCGTTCCTTTAGGTGAGGGGGGCTAACAGCCTCACCGTTGCTGGCCTCCAGAAATGATGCTGTCCCCTGTGGTTTCCTTGCCCCCCTGCCTACACATTTGTAGATAGTCTCTTTACCAATTCCTCCTGGGATAAACCTGACTCAACTGTGCCAGCTGGTTTCTGCCAGAACCATGGTCTCCACCATGGCATTGGAAACAAAGCTGAGAAAGAGAAGTCATGTTTTGCTTGGGTGGTGGAACTAAGGACATGTCCACTGTGTGGCATAGGTGGGCTGTGGGTGAAGCGGATGAAGGCGATACAGAGCGAGGACGTGGCCTGAAACCGAGAGCAGCATTCTCCCTTCCCTGCTTCCATCCGTTCCTGGTCTGCGTCCCAGCCCTGGTACGTAAGGCTGTCCCAGAATCCCTGTAAATTCACTTTTCTGTTAAATGATTCCAGATCATTCGGTTATGTGCAACCAAAAGTCCTCACCCATACGTCATCTTACAGCATTAAAGCTTCAGGCGACTTGGGTATGTTTTAAAAACAAAAACATAAGAATTGTTTTCTTCCTTCTAGCTACCAACTTACTCACAAACCCAGCACTCTATAAAATGTTGATTTCAGGTACTGTTAGAGAAAGGTGGTCGTTAGCAGAACTTAGCAGGGATGACTCAGGCCATGCACCCTGGGCACTGGGGAAGCATCATCCTGTGAAGGAATCCAGACATTCGAAGAATTTACAGAGAGAAAAATCGATGACGGGACTACAGCCATGCTGTCACGTATCTGAGCCACAGCAATTTTAGCAGAATTTCTAGAGACCATCTAGAAATTCTCCCTGCTTATCCTTTCACTCACCTGACCATCTGACATCCATCCTGGGCCACTAGGTCCTGCTGGTGTCTGAACCGGTCCAGCCTTGTTCGGAAGGCATTGATGCTTAGTGCTGGAGCACACAGGAAGGACTGTGAATGAGAAAACTATAGTCATGCATCACTTAATGACAAGAATATGTTCTGCAAAATGCATTGTTAGGCAATTTCATAATTATACAAACATCATAGAGTGTGCCTGCAGCTCCCCTAGGTGGTATAGCCTATTACACACCAAGGCTGCATGCTGGATGGAGCCTATTGCTCCTAAGCTGCAGACCTGTACAGCATGTGACTGTGCTGAATACTGCAGGCAACTGTGACACAATGCTAAGTATTTGTGTATCTAAACATATCTCAACATAGAAAAGGTGTAGTAAAAATGTAATATGACAATCTTATATGGAACTGCCACCGTATATGTGGTTCTCGTTGCCTAAAATGTCATCCTGCAGCACAGGACTGTACTTCTGTGGGTCAGCTTTACTCTGAAATGTCTGTGTCTTAACCTGTAATATTCAACCTGGACAGTGAAGAACTTAGTACAAGATATGGTGCATGTAGTTTTGTCCTGGCCAAACTTTGTTTTTCAGGTACACAGAGGCCATTGAGAATGTTGAATAATAACTGAAGTTATGCTTCCTGCGGAGATGGTACTAAGAAATGCTGTATTCCAACACTAATATTTGTGTATCATTGCAAGGGGGTCCTGGACCCTAAGCCAAGGACCCTGTTTTGATCAGTTTCTTCATGTGAGGGCTGACTGTGGGGCCACACATTGTGATGGATCAGGAATATCTTTTTTTTTTTTTTCTTTTGAGACAGTTTCACTCATTCAGGCTGGAGTGCAATGGCGGGATCTCGACTCACGGCAACCTCCGCCTCCCGGGTTCAAGCAATTCTCCTGCCTCAGTCTCCCCAGTAGCTGGGATTACAGGCACCCACCACCACGCCTGGTTAATTTTTGTATTTTTAGTAGAGATGGGATTTCACCACGTTGGCCAGGCCGATCTCAAACTCCTGACCTCAGGTGATCCACCTGCCTTGGCCTCTCAAAGTGCTGGGATTACAGGCATGAGCCACCATGCCTGGCCAGGAACTCTACTAAAAATACAAAAAATTAGCCAGGCGTGGTGGCAGGTGCCTGTGGTCCCAGCTACTCAGGAGGCTGAGGCAGGAGAATGGCATGAACGCGGGAGGTGGAGCTTGCAGTGAGCCGAGATCGCACCGCTGCACTCCAGCCTGGGTGACAGAACTAGACTCCGTCTCAAAAAAAAAAAAAAATTGTGTATTTATCTTATAAGCAACAATCAAACATGTGTTACTGCTTTTTTAAAATGTTAAATGAGAACTCAGCAAAACTTCTCCACTCTGAGGTGTTCCAGATCAACTCTGGAGTCTAAAAGCTCTGACCTAGAGAGACACCTTGAGTCAACAGAGACCGTAGGCGTCGCAGTGGGCTACAGAGGAGGCCAGGTGTCCTAAACAAACACATTTGCCAAGCCACCTGTTTGCTTGTGAGCACCAGGAGCAAGAGAGGAGCAGGGATACCCCAAAGTTCTGCTATGGCTTCATCCCTCTGCTTTATTTAAATGCAGTGGGGTTCGGCATGGCTGTTAAACACTAGGTGGTTTTAGAAGTAATGCAACATCCGCTTGTTCCTCCAAATCAGAGCTGTGATCCTGCTCGCCCACTGACTGTATTTCAGCTGCCCGGGTGTCAGCTTATCATCTTTTTCCGCAGCCTTGTCATCATTCTCAGTGAATTCCAACATCTCCTTTTTACCATGATTCACTGAAATCACAAGGCGCATGCTAGTTCTCAGTGTCAAATCCTCCATCTTCCACAGAAGTGCCCCTTTCTTCCATTCTTCTTATGCAAATGTAACATTCTCTTCCAGTTCATTTTTCTAACAGTAACGTTTGTTTAATTCACAAATTAATTCTTGTAGACATGGCTGTTGAATGACCCCGATTGGAAGTGACTTGTCTTGCTTTATGTCCTAAGACCATCTTTTTGGCCTCTATCCATCTGAAGGCAGCTGCATCAGGCCTTTCCTTTCGTATTCCGAATGGGAAGCTGCGGCCCCACTCTCTCCAGGCTGTCTGCGCCGCCCGCTCCCTGTTGGCTAGCACATTGGAGAGGGCAGCCAGGCCCAGGGCAGCTGTGACTGCAGCCGTCTTGCCCTCCCATCTGCTTCAGCAGAGCCCGTGCTGGCTTGGAACACAGGACGGACAGCTTCTCCTGGACCCTGGTTCCTGCCCCTGACCTTGGGATGTCACCATCAGCAAATCCCCAAAGGCTCAGATTGACAACTCCTATTAGGATTCCATCTGCTCATGCTTTAATGTTTTTGACCTGGGAGAGATGAAGGCTTGTTTTTCCTGTGTCCACTGTGGGGACATCAGTGGGGAGCTGGCCCCAGCCCAAGCCTGTGTTCTCCATTGCTATTATTTGCAAGTTAATATAATGATTTGAGCCAAAATAAACTCAAGACAAGCTGCAGAAATTCTGCAAGTTATCTAAGCAAGTGTGTGAGGTGCATCTGATCAAGCCCTTACTGAGAAGGGTGGGTGCCCAAATCCTGCCATTTCCCACTCCTGCTTGGGGAAGGAGCCCTTATGGGTCACTGTGGGGATGGAGTGGGACCGGGGGATTTCTGCCAGAGGCTGCTAATGGTGCGAGGGGTAGGGGCTCTGATTTGTCCTGCCAGAGTCCACCGGAGAAAGCTATACTTTCAGTGTTTGAGGCGCAGGATTCTGACCCTAAGGAAGGTGAGACAAGGCAGGAGTCAGGGTTGGGATCCTTCCAGCAGGCGTTCAGGGCCAGGCAGACACGTCCAGTGTGAGGCCAGGTCAGACATTACTGAGATTCCAGCCATCCAGTGGGTGGGTGAATGGGCTGTCTTTTAAATGGGTGTCCTGTGAAGCCAGGATCATCCAGCCTTTGGGTGAGATGGAGCTGGGCATGTTTTGATCTTTGCTAGGGTTATCAGAATTCCAGACCAAATTACAGCCAATGCTCAGCACCTGATGGGTATTATTGTTTGCTACCCAGGCTAATCTCATGTTTCTACGGTTACTTTCCATTCTCCTCTGTTTCATTGTAGGAATCTCGATAAGCTTTTTAAATTTTTTTCAGGCATAAGTTATTTTCCCATTGATGTGTTGCTGTGCTCATTAGGCTAACTCTTTTTTTTTTTTGAGTCAGAGTTTCACTCTTGTCACCCAGGCTGGAGTGCAGTGGTGTGATCTTGGCTCACTGCAACCTCCACCTTCTGGGTTCAAGCGATTCTTCTGCCTCAGCCTCTTGAGTAGCTGGGATTACAGGCATGTGTCACCACACCCAGCTCATTTTGTATTTTTAGTAGAGATGGGGTTTCACCACATTGGTCAGGCTAGTCTCGAACTCCTGATCTCAGGTGATCTGCCCGCCTCAGCCTCCCAAAGTGCTGGGATTACAGGCATGAGGGCTCTTTTTGTATGTTTTATTTAAGTGTCCAACTCAATGGTTCTTAACACATTCAGAGATAAATGCAACTGTCTTCGTCTTTTTGTGCTGCTGTAACAAAGTACCACAGGCTGGATAATTTATAATGGACAGAACTTTACCAGCTGACAGTTCTGGAGGCTGGAAAGTTCAGTTTCAAGGTGCTGTCAGCCTTGATATCTGGTGAGGGCCCCAGTCTGTGCTTCCAGGTTGGTGCCTTGAACACTGTGTCTTCCAGAGGAGAGAAACACTGTTCTCACATGGCAGAAGAGTGAAAGAGCCGGGAGAGAACTCACTTCTGAAATACCTTTTATTAAGGCGTCACACTCACCCATGAGGGGACATGCTTGTGACCTAATCACCTCTTAAAGGCCCCACCACCCAAACCATTACATTGGCAGTTAATTTTCAACATGAATTGTGGAGCAGACAAACATTCAAAGCATAGCAGCAACCATCACCCATTTCTAGAAAATTGTAAGAAATCCTATGCCCTTTAGTATCGACCTCACTATTTTCCCCTCCCCTCACTAAGCAACTGCTAATCTACTTATGGATATTCCTTTGGGAGTGGATTGTTTTTTGCTTAGCATGATGTTTTCAAGGTTCACCCGTGTCGTGTTAGTACTTCTTTCCTTTCCGTGGCCAAACAGCACTCCATTGTATGGGTATATCACATTTTGTTTATTCATTTATTAGCTGAGATGCATTGCTCCTTCCACCTTTTGACTGTTGTAAA